>NC_000002.12:6676666-6979696 GCF_000001405.40 Homo sapiens
AATGAATGGGTGCAGCATTATTTATTGAACTATACATTTGCATTTGTGATCGTCTATTTTCAACTTTTACCCCCACATTCTAAGCAGGAAAACACACTTTAATCTCTCTAGCTTTCTCCTTAGAAGTCTCTGGAAGGGGAATTCCCCTAAATATTACTTACTGTTTGTGCTCTCTGTTTTTCCACTCCATTCCAAGTAGAGAGCTGGCCTTTGTGCTCCATTGCCTGAAATTAGGCTGGAAAAACAGGAAGAGAAGTGAGAGCTCTTGCAGGCAGCAGGAGAGAGAGGAAAGGATTCTCAGACTTTGGAAGGGGTGTAGATACAGGATCCTGTGAGTCACTGGGCCCTGTGGTTGGCTTTGCCTTCATAAGCCAGAGAAGTACTAGAGTTTCTATCCCAAGATAGAAAGGATAGGGTACTCTGAAGGTAGCTGCATCTGGACATAAGGGTTCTTCTCCTCAGAAATGTTTCTAAGCCCCAACCACAGCTTTGGACCCTCAAGTGGTTAATGGTAACCATAGTGGACCACAGATCAGAGGTCCCTCCAACATTGTATGGTTTCCATGTAAGCTTCCTCTGTTCTTGTGCAATCCAAAGAAAGAAGAAGAACCCCCATAACCCCTAAGATTCAATCCAGAAGCACTGGGTCTCAGAGTTACAACAAACTTGAGGAAAGTAAATATAGTAAAATGACGGCTCTGAATTTCAAAGATTCAATTTCACCATGCTTAAATGTATTATGGGGAATCAACTTGGTATCTCAGAAAGGAAGGTGAAAGAGGAGGGCCTTTGAGGACTAAACATGTAATGGGAAGAGGAACAATGTACAGTGTTGGCTCAGAAGCATTGCTTTTCCCTGACTTCCACAGTGGTGAAAAGAACTCATGGCCAGCTCCCTCATCCCTCCTGAAAAGGGGGCTGGGCCTCCAAGGAAAGGACAGCTCGGCATAATCAGGCAGGTCAGACCCAGGCCTAGGGGCTCAAGGTCTCAGCGAAGACTCAGGTGCCTTAAGTGGTATAAATATGTTGGTGCTTCCAAGCTCAAGGGGTCATGGACTCTTGGACCAAAAGCATCTCAGTGGTGCCTGGAGATGAGGTCCGTAGAGGACTTCCAGAATCATGGGCATCATGTGGTCCCTGAGACCTCTGCACTATTGGGGGTGGAGCCCAGTCAAGCTGTTTCATGTGTCCATCATCTTCCTATCATGGAGACTTGGAGTCTGATTTAATTCGATTTGAAATATATATATATATATATTTATATATAGTAACAAGACATTTGAAATATATATATGTGTGTATATATATATATATATATATATATATATATATATATATAGTAACAAGACATTTCTTGCACAACCTATGTGATAAATCAAGATTAATTCCTGCTGTAATTCAGTAAAATATTAGATTTGCAGTAGAGGCCCATAACTGCAATAACAAATTTTTTATGCCCATAGAAAATATTTATGGGGGTACTTTACAGTTTACAAAGGAAGTACCACGTGTTATAGGAAGAGGTGTTCCGAGGTTTCGCAGGGGAGGGTTATAATCTATAACTGATGCTCTAGAACAGTCTTGGACTACAGTATAAGATTAAAAACAAAAAACAAATTTCAAGTTATGTTTGTATTTTTAAGCTCTGCAATAAACCATCCCAGATGTGTCACAGTGTTTCTAAAATTTGAATAATAGAAAGATCCCTTATAAAGGAAAGAAATTCTCTACACCCTGCAGAATACATTCATGGAACCCTGGAGTTCATGGTCTCATGAAACCAGTCCAATTACAGGAACATACTTCCTCACTAAGAATTATGACAAGAAGGATCTATTATCTTTCTAACTGCCAAAACTTTTGTTAAGATTATTAAAGTGTGTGTGTGTGTGTGTGTGTGTGTGTGTGTGTGTGTGTGGTGTGTATTCCAAGGAAAGGCGTCATCTCTTGATTTTACATCTACAGATTCCAGAGGATCTGTGCTCCTTAATTTGAGAGTCCTGTTCTCAACTGTGGATGAGAACTCCACATTCACAGCACTCACAGAATTTAGACAGAAGGACCTTTCTATAGCCACAGCCTCTGAGTTATAGTGATAGCCCTCGTGGGTGCCGGCGGGGGCTGCAGGTATTATGACCTGGGCAGCTTTCTGCCTAGCTAGTCCTCGTTCATCACCCATTTCTGTTAATCCTGACAAGATACTTGCTAACAAGGAAGAGGAGAGGGAGAGAGGGCATGTTGAAAGTAGACTCTGTCATTACCAGTAAAGCAGCCACACATCAAATCACGGGAGGGGATAAGTCATTTAATTATAGAACTACAAAGAGAACCCAGAGTTGCAAGGATTGAATGCAAATCTTCATGGAGAAATTATTTTATTTCTGGAGTTTCAGTCTCCTCCTTTGTAAGGTGAGCAGGTGGTGAGGTGTCTGTGAAGGCTCATTTCCAGTGTCTTTCTATAACAAATATTTGTTCCTTGTTCCATGTTTTAAAAAGCACTTTTACATTTATTCTTATTCAATCTTCATAACAACTAAAGATTATAGTCTCTGTTTTATTGATGAGGAAAGCAATCTTCAGAGAATTTAGATCAAGAGCTAATAAGGGATGGATTGGTGCTATATTGTAGGTCTCTAGGATCTCAAATCCCACCCTTTTCTCTTACAGAGTAGGGTTTTGGGGTCTTAGGCTTCACAGGAGCTGTGCCTTTGGAAATCAAGACTGGGAAGAAAGGGTGACAGAAAAAATGTTAGGGAATATTTCCCTGGGGCTCCTTAGATGTATTGATTCCTCTTTGTAAATCTACCTGGTTTCTCGATCTCTGTTGTTATTTCTGATCTGGGCCTCTCAACGGTTTAAACCAAAGGGATTATTCAAAACACAGTAGGAAATTCAGGAGCTTTTTCATGCCTCTGTTCTATTCATTCAGTACATTCACTTGTCCTAGTCATTCTAATCTCTACTATTGTACCCTAGATCTCCCAGGTTGCCAGCCTTGACCTAGCCAGGCTGCAGAAATGTGAGCCTGTGCTGGAGAATGGGGATCCTGTTTCAGTGACAGCCAGCTCATTTTTCAACTGTGAGATTTCATTAGGATAGGGACCAAGCTGACTGCAAGTGATGCTGTTTGCCTGCAACCATCTCTCAATACCCCACAGTAGGTGATTATATAAACCTATTGAGGGGTAAGCCTCAGATCACATGAATATAGATTAGAAGAACAAGATACAGCATAATCTGATTCCATCTAAACTGGCTTGCAAAACCCCATGAAGTCATCCTTACTGAGGATTCTTATTTTCAACAATGTTTTCTTATAGTGCATGAAAACCAGCCAGACATGTGAGGCTAAACCAAACATTGTTTTCTATGGATTTAGCTCCCACTAGCCTTGGATTAAAAAAAAGAAGAAAGATTTGATGAGCCCAGTATGGTTGTATTTTACCCCAACTAAAGCCACAACGAGGTGACAGAATCTGGTTTTCATTTAAGCTGAAATCCTATAAAATAATAATAATAATAATAATGCATCCAAGCACTGTCAGCATTGTTTAACAATTCTCTGAGAAGTTTCTTCCCCTCCCCAAAATACTGGCAAGAAATGTCTTCTCTGTTGAAGGAGCTGGAAACCCATTCAACTCTCTCTATGCTATCAAGTTGTTGCTTAATAAGGAGTGCAGTAAGAGAACTTGCATCTCTGTCACATCAGTACCCTGGAAACCACAGTCAAGAAACATCTCACAGAATGACTCCACCATGACAGAAACAACCAAGAGGACTAGCAATTTCTCTGACTCCAGTGCCAAAATCCCACTGCCAGGAAGAGTGAAGTCAGTCATACAATATGCACAATCACTGTTTCCTGACAAAAAGGATCCCATTTCTTCTAAACTCTGTGTGAGGTGGTAAGGAGGAGAGATGGGAAGGAGTGGACACTTTGGTCTCTGTTCCACACCATATTGCTGGTTGAGATTTATTTTTAAGAGAAAAAATATTGTTTCATATATTTCATTATGTCACATATTTTGATATCCTGTAATTACAAAACATGATAACAGCCCTTTGTTTATACTGAAATTATCATGATCTGGGGTCCTCTGGTGAATAGGTTGAAATTTATTCAAATTTAAAGAACCCCTATATCTCTACTAGAAAAAATAAATTAATTTTTTTAAAAAATGTTTTTTCCAAAAAGAAACAAAATACCAAACAATACCAAGTGTTGACAAGGATATAAAGCAACTAGAATTCTCATATGTTGTTGGTAAGACTTCAAAATGTTACAACCTCTTTGGAAAACAGTTGGAAACTTTTTATACAGTTTCATGCATACTTTCTATATGACCCAAAATTCCCACATTTGGGTATTTACATAAGAAAAATAAAAACATGTTCAACAAAGGAGGGAAAAATGGCAGACAGGAGGCAGGACTAACTCACAGCTCCCTCTCAGATAGACATAGCAGTGTGTGGAGACCCACATCGTGATCTTTTGCTCCAAGAACTACCACAGGAACTTAACAGGAAAGCCAAGAGAATCCACAGACCCTTTGAAGGAGGTGGATTGCTGGGCTGCAGGCTCTGTGGGACAGCCGAGGAACTGCGAATTGGCTTGATTTCTCAGATGGGAGGCTTGTAGCCTGGGGCAAGTTCTCCGCCCTGCTCATGGGCTGCCTAGAAATAAACTTGGTGCTTTTGGGGGAGCACAGTGGGAGTGAGACCAACCTTTTGGGCTGTAGGCTGCGTAGGAGCAGGGTGAGTCCTGTGGCTGCTGCTTTCCCCTACTTCCCTGGACCTGCATGACATAGCAGAAGCAACCATAATCCCTCTGGAAACATAACTGCACTGGCCTGTGAACCACACTCCCATCTCCCACAACAGCCGCAGCAAACCCCACCCAAAGAGAGACAGAGCTCAGACATACCTAGCCCTGCCCCCACCTGATGGTCTTTCTCTACTGGCTCTGGTAGCCGAAAACAAAGGACATAATCTCTTGGGAGCTCAAGGGCCCTGCCCACCACCTGATTCTCCCTATACTACTGCAACTGATGCACTCTTGAAAGGGCCAGCATGAATTTGTGGCCAACCAACACAAAGCAAGTGCATTTAACAAAAATACAAGCAAGGAAGTTCACAGAGTCCACTTCACTCCCTGCTACCTCCACCAGAGCAGGTACTGGTATTCATGGCTGAGAAACCTGAAGGTGGATCACATCACAGGACTCTTTGCAGGCACTCCTCAGTACCAGCCCAGAGCCCAGTAGCTCTGCTGGGTGGCTAGACCCAGAAGAGAAATGACACTCACCGCAGTTTGGCTGTAAGGAAGCTCCATCTCTAGAGGAAAGGGGAGAACACTACATCAAGAGAGCACCCCATGGGACAGAAGAATCTGAGCAGCAGCGCTTCAATCCCAGATCTTCCCTCTGACATGGTCTCCCCAAAAGAGAAGGAACCAGAAGAACAATTCTGGTAATATGAGAAAAACAGGGTTTTTAACACCCTCAAAAGATCACACTAGCTCACCAGCAATGCATCAAAACTAAGACAAAATCTCTGAATTGCCAGAAAAAGAATTCATGAGGTCCACTATTAAGCCAAACAAGGAGACAAAAGAGAAAGGCGAAATCCAACTTAAAGAAATTTTTTAAAAAGATACAGAATATGAATGGAAAAATCTCTAGTGAAATAGCATATTTAAAAAACAATCATAACTTCTGGAAATGAAGGACACACTTAAAGGACTGCAAAATGCACTGGAAAGTCTCAGGAATATAATCAAACAAGTAGAATAAAAAACTTCAGAGCTCAAAGTAAAGGCTTTCTAATTAACCCAATCTAACAAAGACAAAGAAAAAAAGCATTTAAAAAATGAAAAAAGCCTCCAAGAAGTTTGGGATTATGTTAAATGACTTAACCTAATAATCACTGGTGTTCCTGAGGAATAAGAGAAATCTAAAAGTTTGGAAAGCACATTTGAGGGAATAATCAAGGAAAACTTCCCTGGCCTTGCTAGAGCCCTAGACATCCAAATATATGACTCTCAAAGACCTGTGAAATTCATCACAAAAAGATCATCACCTAGGCACACAGCCATCAGGTTATCTAAAGTCAAGATGAAGAAAAGAATCTTAAGAGCTATGAGGCAAAAGCATCAGGTAACCTATAAAGGAAAACATATCAGATTAACTGCAGATTTCTCAGCAGAAGCCCTCCCTACAAGCTAGAAGGGATTGGGGTCCTATCTTTAGCTTCCTTAAACAATTATCAGCCAATAATTTTGTATACAGTGAAACTAAGCTTCATAAATGAAGGAAAGATGAAGTCTTTTTCAGACAAATGCCAAGAGAATTCTCCAATACCAAGCCAGCACTACAAGAACTGCTAAAAGGAGCTCTAAATCTCGAAACAAATCCTTGAAATGCACCAAAACAGAATCCTGTTAAAGCATAAATCCCACAGGACCTATAAAACAACACCACAATGAAAGAAAATCAAGGTATTCAGGCAAGAAACAGCACAATGAATAGAATAGTATCTCACATTTCAATACTAATATTGAATGTAAATGGCCTAAATGGTCCACTTAAAAGATACAGAATGGCAGAAGGATGAGAATTCACCAACCAAATATCTGCTCTCTTCAACAGACTAGCCTGACACAGAAGGACTCCCATAAATTTAAGGCAAAGGGGTCTGGGGTTTTTATGGGTACAGGATGGGGGGTGGGGCGGGACAGGTTGGTTTTGGAAAAGGCAACATTCAAGTGGGAAAACAGGAATACATGTTCTCACTTTGGACTGTGGGTATAAGCTTGAGGATGTGGCCCTCACTGGGGACCACCCTCTTCTACCCACTATTTCCCTGCCTGCTGTCTGTATAATTTCTCCCCTCTGAAGAGGGACATCTAACTGCCATTAGAATATGGACCACGACCAGTCTTAGCTACTTCCTGATGATAGAGAGCATTGTTTTGGAAAGAATCGCAGTCAGATTCCTCCCAGGGGGTTGCCTGGTGAAAGAGAGACATTGTGCAAGGCTGGCTCCAGTTGCTGATCATTTGGAGTTTGATGGCCTCTAGGCAAGAGAGAAAAAAAAAAAAAGTTTTACAAGGCTAAGCATGCAAGGGCCAAACATACGTATTATACAAGGAAAGAATCTAGTGCCAAAGATTTCAGAAATAAGAAAGTGAAATATACTAATAACAATGTACCCCAGCTGTTTCACCCTGGAAAGATATTAAGCCTTGTATGGGAACCATTAAAATTTAGAAGAGAGATAACTGTTCTTGCCACATCTGTAGCAGTTAACATGTGCACCTTGCAAATTCTGGGGTTTGTGGGCTTGCACGCTGGCCATTAAAGCTTCTGCCCCTTTCTTGTGTCTCCCTATCTTTATTGTAAAAGACGAAGGCAGCCACTTTCAGGGAGTTCTCTAAAGTACTATCTTGTTCCTCCTGATATCAGGGGGTGCCTGAGTAATAAATTTATCCTTTAGGATTAGTTGTCCCTTGACAGAATCAGGAGATAGAGAGGTGTGCTTTACCAATGGCCCTTCTTAGCATCTCCAATAAGGCAGTGGGATATTCATTAAATTCCTGGTCTATAACGGATAACTTGGTATAGTTGAGAGGCTTAGTTCTAGTCCTACATAAGCCCTCTATTATTCACACCTGAAAGTGTCTCCTCTTCTATTTTCCCATCTCATCTTCGGGATTCCATTTAGGGTCATCCACTGGTACTCCTTCTCTCCCATTTGGGTAAAGTTTGGTCCCTTCCCTGATGCTATATGTGATACAAAGCTCATCCCCAAATCTCTGCACTTGTAGAGCAGCCTGTTTCTCAGTGTTATATAGGGTTTGATTCAAAAGAAACATAACGTCTTTCTGGGAGAGTTAAAATACTTGGATTAAATTCTGGAAAGCCTCTATATATCTGTCAGGTCATCTGAAATCTTACCATGATCCCCCTTAATTTGCCTTAAATCCTGCAGAGAAAATGGGACCTGGACCTTACTGGGGCCAAATTCACCAGGCATCTGTTGGAGGGGCAAGAGTGAGAATGGGTCTTGTCTAGGGTGAGGATTTCTAACAGAGGGCAAGTGAAACAGGGAAGCTGGAGAGGGAGGAGGGGGTGGATCTGGAGGAGCAGGCCTGGAGGGAGCTGGCTCCCCTGCCTGGGGCTGCCTTTAGAATTCATTTCTTTAGTTCCCTGGGATTGACCCTTGCAGCTTCTCCTGAGATTTCAAATAGCAGGGCTGGATCAATTCCACACTTTTGGCAAAGGTCTGGATTCCCCCGAAAGGTAAAGAAAGCCTGCACATATGGGGCGTCAGACCATTTGACCTTGCGTTTGTAGAAAAGGGCCAACTACCGGATGGCATCAAAATGAATGGTTCCTTTCTGAGGCCAAGCCAGTACTTCATAATTTGGCCAAACCTTTGTGCAAAGGGATATAACGTGTTTTTGCTCCAGAGTCTCAAACTTTTGTGCAAAGGGTTATAATGTGTTTTTGCTCCAGAGTCTGAAGGTCAAAGCAGTCCCAGTGACTCAGGATACACTCCAGAGGAGTATAAACTGGGTGTGGTGAAGATCACTGGTTGCCCATTCGCAAAGACAGGGAAATAGGTGTCCCTCATTTCCCTTGTTTCTTTCAGTGAAAACTCAGGGTGTGAGGGAGAGAGAAAGTGGGTGTCCCACTTTCTCTTCCATCTTTTTATCTCAGAGTCCCTGTGACCTTCGCAGGTGCCACCCATGGGTGCCAATGTGGCTGGCACCCATGAAGGAGGGAGGGCTTACAGAATAGGAATTATCCACACTCACCTATGCCTCTACCTCCCCTACTGTTGACAACCTTTGAGTTCCCTGGGCCTTATCTACACCATGGAGCATGTCCCCCTTCCATGAAGCGGGGGTTAATTGGCAGGAAGTAGTCCTGTCCATTTACACTGTGCATGTTCCCTGGCTTTGGACCCCTTGGATCTGGTTTTCCTTTCTAGGGCTGCAACCCAAAGATTAGAATTTCAGTTTGGGACAAAAAGGTGCCTGAGGGTATGCATGGATTCAGTTAGATTAAGTCCCAGACAGGCCTTGCCAAATTTGCAGTTATTAGCCAGTGCAGGTCTCTCCTCTGTTGTTTTCCTATCATAAGCAGAGTGCTGGGGTAGGAAAAAAACCCTCTCATATATAAAAGGGGGGAAAAAACAGCTTCAAGTGAAAGAAAAAAAAAAAAAGGAGTGGGGTCCTGGGAGGAAAACCTCTTGCTCTGTGCAAATGGGTTCCTTTAATCACTGTATCCTATCCGCCGGTTCAGACCGAGTTGAACTCCTCAGCCATGAAAGGAAAGTCTCTTTGGGAGTGTGGCGGGAGATGGCAACTAGCCAGAGGGGACAGCGAGCCAGAGGGGACAACGAGCCGGAGGGGATGGCGAGCAGTAAACACAGTCCCCTATCTGGGGGCCCTGGCCTGCATGATCACCTGGGGCCTGGGTGGCATGCACAGCTTACTCCTGCCCTGCTGAGCCATTGGGCACAGTTTACACGTGTGGCAAACACACCCAGGCACCTAAGCTGGTAGTGGAGGGGGTGAGGTGGGAAACCTGTGGCTGTTGGGGTGGGGACGGCAGCTCTAAGAACAGATGAAAGTCACAATTTTTTCTGAATTGCATATCTGATTGCTGGGCCAAACACTCATTCTATTTAACACTTCTGCAGTCTGTAGCAAAACCCTTAACTTTATAAAAGGAGACATAGGAGCCACTTCAAACTGAAAGAAGGAAGGAAAGATACATAGGAAAATCTGGGGGTCTTGGCCGATGCCTTCAGTTACCAAGGACATTGTCATGGTCCCACATGACAGCTAGACCTCTGTGAAGGGAGACTGAGCCAACATTCCTTTCACCCAGAAGAAAGAGAGGTGGCAGTGCCTTGCAAAACAGACAGATCCAACAGTTCTGTGTTTGTACCTACCCATCTGACAGATCCCGGACAAGCACCCAGATGAAATGGGATAGTTCCCTTGACCCCTTTGTGGAATTTGCAAAGGGGTTGGCTCATTTACTCAGCTCGCAGCTCTCAACTGCTTGTGGGAGGGGAGCACACAGGTGAGCCGGTACAAAGGCCGGGACGGGCACTTTTAGGAAACTAGCAGGAACAGAACTTTGTGCAGGGCCGCAGCAGTATCTAGGGGTTGCCTGCGACCCCTGGAGCCCCAGAGGGCATGTGTTACAGTTTGTTCTTTTAGCTTTGTTGTCCCTGGACAGCATAAGTGTTAAACAGCTCAGTGGAGGGTCAGTGTGACAGCCTCTTGCACCCACGCCTGGGTCCTTTTCCAGCGTCCAAGGAGAATCAGGTCACCCAAACAAGTTGAAGGGTGGTGAATGTGGAGGATTTTATTGAGGGGTGGAAGTGGCTCTTAGTGGGATGGGGAGCTGGAAAGGAGATGGGGTGGAAAGGTGGTCTTCCCCTGGAGTTCAGACAACCCCAGCCAAACTCTTCTCCGAGGTCCCACAGTTAAGCCATCTCTCTGAAGTCAGGTTGCTTCTCTCCAATGTCTAACTGCTTCTTCTCTTCTCTCCTTCCCTGCCACTCTGCCTCTCTTCCAGTGGGGCCTAGGGTTTTTAATGGGTACAGGATGGGAGGTGGGGCAGGCCAGGGTGGTTTTGGAAAAGGCAACATTTGAGTGGAAAAATGCATGTTCTCACTTTGGGCTGTGGGTCCAGGCTTGAGGGTGTGGCCCTCACCAGGGACTGCCCTCTTCTACCCAGTATTTCCCTGCCTCCTGTCCATATCGCTAGCCAGAGCAATCAGACAAGAGAAAGAAATAAAGGGCATCCAAATTGGTAAAGAGGAAATCAAACTGTTGCTGTTTGCTGATGACATGGTTGTATACATAGAAAACCCTAAAGACTCACACAAAAAGCTCCTAGAGCTGGTAAATTAATTCAGCAAAGTTTCTGGATGCAAAATCAATGTACACAAATCAGTAGCACTGTTGTACATCAAAAATGACCAAGCTGAGAATCAAATCAAGAATTCAAACCTTTTCACAATCACTGCAAAAAAATAAAATAACATACTTAGGAATGTACTTAACCAAGGAGGTGAAAGACCTCTACAGGGAAAACTATGAAACACTGCTGAAAGAAATCATAGATGACACAAAAACATGGAAACACAACCCATGCTCATGGATGGATAGAATCAATATTGTAAAACTGATCATACTGCCAAAATCAATCTACAAATTAAATGCAATTCCCATCAAAATACTTGCCATCATTCTTCACAGAACTAGAAAAAACAATCCCCAAATTCATATGGGATCAAAAAAGAGCCCACATAACCAAAGCAAGACTAAGCAAGAAGAACAAATCTGGAGGCATTACGTTACCTGACTTCAAACTATACTATAAGGCCATAGTCACTAAAACACCCCTCCTGATATAAAAACAGGCATATAGACCAATGGAACAGAATAGAAAACTCAGAAATAAAGCCAAATATTTACAGTTAACTGATCTTCGACAAAGCAGACAAAAACATAAAGTGGGGAAAGAACACCCTATTCAACAAATGGAGCTGAGATAATTGGCAAGCCACATGTAGAAAAATGAAACTGAATCTTCGTCTCTCACTTTATACAAAAATCAACTCGAGATGGATCAAAGACTTAAATCTAAGACCTGAAATCATAAAGATTCTAGAAGATAAGATTGGAAAAACCCTTCTAGACATTGGATTAGTCAAAGACTTCATGACCAAGAACCCTAAAGCAAGCACAGCAAAAACACAGATACATAGATGGGACTTACTGAAACTGAAAAGCTTCTTCCCAGCAAAAGAAATAATCAGCAGAGTAAACAGACAACCCACAGAGTGGGAGAAAATCTTCACAATCTATATATTGGACAAAGGACTAATATCCAGAATCTACAAGGAACTCAAACAAATCAGCAAGAAAAATCCAAACACCCCTATCAAAAAGTGGGCTATAGACATAAATAGATAATTCTCAAAAGAAGATATACAAATGGCCAACAAACATGAAAAAATGCTTAACATCACTATTTATCAGGGAGATGCATCTTACTCCTTCAAGAATGGCCATAATCAAAAAAAATTTTTTTTAAAAGCTGTTGGTGTGGATTTGGTGAAAAGGGAACACTTCTACACTGTTGGTGGGAATGTAAACTAGTACAACCACTATGAAAAACAGCACAGAGATTCCTTAAAGAACTAAAAGTAGATCTCCCGTTTGATCCAGGAATCCCACTCCCAGGTATCTATTCAGAAGAAAGGAAGTCATTACACAAAAAAGATAGTTGCACACACATGTTTATAGATGCACAATTTGCAATTGAAAAAATATGAAACCAGCCCAAATGCCCATCAAACAAGTGGATAAAGAAAATGTTTTTTATATATATATACATATAAAGTTTATATATATTTATATATCACATATGTTATAACATATATGTGTTATATATAACATATATAAATGCCACATATAACATTTATATATTATATATGTGATATATGTATAATATTACGTATTATATATGTGCAATAAAGGCAATATTGCAGGTTGCTGCAAATGCCATTATTTCGTTCCTTTTTGTGGCTGAATATTCCATGGTGTGTGTGTGTGTGTGTGTGTGAGTATATATATAAAAAATATATAAAACACATATATAAACATATATAATATATTATATAACATATTTTATATATAAACATATTACATATAAATATTATATATATTATATAACATATATTTTATATATAAACATATTACATATAAATATTATATATAATATATAAATATATATTATATATAAACATATATAAAATATATAATATAGTATATAAAGTATTTTATATAGTTTATATATATAAACTATATAAAACATATATAACATATTACATGTTTTATATGTATGTTTACATATATATATATATACACCATGGAATACTCAGCCACAAAAAGGAATGAAATAATGGCATTTGCAGCAACCTGGATGGAATTGGAGACCATTATCCTAAGTGAAGTAACGCAGGAATAGAAAACCAAATATCATCATATGTTCTCACTCATAAGTGGGAGCTAAGCTATGAGGATTCAAAGGCATAAGAATGATACAATGGACTTTGGGGACTCAGGTAAAAGGGTGGGAGGGGGGTGATGGATAAAAGAATACACATTGGGTGCAGTGTACACTGATTGGGTGATGGGTGCACCAAAATCTCAGGAATCATCACTAAAGCACTTACTCATGTAACCAACACCACCTTTTCCCCAAAAACCTAATGAAATAAGTAAATAAATAAAATTTAAAGGAAACCATATTCACAAAGGACTTGTATGTGAATAATCACACCAACTTTTCTCATAATAGCAAAAAATTGACATTCATCAAGAGTTGAAAATATTACTGTATTTTTACACAATAGAACACTACTCAGTAATAAAAATGAATGAGATACTAATGTCTGTAACAACATGAACAAATATTAAAAACATTATAATAAGCAAAAGAAAAAAGATACAAAATAGTTCAAACAGTATAATTTCATTTATGTGAACTTCTAAGAAAACCAAAATTAATACGCTATAACAAAAAGCAGATCAATGATTGCCAGAATTAAGGGAGGGAGCAGTTTGACCATAAAGGGGAGTAAATAACTTGTGGGGATGATGAAATATGTCAATTGTGATGCTGGTTACATGAGTGTATATGTGTATTTGTCCATCATTGAATTGTTCATGTAAATTGGGTAAATCTGACGATAAATTATAGCTTTAAAACTTTTTAAAATGCATCTCTAGGCCAGGTGCGGTGGCTCACGCTTGTAATCCCAGCATTTTGGGAGGTCAAGGTGAGCGGAACACATGAGGTCAGGAGTTCGAGACCAGCCTCGCCAAGATGGAGAAACCATATCTCTACTAAAAAAAAAATATATATATATATATATACACACACATATATATATATATATACACACAAAAATGTGTATATATATATATATATACACACAAAAATCTGCCGGCCATGGTGGCACATGCCTGTAATCCCAGCTACCCGGGAGGCTGAGGCAAGAGAATTGCTTGAACCCAGGAGGCAGAGGTGGTAGGTTGTAGTGAGCTGAGATTGCACCACTGCACTCCAGCCTGGCTCACAGAGCAAGACTCTGTCTCAGGGGAAAAAAAAATGCATCTCTATTGTTCCTAAAGAATTCTGCACACTCCTTGTATGTGCTCCAGCATAAGTCCTTCAGTCTTTCCCCCTTACTCCATGATTTATTGTCAGGCGCATGTATAATGAAAGTCAAACTAGAGAACAACTTAGAAATGCTATTGAAAGTAAATCCTCCCAGAGGTTATGATGTCCCTTTTGTATTGGCTTCTTGGTTTCATCCAAACATCTATCCAGAGGAAGACGACTTCTTGCTCTCAGAAGTGCCCTCTTGGATCTCTGTGGCTTAGCATCCTGCCTAGTAATCCACCAGCCCAAAAGTAAGTGAAAATCCCTCCTCTCCAGCCCACATTCCCTCTCTCACCCTTATCCCCTCCTCTGCTCAAGAACAGCTTCAAGAGTAACATCCCTCCACCTTTGATAGGCCAGAATAGGACAGAACACTGATTCCTTGCAAGGGAAGAAGAACCGATGTGTGATGTACTCTATAAGCCGAATCAGACAATCTCAATAATTTATGTCCCAGAGCCTAAGTTGTTTAGTCTTAAAGAAAACAGATCCTATGGAACGGTACACCAAGCCATGCTTCTCCAGCACACTATATAAGAAAAGTAAATCATCCATATCTCTCTGGTAAACAAATGTTTGCTGAAGAACAACCCCACACAAAATGTTTTCTGAAAAATGTATGTGTGTATGAGCACACACACACACATACACACACACACACAATCTTCCAAAAAAAAAGCAATAATATTCCAATACGGAAAAATCTAAATCCAGATTTCAGAAAAAAATTAACTCCTCTAACTGTAGCTAACTCCTCTGCTAAGATATCCAAATGTATAATTAACAGGACCCAAGAAAAGAAGAAGATAGGTAAAAGGAGAAAGAGGTGGAGAAGATAAAAGAGCATAGAGCTTGGGTTGAGAAAATGCATTTTACAAATTAAAGCTGTGCCATTTAATTGATCCTTTGGCATTAGTGTGACTACGAACACAAATGCTGGTTCCCTGAATGATCCAGGATATAAAGACAGACAGATATACAAGCTGATAAAGACATTCACATATGTACACATATACATAGACAAACAGACAATAGACAGATAAAATATCAACATCGATTTTTAAAATCTTTTAAAGAATTTTGACTTCACACAAAATATCTCCATTGATCCTCAGAAGTCAATTCCAGTTTGGGGAACACTCAACAGGAAATCTTTTTTTAAGGCATAAAAAAAGAAGACCTGTGTCTCAATTCCATTACGATGAAGCAAACAGGCTATAGGCATTTTCAACCCCGTTTACAGGCATTTTCAACCCCATGAGTAACATAAACTACACAGTGGCCTCTTCATGACAAAGCTAAAACAGTCAAGTGTAAAAGTTGGACATCGCCCAAAATTTTAGAAACAGCCGGAGATTTGCAGTCTCTTAGATAGAACATCAGCTTTTTATTTGTTTGCTTTTTTTCCTGGGGCAAAGGAGAGAGACTAGTAAGAAAACTGACATCTGTTGCTCACCTCCTAAATGCCACGCATTTGGTACATATATTACATATATCACCAGATGCAACTTAATATAATTGTGTAATTTAGAAACAGCAAACAAGAGTGGTAATTTGAAATCATTTTACACTATTACAGAAGATACAGATGGAGCTTAAAAATCTTCCATGAAGCTTCAAATCATTTAACTCTCATAGTTTATATGTTTCCCGAAAGATTAACTATTTTGTGTGTTTTTTTAATTTATTAATGTCTGTTTTGTCCACTAGACTATTGTGTGCATCAGGGAATTTGTCACGTCTAGATTTTGCAAACCACTGTATCCCCAGTTCCTAGCATGTGGGCCTTCTTGTATTAAAGATTCAATTGAAATTTGTAAAATGAACGAATGAGCACATTGTGGTTCATTTTCTCCGTATCACTTATATCCATAGGACACGTTGATTTTCTCAGTTTGGGGAAACAATCCTTAAACTCTTCTCTGTTGAAACAGAGGGCATAATATTAACACCAGCACCTGAAAACTGAAGTATGGAGTTATGAACAGGAAGCTAAAAATAGTTTCCTCTGGTAATAGCTTCATCTGACAAATGTTAGGCTCTTTAAAGCCTCCCTCTTGTAGACACAGGGCAAAGCAATATGTTCACAGTTGTCAAGTAACACTCCTTGCTGAAATTTAAGTAGGACAAAACCTGACAGTGAACCACGGCAGACTGTAAGTCCTGGTTACATAACATGGCATAGGAAAATGAGTGCTTTTCAGATTAACTTGAATGCCAAAGCTGAAGCTATGAACATAATTATAGCTGATATTTTTGTTCACCTGCCTGACAGATAGCAATAATGTATTGTCTCATACAGAAAATAATTTAATTTTTAGAAGAGAAGAAGAAAAATGACTCACAGTATTAAAGGACAAAATGGGTACTATTTCTTCTTCCATTTGTGCTAGCCAGCATTCTTTGGTGGTAAAGATCTAACTCAGATCTATGTCCCCAGGAATATGTGGCTTGTTAACCTTGAGGAAATAAGAAAGACAGATCACTACTAACCCATCTGATGGATTCAACAGTCTAGCTAAATTGGCCTACTTGAAAAAGAGCCCCACAATAATAACAATGCAATTATAATAACAAATTTCAGTTAACACTTGTTGAGTGTCTTCTACGGCCAGGTGCTGTTTTCGATGACGGAGATACACCAGTGAACAAAACAGGGAAAAGTCAAAATAGCTTTCATGGAGTCTGCCTAATAAAAAACTGTCTCCCAAAATCACCCCTGCTTGTCATAGAATTGTTTTGAGGCTATAGATGAACTATAGAGAAAAGGGAAAGAAAAGGTTGTCCACACTAATTTCCAAATTAGACAGTGGGTACCTGAATCCCCAATCTATTCTAGTAACTCTGCACCTCAAATCCATTTAGTCATCTATGGGCATTTTCTAGCATTTGGTCATCTTTCTACACTTCAAGTTGAATAGGACAAGGATTGAAAAGAATGTGGTTTGCTGCTTATTATCTTGGAACCAAAAGCTGATGTGTAATGACATAGGTTTAGTTGGTACATCAAATTGTTAATGCTCAGTTCTCATTGTTTACTGACCTAGCAGCAGCACTTGGAATAATAGATCACATCCTCTCCTTGATAGACTTTCTTCACTTGGCTCCTAGAACATCACTCTGTTTATATTTGATTCCTCTGATTATGTATTCTCAGTCTCTTTGGATATGTCCTGCTCCTATCCTTGAACTCTTTAATGGCAATGGCCCAAGTCTTGGTCCTCAGTTTTCTTCTACTCTTTATTTCAACTAACTCTGTTGGGAATCTCCAACCCTATGTCTTTAAATATCAATTGTAGAGCCTTGACAGAACATCTGGTATCAGATTTATCCCTCCACTATACACAACAAAAATATCTGAACAAAACACATAAAACAACTGTTAGTAAACACTGAACAGCAGTCATGTTGAGCCACGCTTCTTGAGAGAAGAGATTAAATGAGGTGAGCACTGTATTCACTTCTCCTTTCTCTGTAGCATTTTCCAAATAGCTATGTGGGGAAGTAGAGCCTGACAGAGTACAGTAGTTTGGTGGTAGAAACAGAGATAAAACCTTTGGAGTAATAATGTATCAGAGATTTTGGAGCTGGGTTAAAAGAGAAAAGTAAGCCACAGAAAATGATCCAAAAAAATTCTCCACAAAATGCACCTCTGGTCCTTAGACAACTTCTACAGAGCAAGGTTCCAGGAGGCCTAGAAGACAGGAGCTCCTGGGAGGCTAAGTCCTGAACGGAGATTTTAAGATCACACAGCTCCGGAGCGGTGCTGGGGTTGGGGCCCAGCCAAACCCTATCTTTGGCAACAACATAAGCATTGGATTGTGACCAATGACAACAGAAAACAAGACAATGCCCCAGCAGTAATGATTACATGCTAAGAATAGGAACTACGTTCTGGTACAAAGGGAGTCATCGAGGTAACCCTACACCATGAAAGCCTAAAACAAAGGTCTGACAAGAGCAAAGTAGTCTGCCGCTAACTGAACTGCCTGTCTGACAAAAAAAAAGTGACATTTTTTAGAAGAAGATAACATAATTCAGAAACTCTACAATATGTCATGCATAATGTCTAACCTATAATTGAGAAATAATACACATATGCAGAGACAGGAAAAATGATTGATAATCAGATGATAAGATTATTAATGGAAGTGTACAAAGAAATGATCCAGGCCGGATGCAGTGGCTCATGCCTGTAATCCTAAAATTTTGGGAGGCCAAGACAGGTGGATTGCCTGAGCTCAGGAGTTTGAGACCAGCCTGGACAACATGGTGAAACCTGTCTCTACTAAAATGCAAATAATCAGCCGGGTATGGTGGCAGGCACCTGTAATCCCAGCTACTCAGGAGGCTGAGGCACAAGAATTGCTTGAACCTAGGAGGTGGAGGTTGCAGTGAGCCGAGATTGTGCAACTGCACTCCAGCCTGGGCAACAAAGTGAAACTCTGTCTCAAAAAAAAGAAAAAAAAAAAGATCCAGTTATTGGAGCTGGCATGTAAGCACATTAGCAAAAATAATATATTAAAAATAACAGCAAAACATGGACGGAATAGATTAAATGATGGAATATTCAATAGATAATATGAAACTACAAAATTAAATGGACATTCTCGAACTGAAAAATGTAATTTCTGAAATTAAGATCTCATTAGAGCGATTTAACAATAGATGGGATTAGGAAGAATCTAACATTTGTAAACTTAAAGGCAGGCCAATAGAAAATGTGTGGCCTGAAACACCAGAGGGGAGAAAAGAGGCAGTAAGAAACAGAGCAAGTCATCAGAAATATGAGGCACAGCCAAAATGATTAACATGTATGTGATGAAAGTCCTAGAATAAAAAAAGAGGAGAGAGAATGGGACAGAAACAATATTTGAAAAGACATCAACACACAGCAGGAGATCATATCGATACATACAGATGGAGTATTCCTTATTCTATATGCTTGGGACCGGAAGTGTTTTGGATTTTGATTTTTTTTGAATTTTAGAATATTTGCATATACATAATGAGGTATCTTGGGGGATACGATTCAATCGAAACACAACACTTATTTTTGTTTCATATACACCTTATACACATAGCCTGAATGTAATTTTATACAATATTTTAAATAACTTTGTGCATCAAGGTTTGTATACACTGAACCATCTGAAAGCAAAGGTGTCACTATCACAGCCACTCATGTGAATAATCCAGCCTTGTTTGGCCTCACCATCACTCCTGACTCTGAATTTGTATAGTACCAATAATCAATCATTTTATCACACTTATTCATATGTAAGTGCTTAACAGTAAAGGATACGACAATTAATACAGTGAAAAAGATCCTGTGTTGAGGGTGATGGTGGCATCACCAGAACACCTGCATCAGCTGTTAAACAACAGACTACAGCAGACTTGCAGTCTCCACCTTTGATGTTGTGTTTTCATTAAAAGGCTACTGTGTTTTATTTTTTTAGGGAAAAGAAACATCAGAAACAGTTGAGGGACCAGGAAGTGGGGTCCAGTAAGGAATGAAAAGGCATTCTGAATAAATTGTGTTGTGCACTTGCATTTTGACTAAAATGTGACATTTTCCACATATTAGTGCTCAAAAAATTTTATATTTTGGAGCATTTCATTTTGGATTTTGGATTTTTTGATTAGGGATGCTTAACCCATACACACACACACAGGCACGCACTGTATAACACACACACACACCCAGAAGGAGATTGCATGTGTGTATGTCTGTGTGTGCGTGAGAGAGAGACAGAGACCTAGGCATTGCCATCAGTTCATCAGGTAAAAAACACTAAGAATTTGGGCTAATTAGGGCTAATTTTACAACAGAAACTATGAAAGTCCAAAGACACGGAATAACATTTTTAAAGCATGTATAGGGAGGTGGGGGCATGCAACCAGTAAAACAATTTCAAAAATGAAGGCAAAATTAAAATATTCTCATTAAGATGAGGTAAATATTCTATATCTCAACTTTATCAATAACAATATCCTGGTTGTGAGTTTACACTTTAGTTTTGCAAAATATGGCCTTAATGGAAACTGGAGAAATAATACACGGGATTTCTCTGTCTTATGTCTTACAACTACATGTGAATCTATAATTACCTACCAATAAAAACTTGAATTAAAAAAAAAGTTTTTAGAAAAACAAAAGCTGAAATATTTGGTGACAGAAAACCAGAACAACAAGAAATATTAAAGGAAGTTTTCAAAATTAAAAAAAGTGAATCCCTCTGGAAGCACAGCAATGCAAGAAGAAATGAACAACTCAAGAGAGAGTAAATATGCGGGTCAATGTAAAAGATTATGTTACTTAGGCTGGGCCCGATGGCTCATGCCTGTAATCCCAGAACTTTGGGAGGCCAAGGCAGGTGGATCACTTGAGCTCAAGAGTTTGAGACCAGCCTAGCCAACGTGGCAAAACCCTGTCTCTACTAAAAATGCAAAAATTAGCCAGGTGCGGTGGTGGGTGCCTGTAATCCCAGCTACTCGGAAGGATGAGGCAGAAGGATCACTTGAACCCAGGAGTCAGAGGTTGCAGTGAGCCGAGATTGTGCCACTGCACTCCAGCCTGGGCAATAGAGCCAGACTCCATCTCAAAAAATAATAATAATAATAAAATAAAGATTATCAGTTATTTTAAGCAACAATAAAATCAATGTTTTATGGGATATATAACATGCAAAAGTAAAACTTTTGACAATAACAACAAAAAGCTGTGAGAGAGGACAATGGAGCTAAACTAGTAAGATATTCTTATATATTTTATGAAGCAGTAAAATACTGATATAAGGTAAACTGGAACATTTTGTAATTTTAAAGACAATTACTAAAAAATTATACTGAGAGTTATTACAATAAATCTAATATACAACCAAAGTGATTATTAATTATTTTTAAAACATGATAAATTTCAAAGAAAACATGAAGTAAGGAACAAAGAAAATATATAAATGAAACCAAGAGGAAGTAATTAGCAAGGTGTCAGACTTACACCCAACGATATCAGTACTTACATTTTAATATAAGTGAATCAAATACTTCAAATAAGCAAAAATGTTTTCAGAACTGATCAAAATGCACACACACAAAATAATTCTATGTGCAAAAACACATATGTGCTCCCTCCACGCTCATCAGGTCAGCAAGATGGAAGCTCCACTCTGGGTGGGTGTAACCAAGAAAATGAATCTCCCTGTTCCCCCCAGTTCCCCCCAGTTCCCAATCAAGGAACCCCTTGGAGGTGCAGCAAACCAGCATTTCTACTTTCCTGCAGCTCCACGTGATGGGGAATATAAGGTTGGGGACTCCCTTCCTTCACCCAGTCCCCACTCATAAGGTAGAGGCCCCACCACTGGTACATCAAGCTGAGAATACTGTAGTATCAATTTCCATTGTTCCATTTCATCATAAGGTGGAGAGGCAAGTCAAGAAGACCAGAGACAATTGCCTTTACCCAGAGCTGGCTCACAAAGCTGGGGTATCTTCAAAAGAAGCAGGCCAGTGCCCCAACTACCAGCTCTGGAGTAGTGACTCAAAGATTTTGTCCAGGGGAGAGGCAGGCCAACAGAACAGGAAACTGAAAAGCTCTCCCCAGAGGAAATGCTTTTATTCAGGACAGAGTATGAGACTCAAACTTTTAAGGGCCCTCCTAAAAGCAATGGAGATTTTCGTGGTAAGCAACTAAGAAGAGGCCAGCAATTCCCATGAATAAACCAGCTCGTGTATTAGAGAGAATCAAGTAAGGAGACAGCTAGGAAGGACTCTCTTGATGTCAGAATGCTCCTCAAGTACTGGCCTCAAACATAGCCTTATAGAGGGGCCCAGGTTTAAATGGATTGGACTGCAGAGCAATTTATGCTCCAGGACATTGTTGAAAACAATAATCAGTCAGTCTACAATTGACTGGAACTGAGTGTGATACCAAAACAGGTAGACAGCTAATAGAAAGACCAAGGAAAGAGACAGTCAAAGAGAGTCATGTCATCATCATCTCAAGGTAACTGTACATATGCCCAAGGCTGAGCCTGTTGAGAAGCAACATCAGAGGCTTCACATCGTGTAAAAAATAAACTTCACTGAAATGGTCTACTGAGGTCACCAGACAAATAAACAAGCAAACTACAAACTCCAGAGGAGACTGGGGCAGGAATCAGTACTCAGCAACTTTAAAATATATTTTATGGCCAGACACGGTGGCTCATGCCTGTAATCCCAACACTTTGGGAGGCCAAGGTGGGCAGATCACAAAGTCAAGGGATCGAGACCAGCCTTGCCAACATGGTGAAATCCCATCTTTACTACAAATACAAAAATTAGCTGAGCATGGTGGCGCGAGCCTGTAGTCCCAGCTACTTGAGAGGCTGAGGCAGAAAAATCGCTTGAACCCGGGAGGGGGAGGTTGCAGTGAGCCGAGATCACGCCACTACACTCCAGCCTGGCAACAGAGTGAGACTCCATCTCAAAAAAAAACCTATATATGTATGTATATATATATACACACACACACACACATACACACATATATAGTAAAATGTCTAGTTCTCAAAAACATTAGACTTGCAAAGAAATAATAAAGTGTGACCCATATTGTACCTTAAGAGGCCATGATTTTGGATGGATATTGAAATTACCTTTAGCTAGAGAAGACCAAGGAGCAGAGATAAAGCTTATAAGCCTTAAATATTCATGGGACCCCTGCGATGTTTTAGGCACTTTTATCTGCATGCTCTGACTCCATATTTGCTGCTTAATCAGATTGATTGATTGATTTATTATGAATGTAAAGGGTGTGTCTGTGTATGTGTGTGTGCCTGTGTACGTGTGTGTGCCTGTGTATGTGTGTGTATGTGATAGAAACAATTTACCATATTAGAATCACCAACCATCACTACATACCTTCTTTATAATATAAGTATCAGATGTTTTCAGACTTGTAAACGAAGCTTTACATTCTGATTTTAACATTATTTGATTATCTAAAGGCCTTCATTCACTGCCTTTATCCTGACTTTGTGCTCCCATCAGTTTCAATTATTTCATGCCTAACACTTACACACCTAAACTATCCTGCATGCCATGTTGTTTAAACAGAAAATTGAGCATTGTTTGAATTCGGTTAGGAGGATTATACAGAAGAATATTGGGAATGAAAATGATCCCGTAAACTCTAAAACTTAGATTCGCCACAGGTATTAAAATCATAATAAATTTATCTTTGGCAGACATTCTTCATTTATCGCATTCATCTTCATAATTACCTGATAATATATCATGCCCATTTACATTTCAGGGCAAGAAGACTCAGCTTGTTAAGTGACCTCCCCAAGCTATACATCTTGTTATGATTACGGTTGTTATTCAGTTTGCCCATTTTAAAATCCCTCACTCTTTTCAAAACTGCCAGGCTCATAACTAACTTTTGCTTAGAATAACATTTCTGGCTTCTTCCTGATTACGAATCCCTATTCTTCAAGCTCTCCGTGTTGTCTCTGGAGCATGTGTGAGACTACAGGGCTGGCAGCCTCTGATAAGCCTCCCGGCTAAGTTCTCATCATGTGTCAGCTGCCATATTTGTGTGACCCAGATCCTCATTTCCATTCTCTAATCTGTCTCTCATCTGCAATTCCAACAGATTGTAAATCCCAACTATTGTCTCACTACGGGCATAGCTGGCCCCTTCATGGAGCTTAATGAATTATGGTAATGGCTAACGCGACAGAGTAACTTTAAAAAAAGAATTAAATTTAAATATTCACCATATAATGTCAACATTCTGAGTGTATCAAATACCTCTTAAACATAAGAAGATGTGTTGTGCATATCACTGAACATAGTATTTTAAAAATCTAACAGCTGGGATGAATATGTTTAACCTCACAGTTACAATGAAGAAGGCTATTACATCATGCCAGTGAATCTGAGCAGCTCAAAAAGCAGTAGAATTATTGTGAATATTTGTCAATGAAAAAAACCTTGGGCATCATCTACTTTAGTACTTTCGTCTTAAAGGTTAAGAAATTATGCTCCAAACAGGGGCAGGGGACCATCAGCCAATGAGTAACAAAGAAAATTACATTAAAAAAAAATATATGCTTCATCTACCCTCTCCATGGTCATTTCATTAACTACACAGTTCCCATGTTTAGCTGAGTTATAAAGGGAACATGATGGCCCTAAGTTGCTTAAAAGCCTTTGATAATTACCTGTTTTCCATGCAAAAATATATAGACTCCCTGGCATAATTATTCAAATCCTACACCATCTCCCCCAGTCCACATTCTTATCACCAGCTGCTCTTCTCACTTTATGAAGTGCCCATTATGGAAGCCACAGCTGAGTTATAATTCTCTGAACACTGGTACTCATTCCTTTCCTCTGCTTGATTAAGCTTTACCTCCCATTGTACCCAGCCCCAAACCCTATTTATTGCATACATGTCTGCCTTTCTATGACGATTGTTAATTGTTTGAAGCTCAGAATAAAATCTTGAAAACACCTTTAGCCCCTCCTAAAATTAGCGTAACTCCTGGAAAATAGTAAACATTGAAATAATTAAAAGAGTAAAAAGGGCATTCACCCTGGGGAAGGAAACTACAACAAATGCAATCAGTGTTCCGGCAGTCTCACACGTTTTCCCATTATCCCCACCCCAATTTCCATTCAGAGCAGGTCCCAGATGAGAGGGCACCACCTTTACCTATTTTCTCTTAGTGACTGAACAGGAAGGTATATGGACAAAATTTAATAAAGTCTGACCTGCAAACTGAACCAGGCGTCACCAAGACAAGGAAGCCAAATACTCCTGCCAGGTTGATGCCATCCTCTGTCCACAACCCTGAGGAGTGGTCCCCAGTGCCAGATTATTTCCAAAGCTAATAGCAGGTCCATTAGCTTAGAAATTATACAACATTTAGTTTGCTATAAGCAGTAAGGGGTAAAACTGAACTAGCGTGCATTATACTTTATAATTTGCAAATTTTTCATGCATTTTCTTATTTAATCCTAACAACAAGTAAAAAACCTGAAATGCAGTACATTTAACATGTTCCAGAAATCCTGGAGCTCATAAGCAAGAGAAATAATTTTAAAATTTGTTAAACGGTTCCACTTTTGCATGATAATATAAGGAAGTCTTGGACCGGCTCCCCAGTAAAACTGGTAAAAATTAATTATTTTTAAGAAACCCAAAGATATACATAAAATTAAGAAATAGTTACTTATTTGTTTATTTTATTTACTTTTTTTATTTAGACAGAGTCTTGCTCTGTTGCCCAGCCTGGAGTGCGATGCAATCTTTGCCTCCCAGGTTCAAGCAATTCTCCTGCCTCAGCTTCATGAGTAGCTAGGATTACAGGCATGCACCACTATGCCTGGCTAATTTTTGTATTTTTAGTAGAGACAGGGTTTCACCCCATTGGCCAGGCTGGTCTCAAACTCCTGGCCTCAAGTGATCTGCCCACCTCAGCCTCCCAAAGTGCTGGGATTATAGGTGTAAGCCACCATGCATGGCTAAGAAATATTTATTTAAAAAATAAAGTCAGTAAGAACAGCAAAAGTCTGTGTAGGGTAACATCAAGACTCTGCTCCCTCTCTCCACCCTCATAGCTCACTGGAATGGAAACTTTACTCCAGATAGCTGTAGCCAAGAACACAGGGCTCCCTTTCACTTCAGTCAGAGGTCTGTCTTCCCAGAAATGTAGGGACCAACAGTTCTTATCCTGCCTTCACCTATCTATTGATAAGAGTACCTTCCAGGCAAGTGAAGCCAAGAGATGAGGACTCCATTCTTCTGTTCAACCTACACTGCGGAATAGAAGGTCTGTGATCAGTATGGTGTTGCCTAGAATACTGGGGCTCTGATGTCTCTTGTCCTATTTTATAAGGTAGAGGTCAAATGCTGGTAGACGCAAGCTGATAATATCTGAGGCAACTGGTAGTAACTACACCAAGTGCTCAGTACTGAGCGGTTCACTTGCCATTTTCCCTACCCACAGCTCCAGAGCTGTGGATTGAAGATGTTTCCTTGGGAGGAGAAGTACACATAAAACAACATCTTCAAATCTCTTCCCAAAAGAATTAAGAGAGGATGGAGAAGTTCAAGCCTAAAATTGTTCTCAAAACCAATGGGCTTGTAATGAAAGACAATTAAGATGAGACTAGTAGATTCACTAGAGATTTAAGCTAAACTATATACTGGCTAATTTTATGAAAATAACAGGGGAAAGAGATGGCTCAGAGGAGCCCTTCTGAGGACAAAATGAATCTCAAACTCTGACTTTGGGAACTACCTTCTCAAAGGAGAACACATTTGATTGGATCACAGTATATGCCCCAGGATGGCTGAAAACAATAAAGCATTCAGCCAGCAATTAGTCCAGTTAAACAGCTTGTTGTGGTCAGGGAAAGAGACAATAAAAGAAAATCTTGTCCACACTACTGTCATCTTAGGGTAACTGTGGGCATATCCAAGCCAGTGGCCCCTGGGAAGCAGCATCAGAGGATTCACAGGCCAAGAGGAAAACAGACTTCATCAAAATAACACAGCCAGTCATAAACAAACAAGTAAAAAAAAAAACCTGATCCCCTAACATTATTTAAATCATATAACATGGAAACAAATAGAAAGGTGTGACCCAGATACAAGGAAGCTAAAAAGTAGGGGAAAAAGATAGCATATTAGAGTTACTAGATATCGGATTAAAAGACAGACGCTTCAAAGTAGTCATTACAAACATGTTTGGTAGACTAAATAAACCATTTAAAAAGTAAAGAAAGGTATCATGACAATGCCACAGAATGGAGGATATCAGTAAAGAGGTAGAATTTTTTTTTTTAAATGGAGAAAGTAGAATTAAAAGTTTCAGTCACTGAAATATTTTTTAAAATTCACTAGAGGGTCTGAAGAGTAGATTTGAACTGGCAGAAGAAACTGTTAGCAAACTTGAAATAAGATTAGCAGAGATTGTGTAATCCAAATAACAGAAAGAAAAAAGAATAAAGAAATACAGAAAGCCTTAGAAAAATGTGGGGCATAATTAAATGCAACAACTTACATGTTATTTTATTACCAAAAGTAGAAAAGACACAGCAGCAGAAAAAATATACCAAAAAAATGGCTAAAAACTTTCCAAATGTATTGAAAACATTAACCTACATGCACATGAAACTCAATAAATTTCAAGTAGAATAAATGTGAAGAGTTACACAAAAAGACAAATTATAGTAAAAATGCTGAAAGCCAAAAACAGGAAGAAAATTTCAAAGCATCAAAGAAAAATGCAGTCATTGATTATAAATAATTCCCCCAAAGATGAACAACTGACTTCTCATCAGGAACAGTGAAAGCCAAAAGAAAGTGGAATAACATCATCAAAGTGTCCACAAAAAAAGATAACCAAGAATCCTATATCCAGCAAAGCTGGCTTCCAAAAATGGAGGCGCAATACAAACATTCTTAGATAACAAAAAATAAAGAACATTTGTAATTAGCAGACTTGCTTTACAAGAAATATGAGAGGAAGTTCTTGAGGCTGAAAACAAATGACCTCAGAAAATAATGTGAATCCACTGATTTAAAAAGAGAGCATCTGTAAAGATAATTATGTAATTATATTACAAATTGCATAAATCGCATTCTTCTGTTTGTTTCTTTTAAATTATTTAAAAAGCAATTGTATCAAACACACATATATATAGATACAGATAGATATAGATATATGTACACACACATTGTTTGACTCATAACACGTAGAAATGTAATATGTTTTTCAATGACAGCACAAACAAGATGGGTGTAATGTTGGTAATGGCAACTTTGTAGTTTCTGTCTTTTAAATCTGATATCTTGTCATACTCAGAGGCTGTTTGTTTTTCTTTTTTATTTTCTAGTATGTGGTTATTATTTGCTTGTCAAGTCAAAGTTGTATTGGGCTAAGAGGTTACTGAAGATGATAACTGTAATTTATAGGAATAAACAGAAATTATAAATCAGTAGGTTTATGTAATGAAAGCTACAGATATCTACTTACTCTCATTTCTAATCTCACCTTATTTAAAAGATGGAAACTTGTATAAAGTAAAAATTATAATGTAATATTGGGTATGTAACAGCTACAGCTGTATTATGTATGAGAATAATGTTGAAAAGGAGTTGAAATAGAATAAAGTTATTTAAGTGTAATAGTTCTATACCATACTGAAATTAAGATCATATAAATCTGAAGGGGTTTCTGATAAGTTAAGAGGTCTATGGCAGGAACAGGTGCAACCACAAAGAAAATGACTAAAAAATATGGTGGAAAAAAAAAACAATTAATGGAATTAAAATCCTATATTAGAAAACACTCACTGAATGTAAAAGAAGAAATAAAGGAAGAATGGAAGAACAAAAAAGTCATGAGACAAACAGAAAAGAAAAGTAAGCTGGGAGACATAAATTCAACTATATCAATACCAGAATTAAATATAAATGGATTAAACAACTCAAGCCAAAGGCAGAAATGTCAGATGGGATTTTAAAAAATAAAACAAGATCTATATATATATACATATATATATATATATATATACATATATATTTGTAGTATATAATACATACAGTTCAGATTCAAAAATACAAATAGATTAAAAGCAAAAGTATAGAAATACTTGTCAGGCAAACAGCAACCACAAGAGGATTGCAGCAGCTCTACTAATATCAGACAGAAACGTATTTTTACAAGTGTTACCAGAAATAAACATTTTTTTTAAAATGTTACCAGAAATAATATACCATTGTATAATGATGAAAGGGTCAAAACATGGGGCAGATATAGAAATGAAAAACATATATGCACCTAAAATCACTGCATCAAAATATATAAAGCAAAAACTGATAGAAATGAAGGGATAAATAGATAATTCAACAATAATAGGTGGAGATCTTAATACCTTTCTAATATGGATAGGTCTTCTAGGAAGAAGATCAATGAGCAAAGAAAAAGTTTTATCAACACTATAAACCAATCCAACCTAACAGACGTCTATAAAACACTCTTCCCAAAACGTCAGAATCCACATTGTTCTCAAAGGCATGTGGATACTATCCAGTTTAGACCATATGTTAAGCCATAAAACAAACTTCAACAAAAAAAAAAAGGATAGCAATAATACAGAGTTTGTACTCTGACCACAACGGAATAAGTAAACAAAAAAACTTCTAAATAACTGATGTGTCAAAGAGGGGAATTAGAAAATATTTTCAGATGAATTAAAATAAAGACACAATATACCAAAACTTTTGAGATGCAACTAAAGCATTGATTAGAAGGAAACTTATATCTGCAAATGCTTATAATAAGAAAGAAAAAAATCTCAAATCAATAATCCAAACTTCTACTTTAAGACACTAGAAAAAGAAGGCAAAATAAACCAAAGCAAGCAGTTGAAAGGAAATTATAAAGATTAAAGTTGAAAACAATGAAATAGAGAATATATAAACATTATAGAAAAATCAATGGACAAGAGGGGTAGTGAGAATGAGGAGATGATGGACAATGAGTACAAAATCTCAATTAGACACAAGAATTTGCTTTTGAAATCTATTGCACAGCAAGGTGAATATAGCTAATAATAGAATATTGCACATTTCAAAATTGCTATGAGAGTATATTTCAAGTGTTCTCATAAAAATGCTAAGTACTTGAGGTGATAGATATATTTAATACCTTGATTTAATTCAACATTGTATTTATAAATTATAACATCACTTTGTACTCCATATATACAATTCCAAATTGTCAATTTATAGTTTAAAAATAAAAATTTAAACAAATCTATAAAACCAAAACAGTTTTTTAAACATCAACAAAATTGGCAAACTTTTAGCTATATTTAGCAAAAAAGAAAGAGAAGATTAATACTACTAAAACCACAAGTGAAAGAGGGAATATTACAGAAATTTAAAAAAAAATAGAAATACTATTGGGCACTTGTATGCAAATAAATAAGATAATTTAGATCGAATGGACAAATTCCCGTACACGCACAAACTACCAAAACTGGCTCAAAAAAAAAAAATAGACCATCTGGATAGACTTATCATAAGTGAACAGATTGAATTAGTGATTTCAGAACTACACACGAAGAAAAACCTAAGCCCAGATGGCTTCAGCACTTCACTCTACCAAACATTTAAAGAAACACTAATACCAATTCTTCACAAACTCTACTAAAAAACAGAGAAGAGAACATTTCCCAACTAGACAAAGATATCCCAAGGTAAGACAGCTACAGACTACTATCTTATGAAGGCAAACATCCTCCACAAAGTAGTAGCAAACCAAATCCAACAACATGTGAAAATAACTAAACACCATGACCAAGGGAAGCAAGATGCCTTTAACACCTCAAAATCAATTAACACAATATAACATGTCAAAAAAAGAAAATAACCACATTATTATTTAATTAACTTAAAAAATTAACACCATTTAATATCCTTTTATGATAAAACAAAACACAACAAAATCTAATAAAATAAATTAGGCAAACTAGGCCTAGAAGAAAACTTTCTCAATAAGATAAAACACATCTGTGAACTCCAGAACTAACATTATACTTATTGCTAGAAAGCTGATCCTTTTTCCCTGAGAGCAGAAATAAGGCAATAATACTCATGGCACTTCTATTCAACATTGTTTTACTTAACTTTTTGGCTAGGGTAATTAGACAAATAAAAGAAATAAAATAAATCAAATAAATAAATATTGGAAAAAAAGAAGTGCCACTGCCTTTCTTCACAGATGACATGACTGTGTAAAAAAATATTAGAACTACTAAACAAGGACAGCAAGGTTGCAGGACATATTATCAATATATAAAACAAACTATATTTCTATCCACTTGCAAGGAAAATTCAAAAAAATGAAATTAAGAAAACAATTCAATTTACAATAGAATCAAAAAGAATAAAATACTTAGGAATAAATTAACAGTCAGTGGAAAACTTAAAACTCTAAAACACAGATTAAAAAAAGTAGAAATCTAAATAAATGAAAATATCTCATATTAATGGGCTGGAAGACCTAACATTGTTAGGATGGCAGTACTCCCCAAATTGATCTATAGGTTTAACACATTCCCTGTCAGATTTCCAGATGACTTATCTGTAAAAATTTACGAGAGGATGCTAAATGCAGATAGAATTGCAAGAGAGCCAAAATAGTCTCTCTCTCTCTCTCTCTCTCTCTCACACACACACACACACACAAACACACATTGACACACACAATCTTGAAAAAGGGCAAGTAGGACTCACACTTTCTCATTTGGAAACTTACTACAAGGCAACAGTAATCAAGACAGCGCGGTACTGACATAAAGACAGATGTATATAGCAATAGAATAGACTTGAGAGTCCAAAAAATGAACTCACACATCTATGGTTAACCGACTTTTTGACAAGGGTGCCAGTACCATTCAACAGAAAAAGAATAGTATCTTTAACAAATGTGCTGGGACAACTGTATAGTCACCAACACAAGAATGAAGTTGGACGCTTACATTACATCATATAAAAAAGTTAACTCAAAATGCATCAATACATAAATGAAAGAGCTAAAATTATAAAAGTCTTAGAAGAAAACATGAGAGAAAGCCTCATGACCTTGGATCTGACAATATATTTTTAGATAAGACACCAAAAGCATGGGCAATTAAAAAAATGATAACTTGAACTTTATCAAAATTTGTGCTTTAAAGGACACATCAAAAAAGTGAAAAGACAATCAACAGAACAAGAAAAAATATTTGCAAATCATATATATAAGAAGGGAATATCTTGTATATAGAATATACAAAAACTTAACACTCAGAAATAACAAAACAACCCAATTTAAAAGTAGACAAATGATCTCAATAGATGTTTCCCCACATAAGTTATACAAATGGCCAATAAGCACATGAAAATATGCCCAACATCATTAGCCATCAGGGAAATACAAATCAGGTCTACAGTGAAATGTAATTGTACGCTCACTAGAACAGCTGGAATCTAAAAGTCAGATGATAACATGTGATAATGAGGTTATAGAGAGATCACAATCCTCATGTACTGCTGGTAGGAAATGCAGTCACTTTGAAAAATAGTAAAATAGTCTAGCAGTTCCTTCCTCCAATAGTCATATGTAGATTTACCATAACAAATGGAAACTTTATTCCTAGTTACATACTAAGGAGAAATTAAAACATATGTCCACGCAATAACTTGTAAACAAATATTTATAACAGCCAAAATGTAGAAGCAACCTACATGTCTTCCAACTGACAAATGGATAAACAAAATGGGGCATATCCTTGTGAAGGGTTATTGCTTTGCCCTTAAAAGAATGAAGTACTGACAGATGCTTCAATATGAATGAACCTTCAAAACATCATGCTAAGTGAAAGAAGTCAGTCAAAAAAGACCACATATTTTATGATATTTTTATGAAATGTCTAGAATAGACAAATCTATAGATACTGAAAGTAGATTAATGGTTGCTTAAGGCAAGGGGTGATGGGGTAAAAGCATCAGTGGATTATAGCTAAAGTGTACAGGGTTTCTTTCTGAGGGGATGAAAATATCCTTTTTTTTTAACTTTAAGTTCTAGGATACATGTGCAGAATGTGCAAGTTTGTTACATAGGTATACATGTGCCATGGTGGTTTGCTGCACCTGTCAGCCCATCATCTAGGTTTTAAGCCCTGCATGCATTAGGTATTTGTCCTAATGCTCTACCATCCCTTGCCCCCCACCCCACAACAGGCTCCAGTGTGTGGTGTTCCCCTCCCTGTGTCCATGTGTTTTCATTGTTCAACTCCCACTTATGAGTACGAACATGCAGTGTTTGGTTTTCTGTTCCTGTGTTAGTTTGCTGAGAACGATGGCTTCCAGTTTCATCCATGTCCCTGCAAAGGATATAAACTCATTCTTTTTTATGGCTGCATAGTATTCCATGGTGTATATGTGTCACATTTCCTTTATCCAGTCTATCATTGATGGGCATTTGGGTCGGTTCCAAGTTTTTGCTATTGTAAATAGTGCTGCAATTGATGTTTTCATATATCTGTGAATATACTACAAACCATGAGATTTTATACTTTAAATGAGTTAATTGTATAGTATATGAATTTTATATAAATTAAAACCTTGTAAAACGTTGATAGAATTTCAGATTTTACTGTCAACCTACAAATTAGCAAGTTAAACTGGCATTTTTCCAAGAGCTTACTGTGTGGCCAAAAGGTGGTTGACTCTCCAGAGATTTTGCACTTCTTCAAAAATATAATGGCCATGTTGATCTCTTAAAGCATAGTGAGGAATAGCCATTTAGCAGGTGTGCACTGAGAAGTGGCTTGTGTCCAGTACCATTCTGGATGGAATACTTTTATAGTTAGGATATTTGTTCCCTGTAAAACTCCTGTGGAAATTTCATTCCCAGTGTGGCGATTTGGGAAGGTGAGGCCTAGTGGGAGGTGATTGAGTCATGGGAGTGAACCCTTCATGAATAGATTAATGTTTCCTCTTGGGTGGGAGTGGGCTCTCACTATTAGTTCTTACAAGAGTTGGTTGTTAAACGGAGCCTGCCACTCCCCCATCTCTCTTGCTTCCCCTCTCACCATGTGGTCTCTGCACACACTGGCTCTCCCTTCACATTGATCTGTGAGTGGAAGCAGCCTGAGGCTTTCACCAGGTGCTCAGTCTTCCAGTCTGCAGAGCTGTGAGCCAAATAAACCTTTTTTCTTTATAAATGACACTGCCTCAGGTATTCCTTGATAGCAACACTAAACAGACTAAGACAAGCATAGAAGTTGAAAATAGTGTTATCTAGCAATCGCTAAAAATTTTCTCAATGCCCCTTGTACTTTAAAAAGTATAAAATAAATTATTAGTAAATTACATTTTGTGATAACACACAGGGAAAAGAAAACATAACTGAAAATTTCTATGCATTTTAGTAATATTAATCATAATTTCCATATAATCATGAAAGAGCTTTCAGGAAGACATGAGGCTGGATAAGGCAAGTAAATTGGGTAAAGCAAACACTTGCTGTATATATGCTGTAGTAAAAAAATGTATCTAAAAACTCATGTGTGAATAAACTAATACTTAAAAACAGATGGTAAATTTAAATAGTATACTACCGTAAATCCAGAAATATCACTGGGTGGGTAGTGTGGAAAAAATGTTTTGGTCTAAGTATACAATATATTCTTACAGCAGGAATGACTGTGGGAATGTTTTAATAAAAATATTTTAAATATGTATGGGGGTATTTCTGAGCCTTTGCAATTCTAGCATGATCTGTGGAAAAAAAGTTTCAAGTTCCAATGAGAAGAATTGACTACTGGCTTTTTCACCAAAGATGCCCCTCCAGGGTTTAATATACAGCAATTTTTGAAATGCTGAATGAAATGCCTGAAATGAAATGTCAGATTCTTTATATACTTATCTCGAGCCTTCACTTTGTATTCATTAATGTTTGCCTCTCAAACAACTCTCTCACGTCTCACTCACAGAAATGTAAGAGCTATCATTGTCATATCATTTAAAAACATTAGGAAATAAGTGAAAAAAATGAAAAACCATAGAATTTAAAGATGAATGTGCATTCTAGGTAACCATGGATAAATTTCTTGTCCTTAGAGCTTAATTTACAGATTTACAAAATAAGGATAATACTCTGCTTCTACATTACAGAGCTGTTATTATGAAAATGAAATCAAATAAAAAAGTTAGGTAAGAAAGTAATGCAGTACATAATAAATCTGATCTCTTGGGAAACAACACTTGCCTTGGTTTTTTTTGTTTCTTTATTTGTTAATTCATATTAAAAAAAAAAAAGAGTAGTGGTTCCAAAGTACATAGAGGAAAGCCAGGGCTAACTTTGGAGTCTTCATGATACAAATGAATTAAGTAAATAATGTTTGCATGTGAAATGCTTTCTTTGAAGCCAGAAAGTAATATTTCATCATTGTTCATTTTAACTGTTCTTTATGGTATACAAATCACATTAAAGTTTATGTGCAAACTTCACACACTGCAGTGGAGGGGGCACGCAATTAATGCACATTTGCTCTTTGGGGCTGCAACGTAAGAATGGAGGGAAAGTACAAAATGATCAGTTCATTACATTTGGGTTGAGAAGGACAGAAAGAAAAAGAAGAACTGACTCTATTAAGTGGATGCTATAATAAACCAACCCTACATTTTCAGTTGCTCAACACAACCAACATTTCTTTCTTACTCATACTAAGCCCAGTGTGGATTGGCAAGCAGGTCACCTTTGACACAGTCATTCGTAGATCCAGGTACCTTCCATTTTCCAAAACCACCATTCTGAGAGGCTTCAGAGTCTTCTGGTGGCAGACAAAGAAAAAGAGAGAGGAGGGTCACAAGAAGGTTTTATGAACAAGAATGGAGGAACACATGTCTTCCATGCATTCCTGTGGTCACACCTAACTACAAAAGAAGCTGCCAAAGTAGCCTGGCCTTTACACCACAAAGAGGAGGCAGAGGCTTTTCATAACCTTACAGCAGTCTGCCATACTTGCTATAGCATGATTTCATAATGTGACCAAAAAGTTCAGGGATAGCACTGGTTTTGCTGGCCATAGAAGTCGCTTGACTCAGGATAAAGATGGTCGCATAGCTGAGTTTCTATTCCCCTCTCGTTGTATTTTTTCTCAAAGTCCATTTGATGACAAGACGGTTAATAACAATTCTAGATGTACGTTCCCTTACCCCAAGACACACACACACACACACACACAGGTTCAAATAAAGGCGCTGAGCATAAGTGCCATTGGACTGAACTAAACTGCCTCCCTGCCCCTGAAACATTTTCGGTGGACACAGGAATAAGATGTGATGATTGGTCTTGGTCCTGTGCTCTCCATGAGACAATTCCAAAATACATGAAGACTGAGAGTCATTCCCCAGAGAAAATTCATAATATTGTCACTGGAAATAGGATAAATTGAGACCATACAGGAAAAAGAGATGGGCACTAGACCTAAACAGCCACTGTCCTTTGCCCTACTCTTTTGATTGATAGTTGTGAAGATGAAAACAAGGAAGAAAGGAATGGATGGCAGCAATTTACGAGAGTAGGGCCCAGGCTCATGGTTACTGGAAAGGCTGCTTGGGAACGAAGGCAGTATCAGGACTCTGTTATCTCACGGAACCTTTGCAGAGCCTTGTGGTGCTGCATTATTAAAATGATTTAGTTGTTCTCTGTGCATTTCCCCCTTATTCCTGCTACCAAATTCCTAACTCTGTCTCATGTTCTGATCTATCAAGAGAGAACATCTCCTTGGTCCAACAGTAAGCACAGTCCTCCATGAGTAAAGACCACTATCCCCTGGTCCCTGGTCCATTCAGTTCACACTGATGACCACAGTGAGCTACTTTCAGCTCCTTCCTGAGCAGACGGCCCAGAGGCAGCGACTCCAGGAAAAGGCCTTGGAAGGTGGTTTCCCAGCTGGGGCTTAGCTTGTCCAGCATCCCTCTTGTCTGGGAGTTATTCTGCTGGAGAGAGTCTTTTCTATATTTAGCGAAGTTAGGGTGAATGCCTATCAAGTTTGCAAGCATTGTTTTCTTAGGAAACAATGCTCACCTTGGCCAGGGAGTTATTTATTCAAGCAAAATTATTTGATGATAGTGGAGATTTGACTGAATATGACTTTCTCAATCTGTATGGTATAAAGTAAGACTTTCTCAGCTATGAGCAAGTAAATAGTTGTGCAGGATTTTATAACTGAAAAGAATCTTCCTGCCTCATGTAAAATCAATGTCTGAAGAAGTCAAAGGACACATTCTGCAAAACACAATTCACTTAGTGCCAGAACATGTTGGAACTCAGAACTCAGAGCTCTAATGCAGATCTTTTTTGCTTCTATGTCATGGGTAATTTGTCTGGTTGACCAGTTGTTTTAGGGAAAATTCCTCTTTCAGCCATTGTTCTTTCAGTCTGGGTATCAGAAATAGGGGGAGGGTGAAGGGAGCATGATCTGAAGTGGAGAAAAGCAGCCCTTGTGTCTGCCTATCAGTAGCTCTCTCTTTCTGCTCACCCAAAGATGTTCTTCATCCACTTGAGCACTCAGGAGGTTAATGTTACATCCATTTATACCCACAGGAAGCTGGAGGCAATAAAGCCTTAAATTTAGGCAAGAAAAATAAAAACTAATGATTGGCAGAGGAAGGATTCTTATGGTCAAACAAACAAAAACCATCAAGAAACCAAAACAAAATGAAAATTTGAGGATTTTCATTTTGTAGAATCATCATGCTGAAAAAAACTTGAGCGATATTGTTGTCCAAAGATTTTGGTATAATGAGGTCACTTTCTCACAACTACTTTTAATTTCTCTCTCTCTCTCTCTCTCTCTCACACACACACACACACACACACACACAGAGAGAGAGAGAGAGAGGGAGAGTTCATTTTAAAGTCATAGTATTTCTTATTGTTTTCTGCTTTTTTACAATTTTCTGCTAAAGGTCGCTATGCATTTACATTTAGAGATGGCTTCAATTTCAATTTAGCATAACAAGATATTTGATCCTTACATTGCTCAAATTACTGGGCACAAAATGTTTAAAAAGAAATGCCATAAATTGCATATTCAGGGAGAACATTTAGCAGCATTACGTAGAAAGAACAATGTTTCTTTCCAACCTAGAAATCTAATTTTGAGTTAATTTCACAATCAGTTAGTAACTTTTCAAATCTGGACTTAAGGTATGAAATTTAACCCTTTGTCTAGGCAAGAAGGGACCCCCCACCAATTCACAAATGAAGAAGAAAGGGTATTTTTTGAAGTACGCACAGTGGTGGTTCAGTTGTGATAGCAGATAAAGAACCTTATCATAGGGTAATAAATAAGCAGAGACGCATTTTTAAGAAATTTTCAGCATATAAAATTTACAGATTATTGTATATAAATTTGAGGCTGAAACTTATTTGTACTTAATTATTTTAACAGTAGGTACCTGGTGAGGCCAAACATGAGGGGGTTTTGTTTATTATTTTTTTTTTTATTTTGAGGTTTAGCAAACTTCCAGTTAGTTGCTTCCAACTTTTTTTTTCCATTTATAGCAGCAGGAACAAAAAATATCCTTCATGAAGCCGAACTTTTCTGTAGTGGTAACAACCATTTTTGTTTGCCTCCTTTGAAGGCAAACACATCGATTTTCCTCCTCCTCACCAAATTCTGGGATTCTGACTCCGTGGGAAGGCAAAATAGTTCCACATCTCTACCATTAGCCTCTCTTTATAAAATGTCAGCAAGTTCCTGGGGATAATATTTAAAAATTGCAAAGGGGGCAGAGAACTCTGAAAGGAAGGGGCTTGAGATCCTAACCCTTTCCTCTAAAGGTAGGAATGATTACAATATTTCTGATGGACTGAAGTGGCTTCAAAGAAATTCAATAGTCAATAAAGGACACCAGAGGCAAATTTACCCTAAAGAAGGCAGCCTCCACTGGCACCCTAGGGTGACCGCTCAGGGTTGGTGACAGCTGGTTCTGGACATAGCATATGGCCAATCGCAGAGCCCACATCTGCCCCTTATTGGTATTCCACTACCCAGTGGTCCTGATGTGGGGATGTGGCTTGAGGGAGGGTGGATGTCTAAGGGTAGACTCAAAGAGCTGCCCAATGGGAGTCAGACCAACTCGAGTAGGAGGAGCTTTCTCCTTCCCAAGAAAATACCACTAAATCAATGGGCATGGGACTCCATGGCCCATCCTGCCATAGGCAGGAATCTTCAGGCTCCCTGCCCACCTGGGGTCAAGGTGGTGTCTCCCGTAGCTTCTGTCTTCCTTCAGGCAAGGACTGCCCAAGCATTCAGCTTGACTGAGTTTGGCAGCAACAAGATTGAGACCATCTAATATGGTTTGGCTGTGTCCCCACCCAAATCTCATCTTGAATTGTAGTTCCCATAATCCCCACGTGTAGTGGGAGGGACCTAGTGGGAGGTAATTTAATCATGGGGGCAGTTTTCCTCAAGGTATTCTCATTAGGTTGAGTAAGTTCTCATGAGAGCTAATGGTTCTATAAGGGGCTTCCCCCTTCATTCGGCTCTCAGTCTTCTCCTCCTGCCACCATGTGAAGGACATGTTTGCTTCCCCTTCCAGCATGATTGTAAGTTTTCTGAGGCCTCCCCAGCCCTGTGGAACTGTGAGTCAATTAAAGCTCTTTTGTTTCTAAATTACCCAGTCTCAGGCAGCTCTTCATAGGAGTGTGAGAAAGAACTAATACACCATCCCTGAGCAGGAGTTCAGAGCTCAGTGTCCCCTATTGCTTTGGTTTTTCTTTTTCTTTTGGAGGTGCTAATACCCAGGCCTGAACTTCAAGATTGAATTAGAACTTGTCTTTACACAGGAAGGAGAAAACCCAGAGAAAAGTAGAAAAGCAAGGTTCTCCATTTGCAGATTACAAAATAAGTCAGGTATCCTGGAGGCTAAGAGAAAAATTACCCCATTCTGTATCCTAAACCAATGAATTGGAGTATACGACAGCTACGTGAACCTTGTAATTCTGTAAAGTAAGGTCAGCCATTCATATCTAATCTTGTTATTGCATTTCTAAATTTCAAATTTAAGGAGTCCACTATTCCCACAATTAGAGACAGAGATTTGAACTGTGTGATCCTGCGTTATTATTTTAATTCAGATTCTGAGCCTTGGCCAAAACCATCCGAGCTGTTTCCCTTATAGGATGTGGATCCACAGACTTACTTCATCCCTAAGATACCTCATGCTATACTCACATTAGAATCACTCCACCTAAACAATGCTAATCCTGAAATGCAATGTTACCAACACACACAAAAAAAGGAAGAATAAAATTAATGGCATAAAAATTCTGATTATTAGACAGAGGACTAAACAAAAGTGTTTGTCTGAAGTTTGCATTTTAAACATAAACAGATCCTCCAAATTCCTCTCTGAGTTTCTTTCAGCATGCAACACATTCTCTTGAAGCTTTAAGTTTATTCTTCAAAAAAGTAGTCCAAAGAATAGCACATTGAATCTCAAAAGAACACTTTAAAATCCTTTCTTCATGGGCATGAGATTTTGTTCTTAAGGGGCTAAGATAATGGATGGTAAAGGTAAGTTTGTATTAAGCCCCCAAAGAGCATTGTTGAATTCAATTATTAGTTTAGTTTTTTAGAGTTTATATTCATTGTTGAGATCAGTTTAGAATAGGATATAATACATTCTAAATGTGAAAAGCCTGAGGTTTCAAAAAGTGGCACTGTAATTTTTTAATCTTTATTTTTTGTTATGTTAAATTTTATACATCTTTCCACAAATGACTTTAAGATGATTTGCCACATTGAACTGAAAAACTCATGTCATATCTATATCAAGAAGAGTATTCAATGAACCCTCTTCCTGCTTACTCCAAATTCTAAACTAACAGGATCTCTTGACATAGTTTGAAGATTAATTCAAATGAATGTGCCTACATAGAGTGATTACTATGCACCAGGGACTTTGGGGGCAGAAAACTGACTAAGACTTCATTCCTGATATCAACATGCTCATAAACTTGTGGATAAATACAAAGTACATTAAAATAGGCTCTAATGAAATATCTGAGATGTAGGTAATGCTTATTGGAAATAAAGCAGAGAGAAATTCCTTTGGGTTGGAGTGGGAGAATATGATCAAGGAATAATTAAGAAAAGCAAGAGTCAGGCCTTAATAAAATTATCCTCTAAGCTAGTTGCAGTTTTACCGTGTATGCAGACAGAAAGTGGTGAATGATTTACAAAGGGGGAAGACAGTGGACATGTGTGTGCACATGCAAACACCAAGGAGAGAGCACATGGTACAAGGAGCCCGACAGAAGGAGAAAATAATAGCAATCCTTCACTTCGGAAGTTCCAAATCCATCAGCCCACTGAATCCTCACAATAGAACCAATAATGGAGACTCTGAGAGTTTAAAAGAATTAATGTATTGCCAAACTAGTTCCCACATTGAATAAGCGATAGGACTGAACTTACACCCAGGCTCGGGATTCTGAGCTGAGGTTTTCCCCATGCTGTGCGGCAAAACGGGAAGTGGGGAGGGAGAACTAAGGAATTGTGAAGGTTTATTAAGAATATTAAAGTAGGAACAAGATGATATTTGGCTTTCCAAATAAGAAATAAATATGCCATGTTGTTTATTTTCATGAATTTCTTCAAAACTTAGAATTGCAGGAAGTCATGGTTGTGGATTGGTTGATTAATTAGCTGAAGAGATTCAATTCCTCCCTAGGCAAGATGGCGGCCAGTTGATGTGATGTCTTATGGCCGGAATATTCTCTTTAACAAGGCAGAGATATGTGGACACTTGCATAGAGGAATATTGGTGGGCTGACTTTTCCTGCTATTCCAATTCTCATTTTTACTTTTCAGACAGTATATCAAAAACTGGGGACATTTTTCAACAATGGAATTTTGGCAGTGCCACAGATGTGTTCATAGTTGCTGTTTTAATTGAATTGCTTTATAATTTATGACAAAATAGTATACCCACAGGTTTTAGTACCTAAGTTTCAGGTTGTTACATTTTAATATATGCTGAAAGTGAAATAATCTTATTTCTTCCATTATCATTTGAAAATGCTTATAAACTTCCAGATTGAAATACTACATCTCAATTCTTATTCAGAGCAGCAGCTTCTAAACCAGTCTGGACATCGGAATCACCAGCAGGCTTAACTTTCCTTCTCTCTTGCACAACATCTATAGAGGAGCATCCCCACGCCCAGGTGTAAAGCTTCCCAGGTGGTTCTCATGATCAGCAAAGCATGAGAAATACCAAATTAGAACACCCTAACCATAGAAGCAGACCTATTTACATGCATCAGAAATAATTACTTAAAGGATAATTAATGCTTTCATAATCATTAAAGGATGAGATTGGATTCTTGTTATTCAAAAGTGTATATGTTCCAGGGAAGAATGGGATGTCAAAGCCATCAACCTCTCGAGTTAAATATATGCAATGGAAGTCTAAATCCAAAGAGCTAAGCTTAGATCCTTGCTCCTGCAAGTGTCTACTGCAAACCAGCAGCACCGGCATCAACTGGGAGCTTGTTAGAAATGCAGGTCCACTCAGACCTATTGAATCAGAATCGGCATGATAACAAACTCCCCAGGCCATCTGCATGGGTAGAGAATTTTAAGAAGTCTGATGACAGCAATTCTTTACCTCGACTACACATTAGCATCACCTGAGGTATTCCTCAAAGTGCTAATTCCAGTTTCCCACCCAGAGCAATCCTATCAGACTTTACAGGTGGAGCCCCATCCCACTGGTCTTTTTCAACAAATAGCTATTTTTGTCCTGTAATTTATGTTTATGTTACAAAGGAGAAGGATTTTCCCTACATTATGTAGGCAAGCCAGCAAAGACCTTCTTCCACAAATTCGAAAACGGAGTTCATTGTGCCTCTTTAGTACCTGTGTGTGGGGACAAGCCCCGCGTGCACTGGTAGAGGATGGACTTCTGGCTCTGACACCTTGTGTATACTTGGGCCAGCTCCTTCATTTCTTCTTGTGTATAAGAACAGACTGTGGCTTTGCCCGTAATGAAAGTAAGACAAATTGCCTCCTATAAGCCTGCACGCAGCTATGAGCAGTACCTGTCACTGTGGAAGGTAATTCAGTTGGAGTCTGTCTCTTCAATTTCACCCAGGGATAAGACATTTTTTTTCATTTTTTTTACATGTGGAGTAATTAAGCTAATACTTAAGTATAATTCTGTCTCTAATTGTAGACCATTAGTGATTTTTTGTTATTTAGAGAGACAGAAAAGAACCAAGTAAATATTTCATTTACACCTAAATTTTTCCTAATATTTAGGTACATGTATGAGTACAGCCTTAAAAATTAAAATTTGCCTTAAATAGGGTTTTATGAGTTCCAGAGCCTTATAAAAGTCAAGTTCAGTTAACGTGTTCAAACCCATAGAAGAGAATGTTCAATGTATCAATTCAAATTTTCCAGGTGCAGATGGGGTGGTAAGAGGGCAGTTTCAGTGGCACCAAACACAGACATCACTGAATCAGTGTCAGATATTAATCTCTATACTTTTCTCCTTCTAAACTCTCATTCAAAGACTGCTAATTCTGAGAAGAGGATTTCCTTTTGTTTTGGAAGAGTTCTCGTAGTATTATCTGCTGAATGACCCTAGCACTCCCCTTCTCCACTTGAGATTATAAGGAAACCAAAAGATAAACAAAAAATTGTCATCTCATTTTAAAATAACATAACCTCATCATATCTATTTACACTCATCCAATGAGCTACAATGTCCAGAATATATTTACATACATCACCATATTATAATAGCTTCTGCATCATTTTTTAAAAGTTTATACATAGGGAAACCAAAATAATTTTAATATTTCACATACACACATTGATTTGGAGATTGCTTACCCTTGAATCACTGCTCTCAAATTATTGAAGATTCAAAGTTATCCTCAAGTTCTAAAAGTGACTTGGGAGAGCCTACTAAGCAGATGGTCCTGCAGAATGGTCAGGCATAGAACAACTAAAACATAACACAGCCTCCTTACTCAATAAGCAGAGAGTTCACTTGCTGAGGAAAAAAAAAAAAAACCATTAACTGTGAAACAGCAAAATGGAATGACATGTATAGTAGCACAGAGAATAAGTCAAATAATGAAAGTTTTAGGACATGAAATGGTGGACACAAGGAAAGGGAACCCTTCAGTGGGAAATGGGGTCCAAATCTTTACTTCTTTGCTTTACCCCATGGTGAATCCTGGGTCTGGCTGCACTCAGATGGGACAGGAGGGCCTTGCTTAACATCTCCAAAGACCCCTCCAGGGCTAAAATCAACCATTTGGGGTGAGCAGATTTCATATTCTATGTGGGGCCTGGGCTGCTTACTGCAGATGAAAAGGATTTGGATGCTAAAGTAACCCAGAAGAAGAGGCTTGAGAAGCATTTGGTAATTCGTAATGCAACAGAAATTTCAATCGTGGCATCTTCACTCCAACACTTCTCTGAATCATAATAGTCCTCTTCAGTTAACGTAGCTTGAAGTCGATTAACTGCAGATCCTAATTCTGAGTGCTCTTGGTTCAAAGTGCACTTGTGTGCTGCATAAATTCCCTCACCACCATTTACTGGTATCACAGTACTTATCACATGGCGTTCCAATTATCTGTGAGCACATCTGAATGCAGACCTAAACTACAAGGGTAGGGGCTATTTTTATTTTTCTATTTTTGTTGTTGCTGTTTAATTAGTCTTCGCAATTCCCTCTGAATTTAGTCCAGGGCCTCATGTCTCATAGACCCTAAATAAATGATTGCCGAGTCTGACCCACTGCTAAACAGAATCAGGGAGAAGCAAGGCGCAGAGCAATGTTCATCCAGGAACTCCCGTAAGACCCCTGCCAACTGGGCTGTCTCTCTCTCTCACTATTTTTTCCCCAACCTCAGGGGAATGAGCAGTGGAGGAGGAGTCCAAGAAATAGATACACAGGGAGAGTTGTGCGTTGTTCATTTAGACCAGTGGTTGCAAAATGACGGCCTGAAAGACAAGTCCAGCCCAGAGCAGCTTTGGGTTTGGCCACACCCCAGCAGTGTTGTGCAGGTAACCACAAGCTCCACCCAGCCCTATTGTGCTGCCTTGCCACCACACTGATGGTAGGTTACCAGCCCTGCCTCTGAAACCATTTGAGTTTATAACCCTAGATCTAGAAAGATATCAATACCAAGGGAAAAAAAATAGATTAAACATCTGTCTGCTAATGGTTTGGACTGACAATTTATTTATTTGGAGGCTTTTAAAACACGTTTAAGCAAATACAATATGGTTCTGAAACAAAAATCAGGTGGTTTCTCTGTGGCTCTTACCGCATCCAACTGCCAAGATATGAAATTTGGTTACCAGATTGTAAGAAGTGATTTTGAGTCTCCATGATTCTGAGACTTCTAAAAAATAATTGGGGAAACAGTCATTGGTCCTCTTTCACATGTTCCTTGTTTTTCACACCTTATTTTCTCTTGGATTAAAATGAATTTTTAAAATAAGCATTGGCAAAGATGGGAATACATCTTCTCCACATAAACACAATATAGACACTCCATTCAGATTCTTTCTTTGAAAATTAACCATTTATATTGTGACCTGTGCAAAGTTTTTGAACCTCTATTGAATCTTGGTTTCTGCATTTGTCAAGTAGGTGTAATGTCAAGATGCCTCATGCAGTTATCTTGAGAATTAGAGAACTAACACTTAGAGTGTTTGCTATGTTTCAAGCCCTTGTGTAAGTGTTATAAATGCATTAGCTCATTTAAGTTTCCAATAACTTTAGGGATTAGGTACTATCATTATCACTCCATTTCATAGATGCGGAGACTCAGGTGCAGGGAACTTGGGAAAATTGCCCAGCTTATGCCTACTGAGTGGTTGACTCAAGGATCAAATTGAGGCAGTGAGAGTCCAAACCCCACACTCTCAGCTTCTCTGTTCTCTCTCCACGAGGAAACGTGCCTTGTACCTATGAAGCATTCACCAGAGATCGGTGCTTCCTTCTCTCCAACTTCTCCCTGATATCGTCATCTGATAGTTCATTAGAAATTGGACGGAAGATTCTACATTTCTAAAACAATGTAAAAATATCATATGTGATGTTCCACAAAGGCAAGATATCCAAAAATATTACAGAATCATTTTTAAATTTTATTTCAAATGTTGGGCCCAGCTACAATTATTTCTGTACCCTTTTATCCAAGATCAGAATTTCATTCATCAATATCGCCAATGCAGCAAAACTGGTGTTTTAGCTACATAGGTCAAGAGAATTCATTTACTTCTTAGTAGACTGCCTCATTTATTTCATATTTTTGAATCCTGAAATACTCTGATGATATAACTACAAATAACAGAAAATTTTGTCTTACATGCCCAAACTTATTTTTATGTTTATTATTTTTATATTTTTTAGAGACAACATACTGCTCCATTGCCCATGCTGGAGTGCAGTGGTACAATCAGAGTTGACTTCAGCCTTGAACTCCTGACACAGGTGGTCTTCCTACCTCAGCCTGCTGAGTAGCTGGGACTACACTTGCTCCATGTGTCACTATTTTTGTTGTTGTTGTAGAGACGAGGTCTTGCTATGTTGGCCAGTCTGCTCTCAAACTTCTGGCATCAAGCGATCCTCCCACCTCGGCCTCCCAAAGTACTGGAATTGCAGGTGTGAGCTACCATGCCCAGTCCTTATTTTTAAAATAAAAACTTTTTCTGCAGAAAATTTAGTGGTCTGTATTATAAATGATCTTTTCACAGATTGGGACATTATTGCTAATTGTTTAACCCATTCTTGAGAGATGAAGCTAGTCATGTATGCTGAGTTATGCAACAACACAGAATGTTGCCAAGCCTGCCAAGAAGTGCACAACCATTCTTATCTTAAGTAGACATGCAGCTTTTCAGTCTTTTGTCATTTGCTTTGGGGGGGTTTGTAAAAAATATTTGGGGAAATAGTCATTGATCCTCTTTCACATGTTCTTTGGTTTTCTCTTAAAATTATGTCATAAGCTATCGATTCTTGCTTTGTTAATGTGCTCGCTTCTCTCAGACATGCATGCCCATCCAGGCCTTCTTATGACAGCGATACTGAGAAATCTAATGAGCAGCTCAGAATTCGGTGTTGATTGTAACAGTAAATAAGTATAGAGTAGGGCCTAAGGGGTTCTTTTATAGGTGAGTTGCATACACTTTCGTGCATAAATTCAGATAGCTCATATTCTCATATTCAAGTAGTTCACATTCTCATGAGTTGCACACGCTTTCATGCACAGATTCAGATTGCTTATATTTTCACAAGGTTATTTGGCTTGCTTTAAGGTTCTTCCTAGTGTTATAGACAGGTAAGACTGCCAGGTGAGTGACTGCTAGATAAAAGAAGATTTACTATATTGTCTTGACTATCAGTGTGCTCAAAAGGGAATAATCATTTTGCAGTAGCTCCATTTACTTGTTATACAGGCTAAATGCTCTATTGTAATTATCCTTCAAAACATGTGCCTACATCTGATGACTGGTCTAGACAAGTGACATTGATGGGTGTAATTCTGTCAGTCACAATCATCTTTCTGAAAATGATGGAAGACATGAACCACGGACTCCAAAAGGACTCCTGAGCTTTCAGTGGTCCTGATCCTTTGACTGAAAGCTCTTAGTTTCAGCAAGCTCTTTGCTTGGAAAGAGAGCTGGCTCAGTGTCAGAGACAAGCTAAAAATGGCTGGGCCTTAACAGGTAATTTCAGTGAGTTATAATGAAAAGCCGCCAGCGCCTGAGTGTCTGTTGACATAACTGAGATGACAAGATGACAAACACCGAACTGAGGAGCTTGTTGTCATGTTAGGAATGGATTCAATTAAAAATACTTTATCAAATTAAAAGGATTACAGAGGATCCGGTGTTCCCGAAAGCCTGCTAAGGACATTAATCACAGGAATGACTGAGACCTGGTCCCTGCATGAAGACACTCTTGGAACATGGCCACCGTGGCTCTTTAGGCGCTGAATCCCTGGGATATTTGAAAAATTAGGCCATGATTTTACTGCCAAGTCATCAAAAATTGCCCTTAGGCAATTGATGCTTAAGCAAAGAACATTCCCCTTCTTAACATTTTTAGATAATGGGTAAGAATTTGCTTTATGAAACTATTGTTAGGAAATCTGATTTATTTTTTCTTGATTGCTCTTAAAACTCCACCCTATTGCCTGGTTACCTTCTCTGTCCTCCAAGGAGGAGGCTGGCCAGCAGAGCTGGGACATTTTTCCTGGCAATGACGTTTTAATGTTCAGGCTATTTGTCATCTCCTAGAATTTCGTCCTTCACTCTGCCCACTTTTCTTTTCAGCTCCTTAAAGAGATATGACAAGAATCTTAAAAGAGGTCAAAGTTAGAACAGATTCTGAGTTAGTGATATTGTTTCCAGTAGAGGGAAGTCCTTGAAAAGGGTGAGTCAAATAGCACATATACCTCTTCATAATATAATGTCTACAACGGAGGCCTGGAAATCCTACTAGGTGGGTTGTCATGGACACGTGTAATATATTGCTTATGGGTCAAGATTTCAGAAAAAAACAAATTTGGTATCAGGTTGAAGAGCTCATATACTTCGAAAACTTTATGAAAAAGCAGGCAACTATAAAGATGTTTCTATAACCAAGAAAAACGTGAATCAGGGAGAGTAGCCAATGTGTTTCTTGGTATGAAATTAGATTATTTGGCTAAGTGTGCTAGTGTGATGATGATCTGAAAATTTGAATGTTATCATTTGATACATAATTCATTTGTTCCTTTTTCCATTTATTCAACACTCACTGAGCATCTAATGGGTCCCAAGCATGTATTAGATACTGAAGAATCACCAGCAAGTAAGCCTCTTCTCCACCCTCAAGGAGCTTAGAATCAAAATGGTGAGGTGCAGAAGGTATTCTTTCCACATAGTGGTTGGGCAGAAAAATGTTCAAGAGTTACAACATCACCAAAGAGGAAGCCACCAGTTCTGCTGGGTGAAGACCCATAGAAAGCTCTGCACGCTCAGCTGTCAGGCAAGGCCAAGTGTTCATCAACCTGCAAGGACTCTGCATATTTATCAGATGTGTGGACAAAAGTTGCAGAATGTCTGCTGGAAAAGTAGGTACTGACAGGATTGCTGTCAAGTTTACCAGATTTTAAAGGGCACAACTTGATGTATTGTGGTGGAGAACTGCAGAATGTTTCAAAGCACAGGAAGGAAAGGTTCAGGTTTCAATTGTAAAGGTCAGTGTGATGGCAGGGGAAAGCATGGATTGAGGAAGGGTAAGGAGTGGGCGTGGGGCTAGCAGTCCTCCATCAGGGTGGAGAAGGAAGATATGATTGAGACTCTGGCCAATGGAGTGAAGAAGGGGCCAGGGATTTCTAAATGAGAAGTGACATACTTAACAACTAACGACACATGGGGGAAGTGGAAAGAGGGACACCTAGGAGATCTGGGTGTAAATCTGAGTGTAAAAAAAATATTAATTGATACAAGAATGGGGGAATAAATGGGACTGAAACACTTACAGTATCCAGTGCTCACTGGTGTCAGACTTCATGCTAACCCCTTTGCATGAATTATTTTATCTATACAATAACCCTAAGGAAGAAGGCACTATTAAGGTTTGCATTTTAAGAGAAGAAAATTAAGGCTTAGAAAAGTTATGCAATTCTCCCAAATCATATAATTATTAAATGACAGAAAGAGCAATAAATAAATCCCTGCCTCACTCAGACCTGTGGTTCTACAAAGTCGTAAAGGCTGGGCATTCTGGATTGATCCTTCCTTTCTTCTGCCTCTCCTCAATGGAATTCAGTTCCATTCTCCTCAATAGAATCCAAAGTTTTAAAGGAAAAGATCTGGATCCTATCTATTTCAAATGTCCTCTGTTACCCTTTAAGTGCCTCGTACATAGTAGGTATGAAATGAAAGTTTGTGATTTGGGATATAATAAACTTTAGGCATAAAGCTGGTGACACCAGTGCTATAGAATGTCATGTCATTATGTGTGGATATCTTTCCCTTGAGTTTTTTATTCATTCCTGATTGTTCTGTCCTAGAGCAAAGCATTATGCAAACAATGACAGTAGTTACTGGGGAGCTTGAACATGCCATGAACATGCCAAGGGACTGGAAGGAGGACTTGTGGGTTCTTATGCCTCTGTCTCTCAGACTCAACCCCAGCCCTAAAACCCAGATGCTGGGTCTGGACCTAGGATATCCCACTGCCATTGGGAACTCTTCTCTGTGAGCTTCTGTCAATGTGGGGCTAAGAGGAGGGGTGGCGGAGGAGCAGGGACCTGCTCTTTTCTTTCTGCTTCATGCCCTTCTCCGCATCACCCCGGGAAGCCTTCTTCCCCAGGCAGCACGAGGGCTCATTTCAATTTTTGCTTTTCCAACACCCCAAAAATCAGCCGCAATGCACCACCTACTGGGTCGGTCAGTGTTCCCTCCCAGCAGTTGGGGGCCCACCTGCACGTGACATCTAGCCCAGGCTTCCTTCAACCTCTGCAGCCCTAAAGGTGCCAGCTGCTCCCTGCAGTGGTTAATATGCTCTGTGTTGACTCCATATCCCCTTCTGCCTTTGTTGTCCTTCAATACCTGTTCAGCCACTTCCTTCTATTACAATTCTCTCTGTTAAAATAGCTGGCATCATTCCCGTTTTCCTGAGAATACCATGACTGAGAGAGACCAGAAGGTATATTTCTCCCCTTATGGCTGATGGAAACTTTGCAGGCCTCTAGCAGAAAATTCTCATAATCTGGAGGCAACTCTCTGACCTGATGTAGTAGCTGCCCTTGCACTTGGTAAGGCGAGACTCAGGAGGCCTGAGTAAGCCCGAGCATCAACAAGGCTGTAACTATAAAGAAAGGAAGGCGCCGCCACTGGGGTCAGAAAGGGCTGCCTCTGTGGCTACACCCTCCTGGGGAATTTAACTGACCTAGTGTGCTGAACATCACACAAGAATAAAAGAACAACTGAATTTGTTAACTTGCCCTTCTTCTTCCATAGTATACTCTTTTTTTTTTTTTTTAGATAGGATCTTGCTCTGTCACCCAGGCTGAAGCGCAGTGGCTGATCTCAGCTCACTGCAAGCCATCCTCCCACCTCAGTCTCCCCAGTAGCTGGGACTATAGTCATGCCACTGTGTTCAGCTAATTTTTTATATTTTTTGCAGAGACAAGGTTTTGTCATGTTGCACAGGCTGGTCTTAAACTCCTGGGCTCAAGTGATCCTCTTGCCTTGGCCTCCCAAAGTGCATGGTAGATTATTTTATGCATTAGCTATTCAACTCCCTCCTAAGTGATCTAATAGAAATGGTGCCTTAAAATTATTTCTGAGTCAAGCACTCCTACTCTAGAGAGATTGTGTAAGAATAGATTTTATTATTGGTTTTCTTAAACATAATTATTTTCTATGATCTGTTCAATATCTCCCTCTAAAAGACAGAAACCTCCCTGGTCCACAACATCAGGGCGCATCCTCGCAGTGTTTAATGAGTATCTGCTTTGTTTCAGCTAATCAGTACCTTTTACTGTGTTTGGCACCAGCTGACAAATGGCAAGCCAGAAAAAACTACTGTTTAAATGCCAGCAGAATCCCCCAATGGGTTGTTAGCTTAAAAAAAGAAAATTACCTTTGGTCCTTCTCCATATCGTTGAGCATTTGAGTCGTTTCATCAGAATCTCTAAAGGCACCATCCTAAGTGTTATTAAAGAAGAGTAAGTGGAAGAGAGGGAAGGAGATGGAAATCACTCAGGTTTGGCTGTATTGGTGCACAAAGATGGCTAAAGGGAATCACGTGACTTGCATCACCATCACTAGCTGAGTAAGTCAGGCTACAGCCCGATTATTGCATACATGTCAAAGGGCAATCTATCTGTCCTCTTATCATGCTTATGAACCAATTCAGAGAGACGAACTAATTTGCCCAATATTACACACCTAGTTGGAAACAGGGCTAGGCCTAGAATTCAGATCTGTGACATTCAAAATAAGGACACCTTCTACTCACTTATAGTTCATCCCTCACATTAAATTTAGGGGGTTTTTTGGTATTAATTAGAACAAGAAACAGCAATTTTTTTCAGCAAAGGAACCAATAGAATATACTTTAAGCTTTGCAGCCATACTGTCTGCATTAGTCCATTTTTGCACTGCTATAAAGAAATACCTGAGACTGGATAATTTAGTTTTAAAAAAAGAAGTTAATTGGTTCACAGTTCTGCAGGAATGTACAGGAATCATGTCAGCATCTGCTTCTGAGAAGCCTCATGAAATTTACAATCATGGTGGAAGGTGAAGGGGAAGCAGGCAGGTCTTACATGGCCGAGAAGGAGCAAGAGAGAAGGGGGAGGTGCCACACACTTTTACACAATCAGATCTTGTGACAACTCACTCACTTACTATCATGAATACAGCAGCAGAGAAATGGAGCTAAACCATTCTTGAGAAACCGCCCCCATTTCACCTCCCACCAGATCCCACCTCCAGCACAGGGGGATTACATTTCAACATGAGATTTGGGTGGGGACACAGATCCACATCATATCACTGTCTATAGGTAGTCAAATGTGCCATGGTATCATGAAAGCAGCCATACCTAAATAAATGAGCATGGGTGTGTTTCAGTGAAATTTTATTTAGTTACAAAAACAGATCGTAGTCAGATTTTGCGCACAGAGTGTTATTTGCTGACCCCTGAGTTAGGTCACAATAGCAAAGAGACCTCAATAGCTCACTTAAGCCAGTCAAAGTTCATGTCTCTCATACTTAAAGAATCTCAGTATAGAGTTCAGAGCTGATCGAACAATTTGGCGGTGTCAGGAACCCTGGAAAAATTCTTCTTCTTGCTGGCAAGTCTTAATGTAAGACCCTCAACTCATTTTCCCAGCTATCTGCTCTAGCTCCATTTATCAGCTTTGAATTTCAGCCAGTAAGAATGGGAATGCAAGGAAATGGGGGACAGACCAATTTTCTTTAACAGCGAAGTCAGAAGTTGTTCACATTGCTTTTCTCCACACATGGCTGGTCACTCATCAATCACAGGGCCACCTCTAGCTAAAAGAAAAGTTGGAGATGTGCAGATTTTGGAAAGCCAAGAGCACTTCTATGTTCTATTGCCAGAGGAAGAAAGATAAAAAAAAAAGATGAAATAGATAAGCAGTGATTGTTCCCTCAGCAGATATTTTATTTACTAAGGAATATCTTAGAGAATGTGCCAAATATAGCTGCTTTTTTTAGTCAAATAAAAACCAATATGCTAGCATTGCCTTTAAAATAGCTGCTTCAATACCGCTTTACCCGCTTTAAAAGGAAGTGTTGCTTTCCAGTAGAATAAGTGTAGGCTGTAGAGCAAAATCAATCTGGTTTTGTTCCACTATTCATTAAATATTAGGGAACCCTCAGTTTTCTTAACTGTAAAATGGGCCATAAGTAAATCAGGATTAAAAGAGAAGATTTATGTAGAAGTCCTGGTTCACAGAAGGACATCAGTTAATCAAAAAATGTCAGTTCCCCTCCATCTTTATTATAAAACAGGGAATTAAGTGGCATGTCAGTATATGACAAGCTAAACATGATCTAACTCTCACGTTGTGCCATATTTTATGCTGTATGACTCAGTTTTTAATGGGCTAATTCATCAGTACATAGCCAGCTGTACCACCCTCAAAGGTAACATAATACAGAAAAAAGAACTGCCTTGGACTTCTGGGAGCATGGGTTTATTTTCTGACTTTCTGACTCACCTGCCTGAGGAATTGAAAACTAGAATTACGTACTTGGCATTCTGCAGGTCATTTTGAGGTTTCAGATTCCAATGTCTCACCAAGAAGCATTTCAATTCCATTTTTAATAAACTGAAAAGTGAGACTTTCTTAATATCTTTTTATAAGTGTCTGCACATATAATGACTCTCATCACAGCCCTTGGAATTTTTATTTGTAAAATGAATCAAGGGCACTTTCCTATCATGACTTCTTGTTGTACATGCCTGAATCAGGTGCACAAATTGAGAAGCTTCACTTGGTCAAAATTTTAATGTCGTATCAGCAAGCGTCAATCTTAGAGAAGCAATTAAAGAAATTCATCCCAAACTCACTTGATGGCCCTGCCTGGACAGAGATCTTGGGTCTCCACTCCAGCTAATCAACATTCCACTGAGACAGCATTTTCATTTCTCCAGAACATGAATCTCTGAAAGAAAAAAGCCATTGATATAACTCATACCCTGGCCCAACCCTTATCCCCCTTCTTGCAGCTGAGACAGCTAGTTATTGATTTTCAGGCTTCCTACAGTCAGCAGCTAGAGCTAGTTTGTCAGGAAAGGTGAAAGAGGTAGGCAGGGCATACGATTTATTTTGGAATTGATGCCCTGTGAGCAAAGTCTAAGTGGGAGTCAGACAGGTTAATGTGAGCAGAAAAGCATTCTGGAAGGAGGTGGCAATGTTAACGGAAATGAGAAGGCACAGGACTGATGGCATGTGCAGAGAGCTGCAGCATGCTCTTGCAGGGCAGAGTCCCAGGGAGGTGGCAAGAGGAGCAGGAGAGGAACACAGTGTCAGACAAGCAACCTATCCCAGAGCTTCATTTTTTAGGCAATCAGACCAACAGAGGGAAACGAATGTGGTCAGGTCCGGCTTCCAAATGCAGCATTGTGCAGCTGCGTGAAGGTCAGTCTGAGTGGGCAGAGGCTGGGCTTAGGTCAGGAGGTCAGTGCACAGTTGTTTTGAGAGATGATGGAGATCTCAGCTGGGTCCCAGGCATCACTGTGGAGAGGATAGGGCAGATTCAATCATTATTCCAGAGGTCACAGCAGTGGGGCCTACCTGATTACACAGTGGTGAGGAAACAGATAAATAAACAGGAGGGGCCAGAGGAAGAGGGAAGAGGGAATTCATCTGAGAGAGATGTGCCTGGAGAGCAGAATGGCACAAGGATGGGCTCTAGGGAAGGCCACAGGTGAAGGGATGAATCATCCCAGAAGAAAAGAAACCCCTTCTTCTCACAGGGAACAGAGAGCATTGCCAGGTGAGGGGACTTTTCAGGTTCAACACAACAATCCCCTTGTCTGTCTAGCCTTTATACACTCATCCTGTGGGGTGCTGTGTCCCAGTTTCTATAAAGCAAGCCTGCCCTTCATGCTTTGCCCCCTTCCTACAAGCCCACCTTCCCTTTCACTTCTCTACCTTGTTATGATGCGGCAGGAGGCCCGCACCAGGAGCCAACCAGATGTAACCGCCCAATCTTGGACTTCCCAGCCTATAGAGCCATGAGCCAAAATAAATGTATTTTCTTTATAAATTACTCAGGCTCAGGTACTCTGTAATAACAACAGAAAAGAAACTGAGATAGATGCCCACCGAGAAAGCAGTCTATGATTTGAGATAGTATCATAAGTGCTATGTTCTGAATATGACCCCCAAATTCATATGTTGAAACTTAATCTTCAAAATGAGAGTATTAGGAAGTCAGGCATTTAGGAGGTGATTAAGTCATGTATGTGGAGCCCTCAATGGGAATTAGTGAGTTCATAAAAAGGCTGAAGGGAACTAGCATTGGTCCTTTTCATTTTTTCCTCCATGTGAGGTTCCAGCATTTCTACTCTCTGGAGGGAAGAGCAACAAGATGCCATCTTGAAAGAAGAGAGATCAGGTCCTCAGCAGACACTGAACTTGCCAACACCTTGATCTTGAACTTCCTGGCCTCCAGAACTGGAAGAAAATAAATTCATGTTTGTTATAAATTACTCATTTTTTAATAACAGCACAAATGGACTAACATTACAAAATAATAAGGGCCCTAAGAAAGCATAGTCACCTCCTTGACAGTGGACAACAAGAGAGTACATCCTGAATCGTCCTCAAGTTTGTGTCCCAGATATGTAGCCAATTTTCTCTTACCTATTTTCCCATATAAATAGGGAAACAAACCCTATCACCTAAATATCCAACAAACCCTATTACCAAAAATATTTCAACAAACCCCATTACCAAAAATATTCCAACAAACTCCATTACCTAAAATATTCTGAGTTTTCCTATGTCTTGCAACATTCCAGTCATGATATTGGCTTTCTTAATTACAATTCCCCTTGTCTCCCAGCTATGGTAGATTCACTAACTTTCCTAGAGTGAGAAACACCTCACCTGGTTTCTCACTCTCAAATTGTTCTCCATTGGAGTCCTCACATGTCTCTTCAATGTGACCTGGATACTTGATCCTCTGCCAGGAAACAGCTCTTACTCTAGACTGCTCCTGCATCAGAAAAAATAGTGTTCAAATAAGATTTACAGATCTCTAAGACACCAGTTATTTTACCTCCAAACATCTGTAACACCCAGGGTCACTGTGTTGGCTTAATAGGAAGCCATCTACCTACTAAAATTTGGAGAAGCAAGAGATCCCCACAATTATAATTTACATCCATCTTCTTCTTTAATGTCTAGAATTTTTTTGGCAGCTAGTTATTCTGAGTTAAGAACTTTGTGCAGCGGAAAGAACAATATAATCAGAGTCTGGGGAACTTGGGTCCAGAGCTTAAATTCACCACATTATTAACCATATGACTTGGAAATAGTATTTAACTTTGTTGAACTTCAGATTCCCAGTGTGTAAACTGGAAGTTTGACCCTTGCTTCCACAGACTACTTATGGGTTAGAGGGACTAGTAAAACTAGCGCTACATGTCATCTGTTACACAAGGCAGGCTTTCACACACCATCTCCAGAACCTTCCCTAAAGCTGATGGTGGTTACCTTAAGCACATACTGTTATACTTGAATACAATTTTCATAGGTGGATATATATGTTACAGAACAGTTGGAATATTATATTATAACTATTTTTTTAAACTTCACTGTCTGCTTTTGAAGGTGACAACATAATTTATATTAGTGGGAGTATGTCTCATTTATGAAAATACTTTCATGGCCTTTAGGTTATGTAAAGATCTTAAGTAACCAAACCCAAACCAAGTGTACAAGGAACTTAAAGGAAATGAGAGAGAGAGAGAGAGAGAGAGAGAAAGAGGGAGAGAGAGACAACACTGAGGAATTACTTTACAGAGCAAGTTTTCCCTGGGGTGGGGAGGACACATCACTGTAGAGATTTTATTTTGGTCTTAAATGTTTTTTTTTTTTTTTCTTTCTTCCCCTGGTAGATGCAAAAATGGGGTATGAGGGACCTGGGACTAGGGAATGAGTAAAACCAGGAGAAGAGGGCTCTGTTCCAAGGAGAAAGAAATCCAATCAATGGGGTATAGGGTCAAAGCAGAAGTAGCCATTGGGGAACTCCCAGAAAAAAGGCATGGTCAACAGTTAACAAGGTTTTTTGGATTTTGTTTTTAATGGTCAACAGATATTAAGTTCGGGTGTGGGAGGGGGGTTGTTTCTAATTCTTTTACTAAAGAGCTTTGTTAACTATTACAGTTCCTCAGTTTTGTCAAGCAGAATGAGGGAGTGACTTGTGTCCATGCTAGAGATGGGGTAGTGGGAAAACACATCTTTCCTTCCTGCCAGACACCCTTGAGGACCCTGGAAAAGACCACAGCAATTAGAGACAAGCAAGAGTGAGGCATCAGTGAAGCCTGGAGCTTACGTCTGGAGGGAAACCCAACAAAATGTATCTGTGGAAGGTGTAACCCGCAGGTTCCCAAAACCTCAGTATTCTCAGCAAATCAAGGGAAGAGAGCCCAATAAAAGCAGAGAATTTCTGCAGCTGCATGCACAGTTCAGATGTTCTACTGAACATGAGTCTATCATGAGATGCTGATGTCCAGCAAACCCAGAGGCACTTTTCAAATCCTCACAGGTGGAAGTCCTGTTGCATAGACAAGGTAATAAGATGCAGGATGTAGTGAAAAACAAAAGTTGGCTTTAGCCTGTGTGTACTGAGTAAGTAGATTAAATTAAGGACTCAATTTCATCAATTATAAGCACTTGTGAAGTTGCTGTGAGAGACAGAGATGATATTTGTAAGGTGGTTGGACATATTTAGTAAACAGTGCCATTGCCAGGTGTCTGCAGAAATGCATGCCCCATACCAACTGCAGCTAATGGCAACTCAACGAGGCAAAAATGGAGAGTTTACTTTCAGATACCCTATGTTTGAAACACAGCCTTCTTCAGGACAGTGGTTGCCACGCCTACATTGAGTTGAGAGCCTTAGACTCCATAAGCATTCAATATTAAATAGCAAAGCTCTTTCCACACTACCTAGCAATTTATTTCTGGGTTAATATAAGGTGATAGTTTCAACCTATAAATCCCATTAAGTTTGAATCCCAGTTACCTCAAGATAATGCATAAGAAACGAGGTTGTCATGGCAATTTAGATCCGAGATTCACACCCAATCCTAGACACTAGATCTGGGGCTCAGGAGACAGTATGTTTTCCATGCTTTATTTCTAATACTGGAATTATCTTCTTCCAGCATCCAAAACCCTACTGATGTAGTGTCTGTGAGGCAGAGATTGTCTTTTCAGATTGGCCAAATAGTGTTCTCGGATGGTAATCAGAAATACAATATAAAACTTTTTATATTGAGAAATTCATATTGGAAAATTCTATGTATCTAAAACCTTTTAGTAATGACTGTCTTTTAATCTAATATATAGTTTGAGGTAAATATAGGGATAATTTTCAAGCACATTTTCCTGGACAAATGTGTGATACCAAACTCTGAGCTGTTCTAAATAAAACCCTTTCATTAGCTAGTTCAAGGCTATATTTTCAACATTCAGCAAATAAAATATACCTCTCACATTTGAGAACTCTGTCACCAAATTTAACTTAGACACATTTTTCAGATTCCTCTTTCTGACATGATTACTTATACCATTGAAAGGTACACATATGTCCTAAACTATTTGAATTGTGACTTCTGTACAAATAAGAAGACCACTTTATCATGAGACCTTTCAGAAAGGTTAGAGGTTCTAAATTGTTTACCCTGTTGGCCAAGAATGTGAGAGCACAAGAATTATATGCTTTTACATGCCATTCTAGTGATTTCCAGTACCCTTTTTTGACAGTTTTGCTTTTTTCATGCATTTATTGTTTTCAAAGAGCAAAGGTCTTTAAATTCAGGGACAGAGCTCTCAGCTTTTAGATTGGCAGACCTCAGGGTTTGTCTACTCACATGGGGGCAGAAGCACCATAATTGCTGGTTGGTCCTGACATTTTCTTGATCTTTCTGTTTTCAAACACCACTTACCACTTTATCTAAGAAAATGCTTCTTCATAAGGAATATATTATTAATATTTCCAAGGGTATAAAATGACTTTCAGTCCTATTGACATGTTCTCATATATATTGTCTGCACTTAAAACAAAAATCATTAGGCTCTGGGAGCATTTTTATAAAGACCAAGCTGAGAAAGAGAAACATTAAAAATGTGTTTGCATGATGACTAACATCATTTAGAAAGTGTTCTTGAAAAGAACAATTAACTATATTCAAAATAACAGTATTTGAAGGTACTTCTATTCTCTCTGTTGTACAGATGAAAAGAGTGGAATTTAGGAGTGTTCTGAGGATTTCCAAATTCACAAAGGCAATATATCACAAGCCATAATTAAACATTCTTTGGTTGTGTTCATTTATTTATTAAATGAAACTAATACATGCCAGATAGTTCAGCCTCTTTGCAAAGAGACAAGATTCATTGTCCCACTCTTTAAGTTCATAATTTCTTAGGCAGACAAATGTGTTACCCAGTAAGTTGCCATACTATGCAATAAATGCTACAAAAGAGCAAAATTCATATTCTGGAAGAGGCTAGAGAAAGCTTCCAGGGGAACTTATTATCTCATCCGGGGTGGGGGGTGTTGGGGCTTTTGGTGTCTCTGTATTATCCTTACCTGGGGTTTCTTCCTTCTGAAGACTTTTTAAATTTCTATTCACACATAGTAAATATAGGATGGTTTTGTTTTTTCTTAAACCCATCAACTCTTCTGGAACCCAACAGACTTTACCCATCTACTCTCTATAAATTAAATGTCTCTTATTTTTCAACAAATATATAAAACCCGATTTGTTCAAAGGCATGCAGGTCTTTCCCAGTGCCCCCTACCTGTAGGCCAGCCAGCCTTTGCTCAGGATTTCTGGGGAGCAGGGTTCTCAGAGCTTCCTTCCAACTTGGGACATGGTTGCCAGGCTCCTCTGCCTGTGGAGAAACATCAGTCCTTTCAGAGTGAACTTTATTTCTGGAGATGGACAAAGTGTCGGGGCAAAGAAAGTTGAATGAAAGAAGTGACTGAGCGCAAAACTGCCATGTGTGGCCTAAAATGAGGTGGCCCTCCACAGTAGTGAGCTCAGTGTACTCCTAGGTTTTTGGAAAATATGTCTTTTGGAATTCTGCAAGATAAACATCAATGGTGTTAGGCAGATTGCCGAAATGAGAACCTCACCTCTTTGAAGACTAATTAATTTCTAGAGGTCAAGAAAATGCCACCACCTCCTCACTTGGCCTGCACACTTGATATCAGCAACTTGATTTCCCCACTAAAAACCAACATTTTATAAATTAATTTACCAAAAATATCAGCAACATACTCCCAGAGAGAGAAGAGAGGATGAAGAGAGAAAGAGACAGACACAGAGACAGAGAGAATCACTCCAAATATTCAGATTTCCTACCTGGACACATCTCAGTAGGGTATGTATGTCTTTGCTGTTGCTGAATGTAGGAAGAAGAAATCTAACCCTTTCTTGGTGTGTCTATTTATTTTTCTCTCTCCCTACACTCAAGTTAGAGTAGTCTTCCTAAAATACAGGGAGGCACTGACATCTTCAAAACTCTACAGTTGTCTCATCTGCTTCCCAAGAAAGTACTAAGTCTTCAATGTGGCCACTGGGTCCTCACCATCAAGCCCCACACTGGCCAGCCTGCCACCCATTTTAAACAAAAACCTACCACCCTTTAGTAAGCATAACATATTATTTCAGACCTTTGCCTATGCAGGATGTTTTTGCTTAGAATGTCCTCTCATAAATTTTCTTGCACCTAATACCTCTTATATTTTAATGCCCAGTCACATGCCCCCCTTACCCTGTCCATGACTTTCCCTTTGTCTGAATTACTAGCTCAATACGTCTGCAGCACAGTTTTCTTCTCACTATTTAACATGTTTTTTCCAAGCAACCTTGCACTTTACTTAAATGTTTTCATGCCTGATTTTCCCTACAGCATCAGAGCACGTCTTATCTCTGAGCTCTAGCTCAAACAGTGCTTAGCAGTAATGAAAGTTAATTGAATTAAATTAGATGTGTCATGTTGTATTGTTTGAACTCAGATTCAGAACTGTCTATAGTTGGCACTTAATAGAATTTTTGTTGTTGAAGAACAAAATAAAGTATTTAAAAAGCCAACACATGCGTAAAATGAGAGTAAAGGAAATGATGAGCATCTCATTATTGAAAGGAAATAGCTGGTGGTGGTTGAATTTATTTTCTTCCAAGTTTTGTGCATATTATTTTTCATTATAGTAATAATTTCCCAAGTACTTTTCTCCTATTATACATATTAGTTTAATGAAATGATTCTGGTCATGTTAAATTCTTTTTAAACATTAATATTTTTATTAAATTATTTTTATGGCATCTTACCTCATCCCGAAAGCTTGTGAGACATTTAGCTACAAAAGTGGCAATTTCTACAAACCTGATCTCTTTCCTTATTTGTCAACCTCTTGAAAGGACTAAATTTTACATGCTTTTTAAGTCAGTGTTTGAAACACACATACTATAATGAACCATTTTTCCTAATGGCGTTATAAATTGGGCACTTATGTTGGGTTTCGTCTTTCTAAACTGCAAGAATAAACTTTAGAGGCTTAATCACTTTATGATTTTTCAGCCATGGTCATACACCAAGGATTCAGTCCACTGACCAAGTCTCAATGAAAACATGGATCTTTACTGAAGATTTCCTTTAGGAGTATAGCAACAGGTTTATAGAGGACATTGCACAGTATGACTTCAAGAAAACAACTTCTCTAGAATGTTCTCTGTTCACTCAAAATTTATACTCACAGAGCTGCTCAAACTCCATTTTGTTTTTCCAGTACTGATCTCCAGCTTACATTGTTGTCTCCTTTACTTAATCCATCTTGTCTCCTCATCTTCCTCTTCCAAAGAAGGGAACTCCTGACACTGACTACTTTCTTGAGAGGGGCAGCCAACCAAAATGCTAGTGAACCCTCCATTATAGTACATAAACAACGCTTTTATTAATATCTTTGTGCCTAAAGTTTTTCTAGATTTTAGATTTTTTCAATACAATGAATTCTCAGAAGTAAGCCTGCTTGGACAAAAAGAATGAATATCTTCAGAGCTTTAAATAGCTACTGTGAAGGGCTAGATTGTGTCCTCTCCAAAGTTCATATACTAAAGCCCTAACTCCTAGCACCTCAAAATGTGACTGTATTTGATGATAGGGACTTTAAAAATGCAATTAAAGTAAAATGAGGTCATGAGAGTGGGACTCTAATCAATATGGCTGGTGTCATTGTAAGAAGAGGAAGTTAGGACGCACACACACAGAAGATCACAGGAGGGCACAGAGGGAACATAGACACCTACCAGCCAAGGAGAGAGGCCTCAGAAGAAATCAATGCTGCTAACACCTTGATCTTTTACTTTTAACCTCCAGAACTAAAACATAAAATAAACTTATTTTGTTTAAGCCACCTAGTCCATGGTATTTTGTTAGGGTAACCCAAGCCAACTAACACAGTCTCTTCTATGTTTTCAAAAGCTTTAGACCAATTTATGCCTCCACCAGCAGAGTAGGAGAATTGTGCTCAGCTTGGTTCTAAGGAAAAAAACCTGTACTATCCTCATCTCAAGGCAGGTGACCGCAGGTGCAGTCACTGTCACCAGAGCAGCTGGACAAGGCACAGCACAGCCACATGGGAGCTCAGAGGGGCAGGATAAGCTTCTTGCAGTGAGATTCCTGCAGGCACCAGGCAGAAGGCATTGCGGGTAACTAAATACAGCTGCAGAGGCCACTGAAAGAAAGGTTGAAGCCACGGTCCACTGTCGGCCTCACCTTAAAGGCTGCAGCAAGTGCTAGCGCCCAGCAAATCCCCACTGGCAGTCCAAGCTGATTTGTGCCTGATGTAGCCTTTACCTGTCTTCCCTCAAACTGTTTATATAATTCATCACTGCTGCTCACTTCCCTTACAATGCTTTCCGCTGGGCTTCCGGAAACTCCTCTGGCGGTGACCTCCACAAGGTCACCCTGCAAAGAGGAGAGGAAAATGCACTTTAGCTGGGTGACAGCTGCTGGGAGGAACAGGCTTCTGGAGGTGCCATGTGGGCCCTCAAGGCCCCCTTTTGTGTTATTTTTAATGGTTACATGCTTAACTCTCCTTGAAATGCTGCCACGGGGCTGACCCAGCTGTAAGTGAGTTCTTGCTAATGAAATGGCACGAGTCCGTAACCTTCCCCCTCTAAAGGTTTCCCGGTGTCTCGCTGCCTCTGGTCTTCTTCCCAAAGACTTCCTCCTCCATAGAGTGTGCTTTCTACACACAGGCTTTGTCCTGGTACTCCTGTTCCTGAATTCCATCACTAACAACTTTGCAAAATTTGCCATCACTATTGATATGGTTTGACTCTGTGCCCCCTTCCAAATCTCATCTTGAATTGTAATACCCATGTGTCAAGGGAGGGATCTGGTGGGAGGTGATTGGATCATGGGAGCAGCTTCCCCCATGCTATTCTCCTGATAGTGAGGGAGTTCTCATGAGATCTCATAATTTAAAAGTGGCAGTTTCCCCTGTGCTCTCTCTGTCTCTCTCCCCTGACGGCTTATGAAGAAGGTGTTTGCTTCTCCTTTGCCTTCCGCAATGATTGTACATTTCCTAAGGCCTCCCAACCCATGCTGAATTGAGAGTCACGTAAACCCCTCTTCTTTGTAAATTACCCAGTCTCGGGTAGTTCTTTATAGCAGTGTGAAAATGAACTAATACAACTATAGTTTTTAAAATTTGGTATCACTATTGTTTTTAAAATGTAATATTATTGTTAAAAATATTTTGAGTGTACATACTCCATACATGCATACATATCTTTGTATCAATTAGACATTTACTGCTACTATATACGTATATTTTTATTAAAGCACAACCAAAAAAAAAAACCCTCAGAAATTAAAGGGAAAAGAAATTAAAAGGCTGAAATTCAAATCCTGTAACCATGAGCAAAAGACCACCACAAACAACTTTCCATTTTCATTTCACACCATGCCTTTCTGAGTGCCCCGGTGCAACTCACCCCAGATCCTTGCCATTTTCCACAATACAAAGCTTCTTTTCTACCTCTTAACCTTTATAGATTTTGTCCCTCTGCCTAGATGGTCTACCTAACCTTTTCACCTAAGAAACCTCCCACCATTTAAAATCCAGGCTAATTATGAAAAATGAAAATCACATACACAGACAACAGGAAACCATGCTGTACTATTCAAGAGCTCAAGCAAATAACAACAATAAATCATTTGTTAAAAGTATTTGAAGGTATGCTTCAATTGCAAGATAAATACGCAAATTAAAGACTCAAGAATGGAAAAGTAAAATGATAAGAATTCCCCTGAGCATTTAAAATAGTTCAACATAAATCTTAGAGTTCATGCATCTGGTTATAAAAGCAACTACAATTGTCCCAAACTTATTCTTGATAAAAATATATAGAAATAAAAATTAATAGTATTAACCTGAGTTCAAAACACCAGACTGTATTAATAGAAATTGTAACAGGAAGTAAAAAGGGAGTGCTATGTTCTGAATGTGTTTGTCCTCTAAAATTTCTGTGTTGAAACCCTATCCCTCAAGGTAATGGTATTAGGAGGCGGGGACTTTGGGAGGTGATGAGGTCATGAGGGTGGAATCCTCAGGAATGCAGTTAGCACCCTTATTATAGAGGCCCCAGAAAGCTAGCTCATCTCTTCCACCCTGTGAGCACATAGCAAGAAGGAGACATCTATGACCCAATCAATGGCTCCTCACCAGACACCACATCTGCTGGCACCTTGATCAGACACTTCTAGCTTCCAGAACTATGAGAAATTAATTCCTCCTATTTACAAGCCACCCAGGCCATGATATTTTGCGGTGATACCTGAATGAACTAAGGCACCCAACTCCTGCCTTATTGTTAGAAAACTCAAGAAAAAATATAATTGTGAAATACTAACAACAGGAATATAGTTTTAAAATTTGTTTGAGATACTTAAATATAACTACTAGTAGCATTTCAGATAGTATTTAAATCTTCTCAATCACAGAATAAGAAACAGCAATCAAAACATAACCCATAAAGCAAAAGACAAAATAGAAAAAAAAAACAAGGCATAAATATCAGCATGAGATAAGATGACATGAAAAACAACAAATAATTCTGTTATGTAATATTATGAAGTTTTTAAAATGTTTTGGCAAATTTTAATAATATTTGGAAAATATTTATTGGAAATACTAAATGTAATAAGCATAATATTAATATTTCTAAAATAAAACTGGATAGAAAGATATATAAACACAGACACATATAGATATGCAAATATCGGTGTGTGTAGATATATGTGTGTGCCTAGGTATATCATCTATCTATAAGATACTATATATAATCTGTATGTATATATGCAAACACACATGCTTATTTAAAACATTATTATCATATTGGTATAAATGAAATCTCATTAACAATGATTAGGCAAAGTTGATGTTGTTGCCTGTTAGGCACTCGTAGGATATCTGTCTCCTACAAAGTTTTCTAGAAGGACTTTCAACTTAATGGAGTCTTATAAAGGTGTATAAAACAAAACAAACAAAAATCCTAGTCTGTTGTCAGTAACTACCAATGCAAAAATCAAAATTTCAAAATGAATAGATTTTGTATGACATACTTTAAAAAGTAAAAACAAAACATAGCAAAAAAATTAATAGTTTTTTCCTTGAACAAATAAGAACTTCGATGTTTATATTTTCCTCAGTTCTTCTAAACAAATATCGTAAGTTTCCTTGTTTTCAAATGCGTGTTTCATCGATTTTCCTATTCATACCATCCATTTTCCCTTCAAGTTGCTTTTTCAAAGCTTGTTGTGTTCCTTCCCTCCGGACCATAGAGCAAGCACTGGAAAGGGTGAGCAGGGAGTGTTTGTGCAATTCTCATCTGTGACAGAGACGGGACTGACAGGTTTAGGAGTCAAACATAGTGGTCACCGCGCTCTGGCCAGTGGCACCGTCCACATCTTTTTCCTGAATTAGACTTTAGAGAAAACAGCAGTAGTCATAATCTAACGTTTAGAGGCTGCGGCCTTTTCTTCACAGTGGTACCCCACATATGTCTACGTGTTATTTCTTTCAACCCCAGTGATCTTAAATTGTTGTCTGGGGCTCCCAGGACTCCTTGAAGGAGGCGCACCCTCTCCACAGCGGACATTAGCGATGCTCTTCACTGATCTTTCATGAGAAAGGAGGTATCTCTCCAGCTTCCAGCATGGCCATCGCTGGCCATGTGACGGAAGGGTTGGCTCCCTGTGGAGCCGGATGAAGGTCCTCTCTGATTTTTCAGAGATGTGCCCTGCATTTCCTCTGTAATTTAGAAACTTCCTTGTGACCTGTCACCCGTGAGCATTTCATTGGGAGCTGAAGCCAGCATGTGGATGCAGAGAATGTACTCAGAGAAGTCACAAGCCACGGTTTCTCAATGTGGCTCTGCACACACTTTTCCATGGTCTGGGCAAATAGCTTAACCCCTGCTAGGTCTTTCTTTTCCTCATCTGAACAGAGGGAATAGTAATCTATGCTTTGTCTCTATCTTAAGACTGTTCTGAGGGCCCAGTGAGCGAATAAATACAGACGCACTTGCATGACTAAGATGCACGGATGGGACCAGAGGGAACTATGATGTATACAACCCCGCTCAGCCCCCTAAAAATTCAAGCAATTTTCTTCAGTCTCCCCAATACAGACCACTTGTAAATAGAGTCAACCCTTGGTATCAGTGGGGGATTGCTTCCAGGACAAACCCCCATATCAACATTCACAGATGTTCAAGACCCTGACATAAAGTGGTATAGCATTTGCACATCCTCTCATATCCTTCAATCATCTCTAGATTAGTTATAATACCTAATACAATGTAAATGCTATGTAAACAGTTGCTAAACTGCTGTGTTTAGGGAATAATGACAAGGAAAAGAATATACACTTTCCATACAAATGTAATTTTCCCCTAATATTTTCAATCCACAGTTGGTTGAATCTACAAATGTGAAACCCATGGATACAGAGGGCAGACTCCATACTGGAATGAACCTGTGATTACTATGTAATGCATTGATTATTTGGGAAATGTGTTTTGTTATTGTTAAAGTCTCTATATAGTCACCCAGATTAGTAGTTTCCACTCTGACCAATTACTAAACTAAAGATCCTAGACACTCTTTCATTTGACTGTTCTATTCCGCTCCTGTTACAGTTCTAGGCACAGCTTGGCCCTCAATTCATGTTTTTTGATTATGAGAAAGATTTCTTTTTTGCAATTCTAACTGTATCCAAATAATAAATGGCACCAAACCACAGACACCAGCAAAACCCTGATTAATGAAATTACACATCACTTTCTATCCCAGCATTTGGAGGCTAACGGCGATATGCATAATGACATGTCACATGCTTCAGATACCATCAGGATGTCCTGGAATGATTACTTATTGCCTGTGGGAGGAAATCATCAGTAGGAAGGGCATGTTGGAGGGATGGCTTCCACAGTCGCTGGGAAATAGCCCTGTGTGGAGTGATTTGAAAGTTGCATTTTTTTCTCGTGCTGGTCAGCTTTCTATTTGTATACATATATATATAATTTATTAAATTTATCACAAAGGAACACAAGCCAGTCAAACTTCTTGGCTTTGATAGTGTGGATGAAGTTGTTAAACTTATTCGCTAAATGTGCAATACACTCTGTGGGAGAGAAGTGTATGAAAGATGTGTGTTGGTGAAATGAAATGCATAGAGCTGTGGTTTGTGTCCAGCTTTGGCATACATGGGTTTGGTGGCCTTGGGCAAGATTGCACCTCAGTCTCCTCACCTGTGTAATGGGAAACGACCTCATGGGGTTATTATTTTTAACGTAAATTATTTACTTTTTGAAATTTTTTATTTTTATATTTTTTAACTTTTATTTTAAGTTCAGGGTTACAAGTGTAGGTTTGTTATATAGGTAAACTCATGTCATGGGGGTTTGGTGTAAAGATTATCTCATCACCCAGGTACTAAGCATAGTACCTGATAGTTATTTTTTCTGCTCCTCTCCCTCCTCTCATCCTCCTTCCTCAAGTAGGTCCCAGTGTCTGTTGTTCTTCTCTTTGTGTTCATTGGTTCTCATCATTTAGCTCCCACTTAGAAATAAGAACATGTGGTATTTGGTTTTCTGTTCCTGCATTAGTATGCTAAGGATAATGGTCTCCAGCTCCATCCACGTTCCTGCAAAGGACTTGATCTTATTCTTTTTTATGGCTGTGTAGTATTTCATGGTATATGTATGTATCACATTTTTGTTATCAAGCTACCATTGATGGGCACCTGGGTTGATTCCATATCTTTGCTATTGTGAATAGTGCTGCAGTGAACATACATGTGCGTGTGTCTTTATGGTAGAATGATTTATATTCCTTTGGGTGTATAACCAGTAATGGGATTGCTGAGTTGAATGGTACTTCTGTTTTTATTTCTTTAAGGAACTGCCACACTACATTTTACAATGGTTGAACTAATTTATACTCCCATTGGCAGTGTATAATCGTTCTCTTTTCTCTGCAACCTTGTCAGCATCTGCTGGTTTTTTGGTTTTTTGTTTTTAATAAGAGCCATTCTTATTGGTGTGAGATAAGCGCCTGGCCTATAGTCTGACAAGTTGATGCTAAAATCCTACATTTGCTTCTGAATTCTCAGAGCCCTCTTCCCTCAAACCAAGAAACCATCTTTCCATTTCACAGCACTGTGCGAAGAGCAAGTGAAATGATGCCTGCATTCGAGTTTACTTCCATCATTACAAAACGAGGTGCATCCAGGTATGACACTTGTTCAAAAAAATCAATTTACTTTAGTTCAGCAAAATATTTAGAGTATCTTTCATCCAAGCAGTACGATAGGTTCTGGAAATTCCCAAATAAGCAAAAATCAGCCAGGCTCCATGAGGAGTTCACAGTGAACTGCAGGACACAAAAGAAGAAAGAAATAATTCAATAATACAATGACAAATGTTAAGTAACCAATTAAGCCAGGCACTATGAAAACTCAGACAAGGGGCTGTTGTCCTATCTTGGTTCACAGAAGGCTTCTTGGAAGAGAGAACATGAAATCTGAGTCTCTAAGGAGGAAATCGAATTTGTAAATATTAACAAAAGGGGCTGGCTGTTGTGGCTTACATCTGTGGTCCCAATAACTCAGGAGGCTGAAGTGGGAGGATCGCTTGAGGCCAAGAGTTTAAGGCTGGAGTGAGCCATGATTGTGTCACTGCACTCCAGCTTGGAAGACAGAATGAAACCCCTACTCAAACAGAAAACAAAACACAGGGGAAGGCTACGAATTCTAGATAAAGGGAGCAAGAGCTAGGCACTGGGGCATAAAATTGTGTGTGCATGTGTGTGTGTGTGGTGGGGGAGGGGGAATACAATTTAGTGTTAACTGAAGTGTGAAAATCAAGATGGGTTACAGCAGGTGATGGGACCAAGTCAGAGACTTAACCCTCAGAGCAATGACTGGCCACTGCATAATTTTAAATCACATTTGCATCTTAGAAGGATTATACAGGATGCAGTTTGGGGGATTAATTTAAGGGGCCAGAAGAAAGATAGGGAAACACGTTAACTGGTTCTCAAAATGGTCTGAGCAAGTGATGTGGTCTGATGTACAACAGTGGTAGACATGAAAATGGGAAGGTTTTTTAAAGGAAGGAGCATTAGCTGGTGATGGCTGGGAGAGAAGAATGGGCAGAGGGCATAATCTAGAAGAATTCACAGATGGTCAGGTGGGTGATGCCACCCTGAATACTGAGCTATGCCATGGAACCAGAGAGAAGGAATAGGCTGGTGGCAGCGCAGGTGCACCCTGTGATCCAGGGCAGCACTTGAACTTGGGAGATGGCCAAGATGATTTGAAGATACTTTGATATTGAAATGTTCTGTGGAACTTCTAGTCTGCAGTTAGAGCAGACTCATCTTCATTTACCAGTAGTTAAGTTTTGTTTCTCCAAGTAGCACATTATCAATCATGCAGTAAGTGTGCAACTAATGCAGGTAATTTGGTTGCCTCTTGAACACCAGGGATGCATTTTGCAAAACTTACATAGATCATGAAATCAAGGAACCATGTCAGATTATTTTGCAAAATAGAGATTATTGATATCTGTTTCAAAGTAAGCTTCACATCCATTACTACTAGCCCTCTGTATTAGCTTTCGGATTCTAAATAACTTATCGCACCCAAAGTTCCAACCGCCAATACAAGAAAAAAGAGCTTTAGGAAATTCTTAGGAAAGTAGGCTGGCATGGTGACTCACACCTTTAATCCCAACACTTTGGGAGGCCAAGGAGGATGGATCACCTGAGGTTGGGAGTTTGAGACCAGCCTGACCAATATGGTGAAACACCATCTCTACTAAACATACAAAAATTAGCCAGGCTGTGATGGCGCGTTCCTGCAATCCCAGCTACTCAGGAGGCTGAAGCAGGAGAATCACTTGAACCTGGCAGGGGGAGGTTGCAGTGACCCAAGATCACGCCACTGCACTCCAGCCTGGGCGACAGAGGGAGACCCTGTCTCAAAAAAAAGAAAGAAAGAAAAAGAAAGAAAGAAAAGAGAAAAGAAAATTCTTAAGAAAGTACAGACTCATGACTAGACTTTTTTAAATCTAAGCTGAATTTAGGGGAAACCCCACTACACAGTTTCCAGGGAGAAAGGATTGAGGTAAGTATTCAGGAGAGCTTTGGACAAATTTTGAGAAAGTGTTTATTCACTTTAACTTCCAAGCACTGTGGAGTGCTGTGGAGGTGAAGGGCTAACAAATGAAGACACAAGTGTGAGGAGAGTACACATCCCACCCCAAGAGCCTGCAGTGAAGTGCAGGAACGTGTGTAATCAAAGGCATACCAGGAGCCAGGGGCTGTGTGTGTTTGACTGTGGTTTTCTGCCTCTTATTTATACAGTCCCTTCTTTTCTCTAGTTTCTAGAGTTTTTCAAACTTTCACACAATCTACAATTAAAGACCATTTTTTCTTATTTCCCAGAATTAATATGTTCTTTTTAAATACCACACTTTTGTCATTTCACAAAGTTTGGGGTGGGAGACAGTTTGGCCATTAAACTCTTTCTGCCGTCTTGATCCCTCATCCCTATGAATTTGACGGCCCATGGGTTCTAATGTGCTGATATGCCTGTTCCTCCTGGAGACACAAAATTAGCACAATGAAGGAAATTCGTGGTGGTAATTTCCAGTGTGTAAAGGTATTTGGGGCAAGTGAGCTGTGCCTCACTTGCCCCAAATTCCACTCCTTACTAACTTTGCAATAAGAAGGCTTTTCAGAAGATGCCATGTGAGCCATATGGCAGCTTGGAGAGATAATAGAAATCTAATATAAAATATGTATGATATTATATATATAAAGTATATATAAAAATATAATCCTAACCCCCCACAACTGACTGAACGGATCCCCTATTTGCCAAGGGGACCCCAGAGAAACCTTGAAAGTGAATTCACATCCATGACTAGACAGGAAGCTGGACACACCTCATTATACCCCCTCCATTTTGCAGTTTGAACCCCAAACTGATCAGTGTTAATTTCAAAATAGAGACCAAAAGACTGAAAGAACAAACTCTTTGAGACTGTAAGATACCAAATTATAAACAAGCCATGCCAGGCAAGGGTTAAGTCAGGCACACAGACGTAAGGCATAAAGTCTGTTCCAATTGCCACAGGTTTTTTTCTTTTTCTCTAACAGCTAAACAAGCACTGGCCTCGAGATAAGCCATGTTGAAGCAGCTGCACCTCCCCGGCCATGAGACACTGAGACCCCTGTTCCACCTGCTGTAACTACGGCTTTGGTTGGACAGGAGACTGATTTAAATCACTTTCTCCTGATAAGAAGACCACCAACCATGGGCTAGTTCTGGCTGGTTTACAGAGGCTGCCCACTTAAATGCCTTTGCGTCCTCAAATGACCTTTCAACATATGAGGTCTAATTAAAATACATTTAAATATTAAGTCTACTCCCCAAGGTAAACGTGGCTTGTACGTAACATGCATGTTTATTTGGTGTGAATGCATTAGGACTACCTTCATGAATATCCATGGCCCTTCCTTTAACCTGTTGAATATGTATGTTAGCCAATCAGTTCAGCTTCCAGCTCCTGTCCCAACCTCTTCTCCTCTGAAGTGCCTGTCTCTGATCTTTCCTAGAAGCTACACTTCCCAGCATGCGGGATGCAACCTTGCAGGCTATAACCCTTTACAAGAAATAAACTCTACTCTCTAAATTTATAGACTGTGTGATTTTTTAAGGAGACAAAAATAGCACATTACTGAAAAGAAGACTTATCTGCAAGCTGCAATATCTGTGCTTTTAATTTGGTTCCACTACATTCTTAGCTCTGAAGATTTTGGAAGTCAGTTGAAGTTGTATCAAAATGGTTAAAAAAATTTTTAAATGTCAACTTATGTGTTTTTGTGTTCTTAGAAATTTGTCATATCCCACAAATTCAACTCTGCAAAGATTTTCTTTAGAGTTAGGTTAGGGGTGATTAAGGAAGCTGATATTAATGTTTGTCCTGATTATAATGGTAAGCTATGACATTTATATTTCTTCAAAATTAATTAATTTCATCCTACAACCACAGAAGGAGATGGGACAGCTTCCTCACTATAAGAGCTTTCCTGACAACTTCATAGCTATGAGCTCTGGGAACAGAGCTCGGTAGCCTTTGAAACTGTGGTTCTACAACCACATGGGATTGCTTCGCACATATGCAAAGCCTGCAGGCTCCCACGGAAAAGTAAACCACAGTTCAAAACTCATCTTTAAAGCTAGAAAATAAATGCCAACCTGCTATTTTCAAGACCTGATGATAAAGCAGCATAGGCAAAAAAAAAAGAAATAAATAAATAAATAAATAAAAGAAAGAGAAAGAGAAAGCTTTCTAGACTCTAAAGTGTAAACCTGTAGGAAAGCTAATCTGAATTTCAAAGGCAGCACTAACCATTAATTAATTATAAGGCTCCAGGGCCCCCAGAACAGTAGCATAGGAAAAAAGAAAATGAATTCAGGCTAAGTGCTCACACTACAGAATAACCTATAGGAATTTTTGTCCAACCAAGAAAGTCACAAGTCACTAAAACTCCCCCCAGGGAGAATTATGGCCATGAGGAAGGAGCTGGGGAGACCCAGCCATGCTCCATCTGTCCGTCCTCAGCCCCTGGAGTCCTGCTCATTCTTACTCCACACACTGAGGTTCACAGGCACACTCCTATCTGGACTTAGGTTTTCTACCATTTCGTCAAATTGCAGGCTTTAATAGTTCTCTGGTTTTGCTTTCATTCTCCTTAAGCCTCAGACATAACTCACTTCTACCCTCCTCCAAAGTGGGACCACATGCCATTCCCTGTCTGGCTTTCCTTGGTCATGTTTGGTGAATACACTTCAAGGAATTCCATGTGAAATTCAAAACCAAAGGAAGGAAATAAGAAAAGGGAAGAAGGAAGGGAGGGAGGGAAGGAAAGGAGGGAGGAAAGTAAGGAGGAAGGAAGGGAGAGAGGGAGGGAAAAATGTCAGAATGGGAAGTGGAGAAGAGAACGTCTGCGTCTTAGTGGGAAATGGCACAGAGAAGAGGAAATCTATTTTCTCAGCCAAAATTGCCGTGTGCGTTCCCTTCGAATGCACACGAAGGGAAGGAAAACAGAAGGTTTGACCTCCCATTTGCCTGGGTACCAAGCTAGTGCTGTGTCTGTATGTAGCTCCCCAGACAGCTATCTCATCCTTCATCCTCAGAGCCTTGCCTATTCTGCAGATAAGGAAAATGAGGTTTAGAGAGATTAAGGCTGTTGCCTAAGGTCACAAAGCTAGATGTGACTGCACCAAGGTTTGAATGCCAGGATATTTCTGGTGTCAAATTCAAACGCATTTCTAGAATTTGGAGCCAATTTAGCAGGCACAGTGTAAGCTGTTGATGGTTTGCAATGCTTAGAAATGCCTCCATCTAGCACATAGACCTGCACAAGAAAGCCTTCTGCACACCAGCAATTATGATTTCAGATCCATGCTGCTTCAACTGCAGTAGCTAATTAGATCAAGACAGGAATCATGACACAAACCATAGTTCAAACTAGCTAATTAGATGAAGATCAATATAAAATCTTCTTTAGACAAAGGTACAATTGGACATTTCTGGCAGGGATATCTGCATGTTGAGTCAATAAGATAAGGACAAAAAACACATGTTAAAGAGTGTGTGTGTGCCAGAATCCTTTCTCCGCTCTCTTTAATGAAGTGAGCAATACTATTTCCTGGGGAAATAGAAGTGAATTAAATAAACAGGGACAGCTTAGCGCTGGCTGCAAAGGATTGTGGCTCAGGGTTGGAAGATGCACGGACTTGGTTACATATCCTTTGGAGCCTCAGTTTTCTCATATTTCAATGGGTCTGAAAACTACCAAGATGATTCATAAATCTTTTCTCGAGACTTGGAAGCTTATGTCTGTTTTCACACACCGTGTATTTTTTTATTGTCACAGCAACTCTTGGATGTGAGTGCAATCATTGTTATATTCACTCACAGAACAAGAAAACTGAGGCTTTTAGGTGAACTTGCTCAACGCTTTCCAGCTAAAATGGGGAGACATAGCACAGATTGTTCTAACTCTCAATGCCCCTACATTTGCTGGTAGAGGTACGTCCTTAGGTCTACGGCACATTGACGAGTCTAGTGACAATACGGAATCCCACGTCCACTGTGACATTAACTCATCACTCAACCTTTTGTGAGTCTGGAGCCCTCATCTGCAAATCCAAAGTATTCGATTAGTAGTTTTTAAATTTTGAGTGTCTCAGATTGCTCTGAAATTCTAATGAAAGCCATGAAATATGCCCTGGGTGAAGGAAGCTCATTCACAAAACATTCTGTATGGTTTTCAGGCATTCACTGCTTTTTTGGTGCTCACCATGAGCTCCGTATGGTGCTACCCACCAGAGGCCCCCTAGACTAAGTCGAAGGCTGTTCTCATACTTCACATCTCAGGATCCTGTGCAGAATATTTCTCCTAAAGAGAAAGCTCTTATTATATTTCATTTGACATTTTACCCTGAGGAAAACAGACTATTAAATAAAAATTAAAAATGCAAAAATAATGCACTTAAAACATGTACAAAAATGTATCATTGGGCTGAACATAATGGTTTGCTCCCGTAATGCCAGCATTTTGGGAGGATGAGGTATGAGAATAGCTGAAGGCCAGGAGTTTGAGACCAGCCTGAGCAACATAGTGAAACCCTGTCTCTGCCAAAAAAAACAAAAAAAAAGAGAGAGAGAAAAGTAATTAGCTGAGCATGGTGGTGTGCACTGGTAGTCCCAGCTACTCAGGGGGGTTAGGCAGGAGGATCACTTGAGCCCAGGAGTTCAAGGCTACAGTGAGCCATGATAGTGCCACTGTACTCCAGGCTGGGCTACAGAACAAGTTACTGTCAAAAAAAAAAACCTGTACAATTGATATTACTATATGCATAATTGAATAAAAGTCACACAATTCTTCAGGGTTTTTCTCTCAATCTGTAATTTCCAACCTAATCATAGAAACTAGTAGAATAAGACCTTGTGAAAGAACTTATAAAATCAGAAAACAGAGAAGGGAAATTGCAGATGGCTTTGTTTATCTTCCTTTCAATCCTCCTAAATAGTTTCCTTGATGAAAATGGACCCCAGACCAGAAAAGAAAACCTTCAACATGAGCGTAGCTGGAAAGTTTGTGTGAGCTCAGCTGTGGACCTTATTCTCTGAAGCCAACATGAACAGCAATGACAACCATCCTCATGAAAGGAGGACTTAGAAAGGAGAATTCATTTGTACTTCAGCTGTTCCATACACTTCCCAGTTAATGTTCCTCTCCTTGGGAGCAGGGGGAGGCTTATGTCAGGGGTTAGGAACATGAGATGTTAGTAAATTCCGGAGTAAAACCAAGCCAGAGCCTAGCTGACCAATGCTATGGTTTGAATGCTTGTATCCCCTCCAAAGTTCCTATTGAAACTTAAACCCCAATGCAGTAGTATTAAGAGGTGGGGCCTTTAGGAGATGATTAGGTCACGAGGGCTCCTCTCTTGTCAATGGGATGAGGGCCTTTATATTAATAACAGAGGCTTTACATAGCATTCAGCCCTCCTCGGCCCTCTGCCTTCCACCACGTGAAGACACAGCATTCGAGGCACCATCTTGGAAACAGAGAGACTGGGCTCTCACCTGACAAACAAACCAGCCAGCACCATGATCTTGGACTTCCCAGCTTCCAGGCCTGTGTGAAAGTAAGTTTCTGTTCCCTATAAATTATCCAGTCTCAGATATTTTGTTATAGCACCATAAATGGATTAAGGCACTCAAGTGGAGCTTCAAACACTGGAAAGGTCAAATGCTGACAGAGACAGATCCAAGGGCCTGTCCAAGGGCAGGAGCTACAGAAATCAGAGTCCTAAATCAGACAGGGATGACACAGGAGGCATAGCAAGGCAAAGACAAGAACAAGAGTCCCAGTGTGCTCTCTGCAGGTGGCCCCAGAAAGAGACCTGAAGCCTGTTCTGGAGAGAGTGGGGTGCCTTGTGAGAACAAGCGTGGGCTCTCTCAAAAATATTGAGCCATAGAGGTATACAATGTGAAGTGGGGGTGTCATGATCAGATTGCTTCATAAGATCATCCTAGCATCATGTGTTGGATCTCATGTCATCTTTCTCAGCAACCTGATATGGAATATCTTGCAGATTTTTTGCAAGATTATGTTTTTAAACAAGATAGGTGAAAACCAGATGGTTTGCCTCCAAGCCCCTACTAACTAGACATCCCTGCATTTCCCCTTAACCCACAAAGATCCATGAGGCCCTGAGTGTTCTTACAAGGCAAATTCCACATCTGCTACTACAGATGAATTCTTATACAAAAAAAATTATACAGTGATTAGGCACATACAGCAGAATAAGACTATGAAACTAATATTTACTTGATTTATCTTTTAGCTTCTGATATATCTACCCTTCTAAAACTCACCCTTAAATGCAAGTCCTACAATATCTTTACCCATTTTTCTACTAATTTTTTTCTGACTAAATATAAACTTATCCTCCAGAGAGTTAATTCTAGCAGATCTTGACCTACAACCTAATAGGGAAGGAAAGTCTTAGACTGCGAAGAATGTTAAGATGAAAATAAATTATACCCAAAAAGATATCATCATACAGCATATTTCCCAAGGCATTCGTATGCTTCACACAAAGGTATGACTGAATGAGAGAGACTGCCCTCTCTTTGGCAGCTCTGGGGCACAGCTGCGGAGGAGAGGCGGAGTCCAGGGCCACCTGGGGGTCTCTTCTGCTACTGTCTCAAAACCATGAGTTTCCAGCCTCAAGCAGTGGGTCCAGCTTTCCATAATAAGAATGTTTCAACACAAATTTTAGTTTCTCTCAAATTCTCACATAAAAATCTAAACCTGTCTCTTTTGAGACAGACTGTCACCCACGGCCCCCTTTCCTTTCTATCATTTTTTTTTTTACTCTGAGCTTAGGGTACACCTGAGATGACAAAGTCTGGGGCCACATCTGGGACTGGGAGAGGGTGTGTCTGCAAGGCAGCACTCTGGCGGCCCTGGGATCTCCCTCACCGCTTACCTCTTGGGCACGTCCTTTGCAGGACATTCAAATTTCCTCTGCGTCTAACATGACTGCAAGAGCCTTCCGGAGCTGTGTTGTGATGGTGGGGGAGGAGAGGCCGGGGAGAGCAGGAATCCATCACAGGCCTGGCATGTGCTCCAGGGGCACAAGGCTGCTAGAGGCAGAGCTGGGATTAGGATGCAGTCACACCTCACACCGAAGCCCAGACCTTTCCCTTAGCCTCTGTGTCTCCCTGGGCAACAGCACCTGTACCGTCATTAGTCTTTGCTTTCTCAACCCAGAGCTGTTTGACTCACTGGGTTCACACCTCTATTCTGCTTGCAATTCATGTAACGGTAAGTGGTGCTTTAACGAACACTAAATCATAATCACTAAATATATTAGGTTTTCTTCTTATTTATGGAGTTGAGATGTTTTCAACATTTATACCAGAGAGTGTTGCTGCATGTTTATGAATGATCACTCACGTAGCTTAACCTAAATAGGAAAGAAAGCCAATTTGGATAATATAGAAATTTTTTTTTTAGGATATAACTGTTAGTGACAGCTAACAAACACATAGTACAAGTTTTACGCTCACAAGTCTAATTGTTTCACTGACAAATATTCTCATGTTTTCATAAAAGCTCATTGTGTTACTATGTGCTAGATAGACAACTGGTAAATGAATGTATTTTAGCAATCTTAATTTAATTCATATTAATTTATTTTAGAATCTAAGCTCCTCACCCTGTGACATTAACATGCCGATTTCACAGATAGAAAAGCTGAGGCTCACTGAGTTTATGCAACTTACCAATATCACACAACTAGGGCATGAGAGCACCAGGATTCAAGCTTTTCCAGCCAGACTGGTTCTATCAAGAGATGTTTAAAAGCAGTCTGAGAGAACCATTTTTCCTTAGTCTCTTCTGTACCCATCCTCTAAACCTAATTATTAATTTGCAGTATCGTTAAGTCACAAATAAACTGTTTTATACTGAAGTCACCAATTAAGTTTGATTGTTTTATTGGTGACAGAGAGCTAAAGCCTTTCCTGTACCCCATCTGTCATAAAGCCCTTGCTTAAAACTGCTTGGTGGAGATGTCGCACTCCAATACAGAGATAAAAGGAAGATTGAAAATGCATGATGTGAATGTGTCCTAGAGGCTAATCTCAGGCAGGGGGAGGGAGAGAAGCTCCGCTCGTCTGTGTTCTCAGCCATACATTATCCCGCTCATCTATTTATCGTCAGGGGCTATCATTAGGAAGATTAAAAACCAGTGTCTACAAATAGCCCTGAAATTTTTGTCTTTCGTTAGTGACTTATTATTATTACTCAACACCTCCTTTTTTCCAGCAAAGACAATGATTTCTTAGTCTGCATCAGGATACAATCCATAGAGAATTCATCAGGGCTAAGAAAATATTAAACACTATTTCCAACAGCCGCCTCCTATTGTCAGGGGCCATCTTTGATAATAATGGCCTTAATTTATAGAAATATAAATAATACAACAGTGACACCAGAAATCTATGATCATATAAATCTGTCTCAGATCAGTACAAATGAACATAGTTAAATGAAACTGAACTATAAATACTTCCATCCACCAGCTTCTGATGGAAAAAGTTTACCAAAAAAAAGGCAAGAACCACAATTGCAATAAAAATGGAAGCATCTTTAGTCAACAGAGGGCTTTCACCTTGAAATATGAGCCATTTTTGCATTTAATACTGCTGAAATCTTAAAATATATTGAATTTATTTTTTAAGAAAGAAAACAGATGTCAGGCATTGTATAGTCTCAGACAATCCCCATGCATGCTGGTGTATGCACCCTTTTTAACCTAAGGAGCAGTAGCACCTTAGATTATATTTTGCCTTGCTCATGGGAATAAATGGATACATGATCTTATAAATAACATAGCACTATAGTGTCATTGACTTGGCTGGGTAATGTTATTTTTTCCATCTTAAAAATTACATACATTTGCTTTTAGAAATCAATGAAATCCGTTTTTAAGAACGTTCTCTTGCTTTAAGAAAAGTCATCTGCATTCAGCAGCTGAACAAGGACAACGTAGTAATTTTTTTCTCTTTTTTAGATTTCATTTTATTGATTACACTAGGAAAAAGCCTAAATTGCTTTATTCAGTAGAAGGGGGAACACATATATAGAATTTTAATGCAAGGAGATAAGCTGCATTGATCTTTCCAGATATTCATATCAAACATAACTTATTAGAAACACCTTCAATCTAAACAAACAGGCTCAAGAAAAAAGAAAATATGCAGAAAGATTATTGTTATTATAGGAGCATGACATTTTCTTTTCATTATGGAATATGTACTCATAAAATGAGCTGGAAGAGGAAGGCCCTTCCACAAAATTTTAAATGTTGCCTTTCATATTCGAAATGTTGAAATTTTTTATTTGACATCCATGATCATAGAAGTACAGGATTTTTTTTATTGTTTTAATTTTATCAAGATGAAAGTTAAGTTTCCAGGAGCTAGAGGTGCTATTTATCCAGATATATCACAACAGGTCATTTCATAATTAATCAGGTCATTATGGAGAATTATTTAGAGCTCTTCCATCCAAACCCATGTTTAATTTGTGATCGGAATACAATTTTATTAATACTGTGTACAGTTGCAGAAGTTTTGCTGGGGAGCTTCAAATCTGTTTAAAGAATTGCAAATATATGAGGACCCCAAGTCATCATAAGCACTTCCTAGGTTGCTGCCAATTAAAGTCATGTGGGTTCGGTACCTTCCTAGAGTTGCTCATCCAAGATTTAAGTCAGGGCCATTGCTAGAAAGGGAGTCCCTTCTAGGCCCACTCAGCCCTGGCCACCCAGGTATCCCCGCCCTGAACACTGCGGCTCAGAGCAACCGAGGGCATTCATCGATCCCTGCCCTTGCAGCTGGCAGGCAGAACCAAAGAACTGGCGCCCTTTGTCACCTTGTTTGCAGTGTGCTCCGATCACTGCAGGGGAATGTGAGTCCCACAGGCTCCTTTGCCTCTGTTGATTGCCACATGCATTTCCAATGCAGGGATTCTCCCCGAAGTGCCCTTTCCCCACATTCACTGCTCCTTAGCTCTCGCTCTGCTTCTGACTTTCACTGGGCACCTTCTCAGTTGCCCGGGGGAAGAGTGCTTCCTGCCGCACTCTGTCACCTTCCCATTGTTATAACAGATGCACAAAAAATGACTCCTCCTATGGCTGATGTGATATCCCAGAGAGAGCAACGCTCTGGAATTAAACCGCTGGGCCCCTAACCCCAGCCTCCAGACATCCTGACTATTGAACCTTAGTGATGGACCTCACTTCTCTGTCCCTGGGTTTCCTCATCTCTGAGATGCACCCAAGGCCTCTTGTGTGCCCTCAGGTCCCCACCCGCGGCCACTCTGCTTCCAGGCCAAGCCATGCCCTGGCTTCCAGCTGGATTAAATGGATGAGAGTAACAGAGGAGAGTGGCGTCTGAGGATTCGACTTTCTGGCTTCTTCCCTGTGAAGGTTCTTGGGCTCAATGTGTCCCTTCAAAGAAACTGTTCTCTCAAGGCCCCCTGCATCAAAGGACGTTCTCTTCTGAAAAACTGAGACAATCTGTCCTCTCCTCAGCCTTTCTGGGTGGTGGCAGCCCAGCTGCTTCTAGAACCTGGAACCTTCACCCCCTGAGCAGATCAGAGCTTAGCCCGTTGGTAAAGACTCACTCCTGATTGGAACCAGCCTTCCTTTCCTATTGGGACTCTGACTGTGAAGGACTGCCACACACTGTTTTTATGGTTTGTTCGTTTTTGTTTTGTGTGGATGTGAGTGTGTGAGTGAAATATACTAAGATAATGTATGCCAAGTCTGAGCATTCAAGACTAATATGAACTCGATATGGGTTTCAAAATGGCACAGGTCACTGGAGAGCCTGGCCCTCGAGTCCAGAGCTGGGAAGCTGTTGAAAGGCCCTGTTCTGCCTCAATCTGCTCACCTCCCCGTAGACTTCCAGAACGGATGTGGTCAATAGAGTCATGCCTCTCCCACAGGTGCCCATGTCCTAATCCCCAGAAATTGTGAAGAGGTTGGTACACGGCAAAGCAAAATTCCGGTTGCAGATGGAATCAAGGATGCAGATCAGCTGATGTTAAAATAGGGAGATCGTTTTGGACTATCCAGGTGAGGCCATTGCAATCCCAAGGGCCCTTAAATGTGGAAGAGGGAGGCAGAGGGTGAGAGCAGAGGGAAATGTGACTACCCAAGAAAGGCACAGAGAGCTGCAGCTTGATGGCCTTGGAGACAAACAAAGGGGCCCAGGAGCCGAGGAATACGGGCGGCTTCTAGCAGCTAGAAAAGGTGGGAAAGTGGATTTCTCCCCAGAGCCTCCAGAATGGGACACGGCTGTAGCAACTCTTTGATTTTAGCCCGGTGTGACCAGTGCCCTATTTCTATGCTATAGAACTACTGAGATAATGCATCTGTGTTGCTTAAACTGCTAGGCTTCTAGTAATTCATTACAGCAGCAATAGTAAACTAATACAGTATAGATATGGAGGAAACTACCCATTCACACTTCATTCTCTGAAAAACTTTATTTCATCTGAACCTCTGACCATCTATGCTGAATTTGAGGCTCATACAAACTTGAGTTTGAGCCCCATAATTAGTAAGAAATTAGAATAAATATTAAAAAATAATAACACTTTTCCAACAAGTTCCTCTCCTCTTTCAAAGACTTTCAGAATATGGACCTCACTTGAAAATTAAGAAATGCTGGAAGCAGCAAACTCTAATTCTCATATCTGCCTTTGGTAGATTTTCCCATCCAACAATAAAAGTACCGCCATGAGAGCCCTGGGAGGGCAGTTCCTCAGGCTAACGGGCCTCAAGCTTCCATTCAGGCTCTGCCCTCCACTCACCAATCCATGCACACTGTTCAGGAACTCACCTCTGTCCCAACTCTACGTTCCAGGTTCTGTACAGCCTCTCCTGCTCATGCTGCACAGCGTTCCGGGAAAGCTGGATGCATCGAGCATGTTTAATTTCGCTGATACATCCATCTCTTTGGTCCCTTCATCACGATTTCTTTTGTAAGCCCCTCTGATCTGTCAACAGATTTATGTGGTATTGAGGGTCCCCTATCTGAAAGTTCTAGATGTGGCACTCCCACAGTGCAAAGGAAAGGCTGTACAGAAAACTCAACTTCTCTTCTTGGTGATGAAGTGACAGCTCTGTGTGTGTGAGCTGAGAGTAGGGGGGAGGGATTTGTGTGTGTGGTGTGTATGTGGTGTGTGTTTGTGGTATGTGTGGGTGTGGGTGTGTGGGATGTGTGTCTGTGGGGTGTGAAGGGGTATGTTTGTGTGCATGTGTGTGGTGTGTGTGGTATATATGGAGGTATGGTGCATGTGTGTTTGTGTGTGTGTGGTGTGTGTGTGCATGTGGGCGTGTGCTCTGTGTGTGGTGTGTGATATGTGTGGAGGTGCATGGTGTGTATGTGTGTATCTGTGTGTATTATGTGTTTGTGGAGGTGCATAGTGTTGGTGTGCTTGTGTGTGTGTTGTGTGTGGTGTGTGTGGAGTTGCATGGTGTGTGTTCACATGTATGTGTGGGTGTGATGGCTGTGCGGTTTATGAAGTGTGGGGGTGTATGGTGTATGTGTGCATGTATGTGTGGTGTGTGCAGTGTGTGGTGGTGTATAGCGTGAGTACACATGTATGTGCGGGTGTGATGTGTGTGGTGTGTGATATGTGAGGAGGTGCATGGTGTGTGTGTAGTGTGAGTGTGCTTAGGTATGCATGTGTGTGTACATGCATGTGTGTGATTGTGTGGTATGCACACATGTGTGACGGGTATGTGCATGTGTGTGGTGTGCATGTGTGTGGTTTGCATGTGTGTGGTGTGTGAAGGGTGAGGAGGTGTATAGTGTGAGTGTACATGTATGTGTGTGTGGATGTGATGTGTGTGTGGTGTGTGATATGTGAGGAGGTGGTGTGCATGCATGTGTGATGTGTATGCACATCTGTGTGGTGTGCATGTATGTGTGTGTGCATGCGTGGTGTGTGTGCGTGTGCATGCACATACTCTATGGCTGCATTGTCTCCTAACGATCACCCAGCTCTGGAACTCTCTTGCCTTTATTCACTCACTCATTCATTCCTCCAGGTATTTGAAAGCCAGTTGTGCCAGGCATGCTTCCCAGACACAAGAGTGAACAAGACAGTGCCCAAAAAGGACAGATAGAGAGCAGGGTCCAAGACCAAGCTGAGTAACCCCATCCTTCAGCAATGGGGCAATGGAGGAGAGGAGAGTAAGCTGGTGAGGGGAGAGAAGCTGCTAGAGAAAGAAAGAAAAGGACAAAAGGGAAAGCCCGGACATTATAAGACAGTAGGTCCTGGGGAGCAAAAACATGACATAATCAAAGTTACATAGCTAGATGTTGAAAGATCCAGGGCCCTTGCATTCAGACTTAGAGGTTTGTTCACTATACCATTGACGATATTCAGATTTGGGGTCTTTCTTACCTGAAGCTCCTTTCAGGATCTCCTTTTAAAAGGATTTGATTCTGCAGACTGAATAGCCCTGTTAGATTATTTCAATGTCTGTGAAGCGGTCTTGCTTATCTATTAAAAAAAATCTAATCATTCTAATCTTGCTGTTATAGTAGAGGCCAGGTGTTCACAGACATAATGTTCATGTTTGACTCACCCTGGACCCCTGCTGGGGCACTGTATCTAAACTGTGGGGCAACCCATAAAGGCCATGGCCAATCTGGTTGTAGATTTGCAAGATGTTCTTATCCTAGTGATACCCAAGAGCTGTTTGAGGGACAGGTAACGTGAACCTTCACACTTTTCTTAAAGGTGGACATATTTGTCCACCACATCAATAGTTTCCAATCTCCTTCCCTTGCACAATATTTCCTAATATTCCCCCAATTTCAGGATCCTCCTTACCCCAATCATGATTGCAACAGAAGAGACTCAGCAACTTGTTCCCCATGTAGAAAGATTAGTTATCTGAAGTCCTCTCTATATTCTGCTTGTCAGCATTTGTGTTCTTGGAGCTTAGCATCCATCCATAAGCACGGTAGGCTCTTAGCTTTTCTAGATATCTAAATGTAGGTGCTAGACACTTAGATATCTAGCACCTACACTTAGATGTCTAGAAAAGCTAAGAGTCTACTGTGCCACACATAGCAGGTGTGGCAAAAATCCCTTCTTTGGCTCTCAGTAGCATTGTAGGTACGGCACCTACATAAACAAGTGAAGGAAGGAAAAACATGTCTCAAGACTACAATGGTTGCAAATAATCACCAGGTTGCCTAACCTCATAGATATTGAAGGACAGAGGACTTTAAAGTCTCATGAACAATGCTTAAGCAACAAGAAGAAGGAAGACAAGACTGATGGTTAATATTGAGTATCAACTTAATTGGACTGAAGGATGCAAAGTATTGTTCCTGGGTGTGTCTGTGAGGGTGCTGCCAAAGGAGATTAACATTTGAGTCCATGGACTGGGGGACCACCATGGGACCTTCAGTCCCGGTGGGCACAATCTAATTAGCGGCCAGCACAACTAGGATAAAAGCAGGCAGAGGAACGAGGAAGGACTAGACTAGCTAAGTTTTCTGGCCTGATCTTTCTCCCATGCTGGATGTTTCCTGCCCTCAAACATCTGACTCCAAGTTCTTCAGTTTTTGGACTCTGGGACTTCCACCAGTGGTTTGCCAGGGGCTCTCGGGCTGTTGGCAACAGACTCTCCCAGCTGAAGTGACAACTGTCCCAGCTGAAGAAGATGCCTTTCCCCAGGAGCATGGCCACAAGGAGACAGTGTCCAAGGCTGCACTGTCAGTCTCCTTACTTTTGAGATTTTGGGACTCGGACTGGCTTCCTGGCTCCTCAGATTGCAGACATCCTATTGTGGGACTTCACTTTGTGATCAGGTGAGTCAACACTCATTAAAAAACTCCCCTTTATATACACATGCATCCCATTAGCTCTGTCCCTCTAGAGAACCCTGACTAATACAGACGACAAAGAAAAAAGATTTTTAATTCTCCAACGCTCACTAAATATTTTCCTTTTTATAGCTTCCTAGTATATGCCATGGACTAATTTGGAATCTTGCTGAGGTCCAGATAGGTGTGTCATTGACTGCAAGGCTCTTGCGAAGCAATGGTTTAAGTTACAGTGTATTCATGAGAGAAGAGGGAGACTCCACAGACAGGAGTCAGAGGAGACCTGCGAAGGGCCCGATGACATGCCTCCCTCGATTCCCAAACCCAAAAGCTGTAGGTGACTTCATTAAAGAAGCCAGCTGCAAATGCTCTTATAGATGCTCTTGGGTGAGAGGACACGCTGTCCCTAAGTGTGCATTTGTAGTTGCTCTTGTCGTGTTGTTTCTAATTGAGGTAGAACTTGTATACAACACATGGACAGATACGAGGCAGAGTTTCATCATTTTGACAAACACACAACCTTGCAAGAATCCTGAACACTTTCATGAATGATTGTAAGTGTAACAAATATGAGGGGATAAATAGATTTAAACAGAAATGCAATTCAGATGGCACTTTTCAAAAGCATATAATTTACATCATCCAAGGTGAAAATGCTCAATTTTAAATTTGGCATAGCAATACTCAGCAGTAGACACTCAGTGCTTTTGGAAAAAAAAAAAAAAAAACTAAACTAACAAAAGGGAAGTAAATTCTTCAGTTTACTCTGCTCCTGAGCTGAGGTTTGACTCCAATGTGGTGGCGGCTACAATAATGGAGTGGTGAGGTGCACCTCTCACCCTCCTCCAGTTTATAGTTCACTTACAGGTGGGGCAGTGGCTGAGCCAAGGCGGGACTTAGTATTCTAGGGGCACCCTGACATAATACCAATTGAAAAAGCTTGGATCTTACAACAGCTTTTTACTGTGTGCATTTATAAAATCCTTAAGTGAATGACTTAATATACTGTGTTTTTTTTGTACTACACTCTCTTTGCTGTCTTTAAAAATCCTACATTAGGCTAGGCGCGGTGGCCCATGCCTGTAATCCCAGCACTTTGGGAGGCCGAGGCGGGCGGATCATGAGGTCAGGAGATCAAGGCCATCCTGGCTAACACAGTGAAACCCCGTCTCTACTAAAAAATACAAAAAATTAGCCGGGTGTGGTTGCGGGCACCTGTAGTCCCAGCTACTCGGGAGGCTGAGGCAGGAGAATGGCGTGAACCCGGGAGGCGGAGCTTGCAGTGAGCCGGGATCGCGCCACTGCACTCCAGCTTGGGCGACAGAGCAAGACTCCGTCTCAAATAAAATAAAATAAAATAAAATCTTACATTAAAAAAGAACATATATTTCTAAGTAGATGGATTTGAATTGGGTGGTGAGTGCTGGTGATATTTGCAGACAATATTCTGATATCCACCATGAGAAAAAAGGAAGAGAAGGGAAGAAAGCGTATGGGAAAATTTGCTATTGATTTCTTCTAGAGGTTTCTAGAAATGTCCACAATGTACTTAGAGTTGATGATTTTAAATAGTGTCATAAACATGATATGCACAACAATTAGTGATACTGTAACATGGTGTATTATCCTGAATTATTTCAGTAGCAAGTGCCCAGCACAACCCAAACTAGCTGAAGCCAAAAAGAGAATTTATTCACTCACACTAAGTGGGAAGTTAAAAGTTGGTGCTGACTTCTAGAGTCGAGGGACACAAATGACCCAGTCAACATTTTCTCTGTATCTCTCAGCATCCACTCTTTCAATGGGCTGATACCATTTTCTGATAATATGGACAGCTTTCTTTCTTGCAGCAGGGAAGGGTGATGCATGACCACAAAAAGATCCGGTTTTCATCATCTCGGCCTGGTGAATCTAGAAAAAGAGATGGTCTTCCTCCCAGAGTCCACAGTCCTCCCAGAGCATAGTCCCCTGGGGCCTATGCTTGCCGCTGTGTTAACCACTCCAGCCAGGAAGACAGAAAACAAGGAACGGCCAATCTTGGACCACACTATGGAGTGGAAGAGGCGTCGCTCCATAGGAAAAAAGTGCTGCATCCAGAAGAGGATGGGAAGGGATGCCAGGCAGTGGAAAATACCAGATGTGCACTTTAGACAGCCAGGAAATCTATCACCCTGTCAACAGTGCTTGTCCAATTAAAGGACAAATCCGTTTTCTCACTTGCTACCAAATGTGAATAGTGACAACTGTCCCAGCTGAAGAAGATGCCTTTCCCCAGGAACATGGCCACAAGGAGACAGTGCCCAACTGAGGCTGCACCTTGAGTTGATCTGGTTCGGTAGAGCCAATAGAGACAGAAGAAGATATGGCCTAAAAAGGATCAACACAGTTGAAATGGTTTAGATATTTTCCTTTGGAATCGATAAATACCATTGGAGACATTCCACCCGAGGCCTCATAAACCGTTTTGTTCATTATTTCACATTGCTATCCAAATGTTAAACCATCGTTACAGTCACTACTGCACAAAATGCACTATAAAATAAGAGTTCTAGAATGCTCATATTCTGATATATCATCTGTCCACTTATACACACATACACATACGCATATACATATGAGTAAGAGAAAGAAATTCTAGATCCACAAATACGTCTGTTTGTTCTTACTTGCCCTGGGATCTCAGACAAGAGCAAAGTAATCAAACAGCCCTGGTCTGGCATTGACATGTAAATGAGCCCATGGTGAAACTGAGTTTGCTCTGTCCCTGATCTCCATGTCAATACCTGACTATCCTGTAATTTATGTACATAGAGGAGTCAGAGAATAGGCACAATTCTTATCACCCTTGAACACATGTTAAAAATTTACTCCCTGAAATGAGTGTGCTCAAATACAACTTGGTAATATAGGCTAACGTGCTTTCCAAGTTTATTCACATGCAAGTTTATTCACTATATTTTGAAACTATTTATTTTCTTTTAAAGGAAATCACTGCCTGAAAGATATCTCTGGAGTCAGGAGCCTCTGCTTTCTGCATTGAGAAGTCCAGGCTGCATATCGGCAAGAAGAATCAACCAAGCCAACAGGCACACCTGGCGGCGTCACCCTCCAACGTAGATGTTTCGACACCAAGCACTTCAACAGCCCCAGTAGCTTCCTCCTCAGCTTACTGATACTTGAAGATTTTTGTTTAGGGTTCATTTCTAGACCAGGTAAAATGACAAATTCAGTTCCACCAATGGTGTCTGGCTGTGCCTACCACAAAGCCTCTCACTTCAGAAAGGCCTCCGCCCAGGCTTGGATCCCAACTCTCTTCCAGGGTCTGGGGCAGTGGAGCAGCCCCCACCAGCTCTGTTAAAAGCCTTCGGGCAAATGGAGCTGCCCTTTCCTTTCCTGTTTAGTATCAAGGTCACCGAATGGGAGCATCCGGCAGACCTAGGCAGCCTCAGACTTTCTGAGACTCGATTACAAAGCCTACTTTTTATGGGAGTCGGTTTCAAACATCTGTTAAGATTGGGCAGGATAAGAGAAAACCCATCTTTATGAAATTTTTTTTTTTGAGATGGAGTCTCTCTCTGTCACCCAGGCTGGAGTGCAGTGGTGCGATCTCGGCTCACTGCAACCTCCACCTCCCAGGTTTTAGCGATTCTCCTGCCTCAGCCTCCCGAGTAGTTGGGATTACAGGCACGTGCCACCATGCTCAGCTAATTTTTTGTATGTTTAGTAGAGATGGGGTTTCACCGTGTTAGCCAGGATGGTCTCAATCTGCTGACCTCGTGATCCACCCACCTCGGCCTCCCAAAGTGCTGGGATTACAGGCATGAGCCACCACGCCTGGCCCAAAATCATTTATTAAATTTTTTTTAAGGTAAACATGTCATAAATGAGGCAAACATTTAAAAATGTGTAAAATGCATTCATTGTAGAAGACGGACCTGTCTCTCTCAATTGAAATTAAGCAAACAGTGATCTTCGCTGGCTACCGAATTGTTTGGAAATCCTTCATGATGTTATCCCTCATATCTAATGCCCTTATTCTTTAGATAATTAAAACATTGCAGTAGGAAGAGGATCAAGATGCAGTGATGCAAACACAACTTTGCAACGGGAATTCAGAAGACTGGATTTTTGTCTGATCTGGGGACAACGGGTGGTCCCAGGAGAAACCCTGACCTTTCTTTGTCTCAATTTACATTTCTGAAAGATTAGGGAATTTTGAACATTTTAAATGTTTATATCTTATATAACACTAACTGATCATTGCTTTCATTTAGACAAAACCAAAATGGCAGCCAGGTTATTGCCAGTGACACATTTGAAGTTGTAGGACCTTAAGGTTCCAGAGTTCCTGCCTCTTTTCGCTAACCTCATCTCATTTCACTTTCAACTGCAGGCTTGTGAAAATTAAGCAAAACCAAACCAAAACACAAGCTCTATGTGCTATGGATAGAAACTGCTGGAAGAGTTATAAATTTTTTTTTCTTTTTATATTATACTTTAAGTTCTGGGATACATGTGCAGAACATGCAGGTTTGTTACATGAGTATACACGTGTCATGGTGGTTTGCTGCACCCGTCAACCCCTCATCTACATTAGTTATTTCTCCTAATGCTATTCCTCCCCTAGCCCCGCCACCCGCCAACAGGCCCCAGTGTGTGATATTCCCTCCCTGTGTCCACGTGTTCTCATTGTTCAACTGCCACTTATGAGTGAGACTATGCGGTGTTTGAAGAGGTATAAAATGTAAAGACAGCTCTACGGTGTGGCCCAGAAGCTGTGCTTCTCACAGGTTCCCAGGCGGTGCTGGGGACGCTGGCCCAGGGTCTCCACTCGGAATCACTGCCATCAGGTGTCTCATTCTAACGCTAATTCAAAATTATTAAGGGCCACTGTGGGCCTTCTAACATATTCCCTTTTTTGAAAGAGTTCTCTGAAACTGAAACCTAACTAAGACTCTGAACTAAAGTTAGGAACTCATTTTTACTGATTAAAAAAAAAAAAAAAAAAGAAAGAAAAAAAAACTATAGCCCTCGCTAATATTGCTTCTAAATAGCAGGGCAGACAGGCAGTCTGGGCGCACCCAGTCATGATGGTGTCACTCGCCCTTCCCCAAATCCCCATCAGGATGAATCAAGGCAACATGACCCTCTGGGAACATTCCCCAGGCCCTTCCCCCAGTATGGCTTCTGGGAGCAACTGTGGGGCCAGGGGGTTTCCCAAAAGCCAGCTTTCCCATGACAAAAGTGCACAGAACATGCCCCACCCTTCAGTTCCTACGTCCTTGGAAGCACCAAGCAAGTCATACAAAGTCGTGGAATCACAGAGGATGGATTCACATAGGACGTTTCTAGTAAAACAGTGCAAGCTTCTCCTTGGCCAAAACCAGAGGGCTTCCTTCTGATGCCCCAAGTGGTGCTTGGGTCCCTGGCCAGGGAAACAGTTCACTCTCCCAGTACCTGCCCTTGTGCATTTGTCATAGGATTAGAAATGAGTAGCCAGCATGCTCATGGCCGTGTATTACAGCATAAATATTCAGAAACTTGCTTTAGACATCACTTACAGATTCTTTCCTGAAACTTCACATAGAACGTACAGAAACACAAGTATTGTGTGAAGCAGTTGTGGGGCCAGGGAGGTGCCCGGGCTTTGAGGGCACGTAGCCTTTGCCATGCAATAGCTTCTGGAATTACACGCATGGCCTGCTCCCCAGCTTCCCCACCAGCAGGGACTGGGGCGTGGACCGGGGATGGAGACTGGGGGTGGGGGTCCACCTGTGGACCTCCGATAGGAGGGAGCTGCTTGGCCCTTCTCTGGCCCATCTCTGGCAGGCAGTTGCTGGACAAACTGCAGAGGTCTCCACCTGCAGCATCCAAGGCACACAGGCTCTTCATAAAAATCCCTTTCTCCTGTCCCCTTCCAATTGGTGGCAGCTGCCACTCAGCATCTTTGGTTTTAAACAGTGAAATGGCTTCCCAGATGTCAGGGGGGAAAATCAGTGCAAGGCCTAGACTCGGAATTCCAAGTCGCCCCATCCAGATAGCTGCACCGAGAAGAGAGAAGACACAGGACCGTTTTGTCGTTTTCATTTCCGTTTTCTTTTACTAGGAAATTGAAATCGGGTTTCTGGTCTCCGCACTACGGGCTCAGAGGGTTCTTTGGTGTTGGGGAGGCATCGAGCCTTTGGTGCTGCACACACCCTAAACCCTGGCTCCACCCGTAGATGCCAAGAGCCCCCTCCAGCTGCGATCGCCAAAAATGTTTCCAGACTTTCCACCTACCTCCAGGGGCAAAATCACCTAGGATGAGAACCACATAATTCAGGGGCGTCCAGTCTTTTGGCTTCCCTGGGCCACATTGGAAGAAGAATTATTGTCTTGGGCCACACATAAAATACACCACACTAGCAATAGCTGATGAGCTAAAGAAAATCATAGCTGAGAAATCTCAATGTTTTTAAAAGGTTTACAAATTTGGGTTGGGCTGCATTCAAAGCCACCCCAGGCCACATGGGCTGCAGGTTGGACAAGTTTGAAATAAGTTATGCTATGGCAAACAATAAGCTGATATTATACAAATATTTTACTTACAAAAAAATAACTACCATAAAAAGATGTACGTGGAGGCGTGTGTGTGTGTGTGTTGGGTTGTGTGGGAAGGGGTGTGAGCATATGTGTGTGTTGAATGTGGGTGTGTGTGTGTTGGGTTGTGTGGGAAAGGGTGTGAGCAAGTGTGTGTGTTGAATGTGGGTGTGTGTGTGTTGGGTTGTGTGGGAAGGGGTGTGAGCATGCGTGTGTGTTGAATGTGGGGGTGTGTGTGTTGGATTGTGTGGGAAGGGGTGTGAGCAAGTGTGTGTGTTGAATGTGGGTATGTGTGTGTTGTGTGGGATATAAGTCTGTGTAATGTGTGTTACATATGATGCATGTGTTTATGTGTGTAGTGTGGGTGTTGGTGTGTGTGTATGTATGTATCTGTGTGTTTACATCTGTGGTGTATGTGTATGCATGTTTGTGTAGTGTGTGTTAGTGTCTGTGTATGTGTGTGGTATCTGTGTATTTTTGTGTGTAGTGTATGTGTGTGCATGTTTGTGTAGTGTGTGTTAGTGTCTGTGTATGTGTGTGGTATTGTGTGTTTATGTGTGTGGTGTATGTGTGTGCATGTTTGTGTGTGGCATGTGTTGGTGTGTGGCATTTGTGTGTTTATATGTGTGTTGTGTGTATGCATGTCTGTGTGTATATGTGTGGTGTCTGTGTGTTTCTGTGTGTGGAATATGTGTATGCATGTTTGTGTGTTGCATGGTGTGTGTATGTATGTGTGTGATATCTCTGTGTTTGTGTGTGTGGTGTCTGTGTATTCATTTTGTGTGTGTGGTGTGCACGTGTGTGGCATGCGTGTGTTTAAGTGTGTGATATATACATACACACGTGTGTGTTTATGTGTGTGGTGTATGTGTATTCATTCTGTGTGTGTGGTGTGCATGTGTGTGGCATATGTGTGTGTACGTGTGTGGTATATACATACACACATTTATGGATGGGGGTGTGTGTGTGTTGTGTGGGATATAAGTCTGATGAGGTAAAGAAGCTCCAGGAGATTCTCTTTGGTTGAATCTCATGCCATGAGACTTGGCTTCTGGCCACGATGGAGTGAGAAGCCTGGACTGACCTTTCTGCCTGGAGCAAGGGAACACCGTGTAGAACCGGCACGGCGCATCTTCCAGACGGCAGTGCCCAGGCTGCTTGGCAGGCACCCCTGCAGGAGGGGTCAGGGAGGTGGGCACCCAGCGGTCCCTCAGCACCCGTCCCGTGTGGCACAGTCCAGCCGCCTCCCAGGGCCGAGGAGGGGAGACGCAGGCTCCTGGGCTGCTCCCACCCAGGCCCCTGGAACAGCGCATCTTCTGTGACCGTGGTGAAGGAAAATCTCAGCCTCTGCTTCCCACCTCCTCAGCCCCTGCCTCAACAGGAAGCCCACAGCGCAAGAGACGCCATTCTAGGGCCAGGAAGGAAGAGCCTCAGACCCTGGAATTGCCATGTACAAACTAGACGTGTATTTATGGTGTGTCTGAATGTACAACAATTTCCTGTTTCGGAGAAAATAGTTCCTTCCTGGAAGGGCTGTTCTGTATTTGCACACTTTTCCCATGTGATTTTGGGGAAAAGTACCTGACTTTCTGTGAATAGACGCACTTTTTCTTACCGAAAATAATGATAGTTTCAATCTGGCTATAATCGTTCATATTCATGATTTTTTTCGGATGTAGAAATCAGCAGTTTTGCATTGTAAGACCTCACCCATCCACCACTCACCGTCCCCACACCCCTGGGAACAGGAGGAACCTCACAGAAGAAGAAGGTGGATTTTACTACCTACTTGCCACACCTCAATCTCTCTGTCTGTAAGCAGAGAGAATACGGTAATAATAATATTAATAATGATAATAATAATACCTTTCTCACAAGTTCGCAGGGAGGGATGAGTTCATGCACATAAAATGCTCAGCCCAGCACAGCTGAGCACACGATTCTCAGCACTATTACTTGCATTCTTGTCACTGAAAGGAAGAGGGAACGGAGTGTGACAGCGCAGGTTAGACCCCCGGCGCAGCCATCCACCTGCCACTTTGTCACAGGGACTCCACGACTAACTGCCGCCCTATTTTCCCATAAGCAGGCAATGGTGATGATAAAATCATTCTCAAAGCTTAGGGAGGCCAGGACCCAACCCAGGGCCGATCAACGCAAAGCCCTTGCTGCTTCCTATCCCATAAAACCCAATTATTTATGAATGTGAACCTAAAGCCGCATCCTAATTTAGAAGGCATGGAGATAACATGGCCAAGCAGCCGCCTCTCCAGGCAGCGAGATGACTAGGTAGGTCCCAGAGCCCTGAGCATGTCCCCTAGAAAACAACTCAAGACAAGTGCATTTGCATGCCTTCTTCTGTCTCTCTGAAATCACTCAGTTATAGTCACTCAGTGTGTGCTCACAAACACTGAGTCTCCCCTACACGTGATGCATTTCAGTACCAGGGCAATTCGAGTGAGAAACATGGCCATAGCCCCCAGCCTCTTGGACTATCAGAACTCTTAGGAAGTACAAGGATTGAAATATGTGGTCTAACAGCAGAGCGGTATTTTTCTCATTGTACCACCTTGTTGTAAAAAATTGCTGGAGCCTGAAGGAAACCACCTATGGGAAGGGTGTGAGTCAATGGTTCCCCACTTCTGCAGAGTTCCTTCTGAGCAGCTCAGAGCCCACCCCGTGTGGACACATCTCTTACCAAGATGACCTTCCCCTAGCGGGAAACGGAGGAATGAGCAGGCGGCACTCACAGTGCCAATTACAGCAAGGGGATTTGCATAGGAGACCTAACTGCCTGTTTCAATTAGGAGCAGCAACTCCCTCCTTCTTCCTTCCCAAGGAGCCAGGAACACCAGGCATGTGGGTTTGGATTTGTCTGGGAGGAGGCATGACTGTGCGCACCAGAGTGAAAGCCTCCCCACTCACACTGCTCACCTGGAGAGAGGCTCAGGGATCCTGGCAGGCGCAATGTTTGAGAAATGCCCAGGCGAAGAAGATGAATGCTTCCTTTCACCGGGCCCTCCCTGGCTTTAACTCTTCTTAGTCCTGTCTCTGGGAGACCCTGGCAGCCCCTCGCAGCTGTGACCTCTCTAAACTGTCAGCCTCAGATTAACTGATACTTCATCAATTTTGCCTGAACTGCATTTGCAACCCGGTCTCAAGAGGACAGCCAAGTGCATCAACGCTGGGCATTAACCCCCCAGAACCAGATTGCCTTCAAAACGAGGGGGACTTTTCCAATATTCTCACAGCGGCCCGGGCAACAAGCCTAGGGGGACTTTGGCCAGAGGGGAGAGAAGGGGCCTCTGATTATTCCTTGTAAATTTTTCATGAGGACATCTGCCCATACTCTGCGCCTCCTCCAGAGCTGCCCTCTCTCTCTCTCTCCCTTCCTCTGTCTCTGTGTTCAGGCCTCTGACAAGGCATGAAAAACGAGAATGATTGGGCCTCAGTCCCCATTAGCCAGGAAGTGACTGATGGGAGGATGGGCGTGTGTGGTGACTTCAGGCTTGGGAGGGGCCGGGGCTGCCGGGTTTTGAAACAAAAGACCAGTCAGGAATGGATGAGTCCTAGGTGGATCTGCAGATGGAGGCTGTGCTGTGAGTAGGTGGCTAAGGTGCACAGATGGTCATGGCTGATAGGCCAGCCTGGCCCGGGCTCCTGGTTCTGCAGACCCCAGCTCTGGGCTGGAAAATCGGTCCCCGCCTCCCCCATCTTCCCCAAGATTGTCCCCGTCCTTCCTCGGGCAGACCTTCACCGTGGAGCAGAAAGCTGCCTACAATATCGCCCAAATCAAAGCCAAGAAGAATTAGAGTGTAGGGACAGGGGAACAGGGAAGTGCTTTTTTAATTTAAATAATAAAAAATAAAAAATAGTCATTCTTTTGGAAATACTAGCAGCTTACAAGCTTTAAAATCCTCTTTCCCAACAGTTTAAATCAAAAGCCAGCAGCCCTTTCTCATGGATGCATCAAATCATGCAGATGTCCTTTTTGTGCCCCCTTTAAGGTGACATGTGCTTCAATTTATTTTTAATCTTCTAAGTGATGTCATCAGGACGCCGCCCGGGTGACACGGGAGGTGGCTGCTCCTGGGGCTGTGGGTCTGGGCAGTGCAAGCTCCACGCGCACTGACCCCATGGGCTCAACCCAGAGTCCACAGTCAGAAACCGGCCCCGGGCGGCAGGAGACGCTGCAGAGGGAGATTCCATAGAAGAGGTAAATTCATTAAGAAACTCATCACCGAGCACACCTTAGAAATCCCACCTTTTGTGCTCAACGTGGCCGGGTCCCCGGGGACGCCGTTGGCAGCTCTCCATGGAGCAACAGTGCCACCCAGTGGTCAGTCCTCGCGATGCCGCCGCCCGCTCCCCTGTGCGGTCCTCAGCGGCCTGGGAGAAGACAGAGAAAATGAGTTGGTACAAACGCTTGCCCCGAATATCACATCTTTAAATAGTTACCCACATGAAAGAAGGCCTGCAACTGATTCAAAACCACCTCGATGAAAAAAATCTGAGCACACCCATCAAAGGCACTGCGCACAGAACTCAGGAATGTTTTCTGCTGTTTGGAGTTTTCTTCTCCCCTCCTCCCTCCTCAATAACGATACTGGTGATTACATCTTCCAGGGGAAAATAAAATTAAATGCATCGACTTAATTGTTTAATTAGTGTGAGCATAGGTAGTACTATCCAATTCAAAGATCTAAGCAACTGAAATTCCATTTGGAGGGAGTTCCCCCACTACGGGAAAAGGAAGCAGGAGTGTCACAGGATTGGGGATCACACAGATGGAGGGAGAAATCTGGCCCTACATCTCCCGCGTGTGGCTGATGACGATGGGTGAATCCCCTGTGGGCATTCCTGCCTCCTCATCTGTGAAGCGGATCACCTGTGAAGTCAAATTTGCAGAGAAAGTGATTCTAATTGATGAACTCGAAAGAAATGGGAGTATTGTTACCACCCAGCTTCCTTTTGAACCCCTGCCTCTATTCCTAATGCCATTTCCACTGTACCTTTCCGCCTAAATGTCCCCTTTCTCTCTTTACAGACCTGTAAGCGCAACGCAGACCCCGCCCTCCTGCGCCAACAAGCCTCTTCTCCAAACGCTCCATGAAAGCTGATGATTCTCACTTCTAGGTTTTCTGATTGATCACGTTGTCAAGATGGATCTCTGTATTTTCCTGTATTCTTCTCCCCATAGCTCTTTCCTCATATTGTGGATGCTTTAGAAACCCTTATTAGTGAATTGGCTTGTTTTCAAATTAGAAAAACCTGAATGTTAAGGCAGAAAGGACCTGAATCTTAAGGCAAAATACTTGGATCCACGATCTGACTTCATCTCTCCGTATCTGGCCTTATCTCTCCAAATCAACAGGAGCAATCCCTTGATTTAGGTAGAGGGCTGTTATTTTGTTTTGTTTTCATCCATGAAATGAAAGTTTGGGCTGGGGAAAAGTTTGCAGTATTTTTGTTGTAGTTCCTGCAAGTTTTCAGCTAATTACTTAGTGATGCCTCTTAAAAATCTCACATAGTGTGTTATTTCAAAAAGTTATTCCGTGAGTCCTGTAAATTACTAGGTTAAATCGTGTAAAATTGCTGTTTTATTGGCCAAAAATTAACAACTATGAAAAAATGTCATAAGATATAACCTAAAATAGCTCTTCCAGAGAATTAAATCACTCAGTTATAGTCACTCATTGGTGCCCACAAACACTAATTGAGTGTCCGCTATACGTGGTGCATTTCAGCACCAGGGCAATTTGAGTGGAAAACATGGCCCCCAGCCTCCTGGATTATCAGAACTCTTAGGATGTACAAAGGACTGAAATCCGTGGTCTAACAGCAGAGTGGTGTTTTTATCATTGTACCACCTTGTTGTAAAAAAAAATGTGCTGGAGCCTAAAGGAAACCATGCATGGGAAGAGTGTGAGTCAATGATTGGCTATGAATCAATTATCCAGTAGGCTGCCTCTTATTGATCCCTTACCTGTTGCCAGGTACATGCTAAGCACGCATATGCGTTATCTCACTAGCTCCTCATATTATCTTGTAAAGTGGTATCTTTGGAACTTTCTTCCTCATTTAAGGATGAGAAACAATGAAACTTAAAGAGATTTCAGAAATTTTCCAAAAGCCATCTAGCTGTTAAGTGGCAGACCTGGGATTTGAACCCATTCTTCAGAGTTCTAGCACATGGCTTTAGCTGATTCATTCTGCTGTCATCTTTCATACACACACATCACCACCTATGTAATTGGCCCATGTGCAGTTCCAGCCGTTCACTCAAACACACGCATACATACACTAATGTCACCAGGAAGACAGTGTGCAATTGCACATGAGTGTCCTGGAAACACCAGGACAGGCCGACACACATGAACTGAGTCAGAGAATTATGCCATGATTAGGAGAGAACATTAAGACAGAGCACAGATAAGATAAAATGAGATAAGAGTGCCGACTGGTCATGGTGGCTCACGCCTGCAATCCCAGCACTTTGGGAGGCTGAGGCGGGTGGATCATGAGGTCAGGAGATCAAGACCATCCTGGCCAACATGGTGAAACCCCATCTCTACTAAAAATACAAAAATTAGCTGGTGTGGCGGTGCGTGCCTGTAATCCCAGCTGCTCGGGAGGCTGAGGCAGGAGACTTGCTTGAACCCAGGAGGCGGAGGTTGCAGTGAGCCAAGATCACACCACTGCACTCCAACCTGGTGACAGAGGGAGACTCCATCTCAAAAAAAAAGAGTGCCTACCCTCCCTCCTGGATTAAGCTTGGCACCCTCCCTCCTGGATTAAGCTTGGCTGGCACCACTCCCCTATGGGGCAGAACAAGGTTGGTAACTTGGTAACTCAGCTTCTCCAAGCCTCAACCTGACCTTCTGTACAGTGTGGACAATGATCACCGCCCTGCAGGATGAGCGCAGGCTCAATCAGTGCCAATGCAGAATGCCCCCCACACTCTGACAGGACACACTTCTTCACAGGAGACTAACAAACAGTGACCAACACAGCAGCGGTGGGCTCCGGGCAAACTTCCATTTGATGACCTCAGAAGGGAAGCATCTTAAAGGGGTAAAGGTGAGAGGATTATTAATGGTTTTAAAAATATATATCTCTGTGAATGAATGGTTCATCTTTAAATACAATGAAATCATTTCAATTTTAAAATGTATGGAGAATAAGAAGGCAAAAAATGTTAGCAAAGTCTTTACAGATGCTGGGGTTCAGAATCTGCGGTGGCGTCAATACTATTTTCTCCTCCAAATACACCCAGGAATGGTTTCTTGAAATCCTATCTGGCAGACTGCCAGCACACCACGATCATTTTACAAGTGTTTGTATATTTTTTAAAATAGGTTTATGGTGATGAGAACATCTGATGTCCTTAAGGGTTCTTCCGTTTTCACTTGCTTTTTGTCCTTACAATAGCTGTCTGATATGATCAGGTTGTGTTGCAATAGGTCTCATTTATTGTCTAAAACAGTGGTTTCCCTTGTTTTCTGATTATTTATTTAGTAGGACAATCTGAGAACATAAAGAATCTACTCCTATTATGTATTAATTAATTATGTATTAATAATTATGTAATTATATACACGTACTACTGAAAAAGATGAATACATTACAACATGGGTTCCCAACCTCTGACCTGTTAGAAACCAGGCCGCACGGCAGCAGGTGAGTGGCAGGCGAGTGAGTATTACTACCCGAGGTCTGCCTTCTGTCAGATCAGCAGCACCACTGGATCCTCATAGTAGCACAAACCCTATTGTGAACTGCATATGCAAGGGATCTAGGCTGCACACTCCTTATGAGAATCTAATGCCTGATGATCTGAGGAGGAACAGTTTCATCCCAAAACCACTACCACCCCAACCCTGTCCTTGGAAAAATTGTCTTCCACGAAACCAGTCCCTGGTGCCAAAAAGGATCACTGCTTTACAAAACAAAAGGGAAAAACAAACGAACAAAAACAAAAAAACAAAAAGAAAAAAACACCTTAAAGGATGAGTTAAGGGAAAATGAATAAGGTTTTAAATCAATTTTTAATTTTTGCTTATCACTAAAAATACAAACCTCTGTGCTTTAATGAAGAAATATTTTATCAATAATAATTTTAATGAGAAAATATGATTTTTTATGTTGCTTTGACACTTTGGGATATAATAAAGGTGAAGCTGTAAATTCAGTTCATTTTTTGTACTAAATCATAGTTGAAAAGTGCATATGACAAAAGTACATAAATCCAAACAGAAGGGCATTATCAACTGTGCCTTTTACATTTTGGTATCACATTTCAATTCCATTCAACAATTATACCTAGACCTGTTGCTGTTACTAAAATACACCTACTGAATTTTCTTTTTCATCAATGTAAGTGAGTTGTTCTTGCAAGTGAATTAAGAAATTAGTGCACTTTTTAAATTTTATCAAATGGATTCAAAACACTATAACTCATTTTAGAAAATTTAAAATAGGTTAAAGATGTTTTTGTACATTTTCACAATGTACAGATTTGAGAGTTTCGTTGTCATTGCTGAGATATGTTTTGATGATAAATTCACATTATCATAGAATCACTTCCAGACATCTAATTTCGAATTGCCCATTTACTCTCCACAGCGTACGTTTATCTCAAAAAAGCAGTCACTTTCTCATTTGTTGTTTATAAATCACCTATGAGTTGACGTTATATACTTTAGGTAATTATTTTTGTATGTGTGAATTTATTTATATTTAATTTAGTAATTTAAAAAATACCTGGTTGGTAGCATCTGCGGTTAACTAGCACTCAGCACCTGTGTCCCCCATGGATCACTTGCATTCAAATAATAATAATTTTCATAACTCTTTTCTAAATTTGACAGCTCTTCTGAGTACTTTGCCATGTGATCTGCAGCAAACGTATGTGTGCTATGAAATATTTTCATATGTATTTCCCTTGTCTTTAAAAGATATTGCAACATTTTAATTGACACTTTATCAGGAATAACCCTGTGAATGACTGATACCTGACCGGATCTTGTTGTATTATAACTGTTGTTGTTAATTGCACAAAGCATCACCGATTACCCTTCTATAATTTTTTCCATGCAATATTATTTCATTAAATGAATGCTTTGCTGTTCAGAATGGAGCTTGTTTCTGACAGGTCTTTCTTTTGTAGATCACAAAGAAGTTGTTCTTTGTGTATTTCATTATTGAAACTGAACTTTGCAAGTATCAGAATGTTGGGCATGTTAGAAACATCTGTACTTTAACTCAGCTGTGTAGAAAACCCCTCAAACTGAATAATTTATTCACACATTGGTGCCCTTCAATCTTCAGTAATATTTTTGTTCATCTTCCAAAAGTGTTTGAAGGCGAAGGGCACGATTTTGTACGTGCCACCTTGTTTTGTGAATTATTTCAGCAAAGTAGGAAGGAAAGGTGTTTTAAATTGATATTGCTCCTTGTTCTTTTCTATTAAGAAAGAAAACTCAAAGGGGGCATCTAGAGAATTCCCATTGAGTGAGCGGAATTTTGCAACGTATAGGACTGAATCATGTAAAAATTTTAGCATTTCCAAAAATATGATACATGTTTGTCTTCATATTCGGATACTGGGGTTTTAAAGGTCTTACTAATTGTGTTGGATTTGTACTTTCTTAGCTAATACCTCAAGGTCCTATGCACAAACAGAGTAAATTAATAATAGTGGATGAAAATATTGTTTCAAATAATTTCACATAATGTTAAACTTTGTTTGTGCTCTTGTCAAATCTTATGAGATGACTTTTGTTTTAACCCGGTTATAACTAGTTGATAACTTGCTTCAGAAGGAAAACGTACACCAGCTGTTTTATTTGTGTTCACTTATGTTTGCAATATTATTGTTTATTGTTATTATTATTAACCTCAATCCATTGCTTACTGCAAGGATACTTCTAAGGTATCTATCCATTTTGGAGGGCTGACAGAGTTAAAAATAAAGTAATGTATAAATGCACCTTGCCAGAGACAAGTAAACTGCAGTAGCTCATGACACTGAACACACAGAAGTGCATGGGCCACCACCATCAACCACCTGCCCCAGGGTCAGTTCTGTCTTCCCCGGGAAGATCATCTGCCCCAGTGGAGGGAGAGCACCAGGGCACACCGGTGCAGGTGGTTCTGCTCCAATGTTGATTTCACATTCACATTTGTTGCAACGAGGTTGATATTAGGGAACAATTTGACAATAAGGCAAATTTTGTGTTTGTGTATGTGTGATTTCATTTGCAAGAAATGCCAGGTGAACACAGAACTGCACGCAGCTGATCTGAGACTAGGAACGCACAAGTGCATGCACACACACCCCAGCATTTTCCAACCTCCAGTTCACCTCACGTGTTAGAAGCCTCACCACCCACCTCTGGGGCTACAACTTTCCCTCCCAATCCAGATCACCCACTGTTTAAATCCATTTAGGCTGTTGTAACAAAATATCTTAGACTGGGTAATTTATAAACAAGATTAATTTATTGCTCACAGTTCTGGAGACTGGGAAGTCCAAGATCAAAGCACCAGCAGATTTGATGTCTGGAAGGGTCTGTTCCTCATAGATGCCACCCTCCTATGTGACCTCACATAGGGGGAGGAGCAGACAAACTCCCTCAGGCCTCTTTTATAAATGCAACCATCCCATTCATGAGGGTGGCATCTTCATGAAATCTTCATGACCTAATCACCTCCCAAAGACCTCACCCCCTAATACCACGACATTGGGGGTTAGGGTTTTAATATATGAAGTTTGGAGGGACACACATTCAGATCATAGCCTCCTACTCCCCCCATTTCACCACAGTGCACAAGCTGCAACCCCAGTACCCACACTCTCAAGCAAGCTTCAGGCCTTTTTCAAGGTTAAGCACCATAGTTTCTGTAGTATTTATGCATATGTTAATCATTTAGCCTGTGTAAAACTATACTACTGTTTTTATTAGGTCACTATTCTTTATGTCATGGACAAAAATTTAGAATGATGTGTCGCTAGTCCCATTTATCCCCAACAACCCTGTGGTTTCTATTATCCAGTGTTGCATAGGATGGGGATTTTTAGACGCATTTGCATCCTGTTACAGTGGAACTGACTGTAAAATATAACTTTCTTCTTTCTCATCAATATAACTTTCTTCTTTCTCATCTCTTCCATCACTTGTAACCAAAAGCATTCCAAACTCTCCAGGAACCTAAATTAGACTTGGGAGCCAGGAAAAGTTTATTGGAGAAGGATGGGAAGGAAAACGACTTCTGGCCAAGAAGGCAGTAAATCTCTCAATGTTGCATCAGGTGCTTTGGATGCATTATTTCAAATACTCCTCACAACAATCCCATGAGCAAGGCATTAGGGCCTTTATTTTATACACATGAAATGGAGGTCTGGCGGCATCGAGGACTTCACTGAAGGTCAGGCAGCTTTTGCAGCCATTGAAACACCAACACTGAGAATCTTTCCACTCCATCATGTGTGGCTGGAAGGGCTCACTACCAGAGTGTCCTGGTCTGCACTCCACCAGAGGCCCTAATAAAAATCCAGGGTCCCACTCCTCAGAAAGACATACATTGAAAGACTAGTGAGCTCTTGCCTCCTCTAAGGAGAGAAACATCCACTAGCAAAGCCCAACAAGATGGTGGGATAGAGGCCTCTGAGCCATGGGTCTAAGCACTCCATCCCCTACCTTGAAGTGACACATGGTGGCTCTAAGGGGCACATTTTATCCAAAGTTCATGGAAGGGGCAGCTCCTGTGGAATCCACTCCTAAGTGGCGCTCACTCGGTGGTTCCACTGGCAGTGCTCCAAGTACCAGTTCCTCCTGCTGCATGCACCACGGGGCCATTGCCAAGGGTGGCTTCCATCAGAAGCAGCTGTGTGCATTGCTCCAAGGAAGGCAACAACGCCTGGAAACAGCTGCTTCCAGTACCTGGCTCTTACGGGGGCTCTCACGGCATCCCAGCATTTCCTGTCTATTAAAACAGATGTTCTCTCTCTGGCTGCCAGCCAGATTGGCATCATCTTTCCACATGGTAGCAGGCACCGGCTGTGTATATGTGAGGAAGTTACTTTGACTTTCTTAGTTTCAGTTTCCTCTTACATAAAATAGAATGAATGCCTCTCAACATTGTCATAGAGATTAATTGTGATAAAATATGTACAGAGTATGACTGTAAAAAGCAATCAATACATCCCCCATCCTGTGTGCGTGTGTGTGTGTGTTTCCTCTCTCCTTTGGACAACAGTTTCATGAGAAGGTTCCAGACGAGTTACTTTGCTATGACACAGCTCACTCAGTATTAGCCGCTTTTTAGAACGGAGAAACAAAGGCTGCTAAAGAAGGGATACTAGAAGAAAGAAAAAGAGTATGATGAAAAGAGTGTAAAATGTGAAATCTAAGTGACTGAGTGTGCATCCTCACTCCATCGTGCACTCGACTTATGATAGCAGGCATTGCCTCGGGAGCCGCAGGGTCCTCTCTAGCCCAGTGGGGAGAGCCCGGCCCTGTGGGCCCAGATTACTTAGCAGTGGCTGAGCAGGATGGGTGCATTGTCTGGAGGGCTGCCCTGAGCTCAGACCCCCATAGCAAGGGGAGAGGCGAGGGAGGAGCAGGTTCTGGAGCAGCCTGAACCCCTTTTCACCAAAGGTCGCCAGTTACAGAATACTCCAGCAAAGCTGGGCTCCCTACCCACAGACACCCTGGGTCAGACCCTTCCCTGTTAACTCCAAGCATCTCAGTCCTCCTTATACTTGCACCTGGGGATAGGGCAGTGGAGAGCGGCCCCTTCCTTGGCAAGCACACATGTGCACACCAACATATACACACAATACACACACACACTCTCTACACAACAATATACACACATACCCAATATACACACTATACACACATACACAATTTATACACTATATATATGCACATGCACACATATACACACATATATGTACATCCGTACACACACATATGCAATACATACACACCACACACATATGCACACATATACCACATATACGTACATACAACACATGCACACAATACACACACAAACACACAATACACACATACCACACACGCTGCACATGCCGTAGAGTCCGGGCCAGCATACTGCTGTAAGGTGGGAGCCCAGGGGGTGTCACACCCCCTCTTCTTGCTAACCCTTGGGTTACCCATTTCCCCAGTTAACACACGCCTGTCAAACACGTGCTGTATGGAAACTGATCTGAGTCCGGTTGACCAACAGCACAGCAGGGATAACAATTCTTAACTTGTGGGATTGGAGTTAGTGCTGAATAAATTACCACGTGTCAGTACCAAGCCCACAGTCGGCCCCTAGGAGACCCATATAAAGGACTGATTTTACTTCCCACAGCACTGAGACCGGGCGAGAACCCAGGCCTGGTAACCCCGTCCGTCCTTATTCCTTCCACTTACTTGTCTAGAATCAATGGAAATGTGGACCTCGGGAAATGTGGTCTTTCCCAGCTCCTCCCTGGGAGACAAGCATCAGCATCACATTTAGGACTGGGAAGCAGGGCTGTCTCCTGGAGATGCATCCAGTTCCCTGATAGGGTGGCTTTACGATTCATGTTTGCGGAGTATTTCAGGAGATTTTAGGGAAGAAAGAACAATTTTTTCTGGGACCTTTGTGCTTTTTCTGTTTTCTCAAAGTGGCACGTGAATAAATTCAGCTTCATCCAAAAAGAGGAACAGGTTGTCCTAAATTCTGTGCCCGCGAGTTACCATCAAATTTCACAACAACCACTTAGCAAAGTGGGTGCAGCAAAGGCCACTTTAGCCCTCCGGGCCGGATGCCCAGGTAAGCAGCCCGAGAATGCTGGCCAACCCCGTCCCTCGTGCTGTTGTACCAGGCTCTCACGCGGGCCTTGCTTCCTCCTCTCGGGGGCCAAGGTTGTTCTTTGGTTGTTAGTAGACCTGGCTTCTCTGACTGGATAGCGGGTATGTGCCAGCGTGCACCTGAGCACCTCCCCTCCTCCTTCCCATCAGGCTCCATCTGCACTCAGGCACTGCACCTCCTGCTCAGAAACCTCCGGAAATTAGCCTAGTTGGCCTATGACCCAGCCAGGAGCTCCAGTCACTCTCCAGGGAACTCTGGACAGAGAGAAATAGTAACCTTGCTGGTCTATTGCATTTTTTAGTCAAAATGTTCACTATAAATGCATTTTCCTGTGCACTTAGTTTGGCATACCTCTTAGAACATAATTAATGTCTTCCCATTTGAAAAAGAAAACAGAACAATTTATGGTACCTTCTCCTGCATACCAGAAGGAATCCCCATGGGGTTAAACATTTTACAAATATCATTCAGGAGGTGGCAGGTTTTTAGAATGAAAATCCCACTGTAAATCATTCCAATGAAAAGAGGATTCCTTGGGAGGCACACAGGCTTTTTATAGGGCACTTAGCTTCCCCTGGTTCCCTGACCAATGTGCTCTCTGACGCTAACTGAGATTCACTAAGCCTGTAGGAGATGAAAGAGCACCGCACCAAGAGTCAGAAGAGCCGACCTCACGTCCTGCGTGACCTTGAGGCATCCCTCATCTGGGCATCCACACTTGCAAAGGGAACGTCCTCACTCTGGCACTTCAGAAGGTGTTGCCAGGTACCGTAAGGAAGCAGATGCCAGGCACAGTGCAAACATAAACCCTCTGTTGAATGAAGAGTTCAATGAATAAGCAAAGAAATGAGTGCATTTGCAAATTATAAAATATTTAACAAATGTAATAAATCAGCATATCAATATAAGGAACTGGTATATCAGTGTAAGAACAGATTTTCTGGCTTTACACTTGAGTGAAATGGTAGATTAGTGCTTTATCATTATTCCTCAGCTATACAGAAACAAACTGATAAAAACCAGAGAGAAAAAGAGAGTGAGAAAGAGGAAGCATGAGGGCACACCAGTGAAGATGCAGGAGAAGGGAAGGGACCACGGTGTGCAGTGCTGGCTCAGTGTGTGTCAACCTGCGTGCATGGTTTCCATGTAGCCTCTCACTTGCTCTGCACTGCAATGCAAGGTGGTAAAATTGCTTTTGTTTTAATTTGACATACAAGGAAAGTGAAATTAAATCACCTATGTAAAGTCACACAGGAAAAAGCAGGGAAACAGATAAGCTTGGCCACGGATCTGTGGACCACCTTTTATACCTCCTTAAAATGTTGTGCTCCACTGCCTCATGCATCTTCCCAAGGGAAGATGTTAACACACTTGAAAAATTTAGAGTGCTATAGGAAGAAGAGGTGGTTTTCTCACAGGCTAAGTTACAAATATGACCCCAGGAGAGATAAAGAGAAGGGAGGAACCTCTCCTCCCTGTAAAAGCTCACAGTATAAACTCTAAAATGTCAAGAAGAGTTAGCTAAAATGGTGGCAAACAGCAGAAAAGGGACAATACAGCATTTGAGAAGAAAATTCAGGCAGTAAGGCTAAAACTTCCCGCCAAGGATTACCTCATTTACCAACAAAGATTATGAAATCATTGCTTGAGGCAATCTGGGCAAACATGATGAAGGCAATTAAGAGGACTTAATCCATACAGCTTGAACTTTGCATGTCAGTCAGGGTTCTCCAGAGAAACAGAAGCAATAAGAAAGATAGAGGATGATATGGTTTGGCTCTGTTTCCCCGCTCAAATCTCACCTTGAATTGTAATATTTCTCATGGGTTGTGGGAGAGACCCAGTGGAAGGTAACTGAATCATGGGGGTGGGTTTTTCCCAGGCTGTTCTCATGATAGTGAATAAGTCCCACGAGATCTGATGGTTTTATAAAAGGGAGCTCCCCTGCACATGCCCTCTTTCCTGCCACCACGTAAGATGAGATTTTTCTCCTCTTTGCCTTCCACCATGATTGTGAGACCTCCCCAGCTAATTAAAGTGTGAGTCAATTAAGCCTCTTTCCTTTATAAATTACCCAGTCTCAGGTATGTCTTTATAAGCAGCATGAGAACAGACTAATACAGATGATAGCTATATAGAGATAGATAGATAGATAGATAGATAGATAGATAGATAGATAGATAGATATAGATGGATGGATAGATAAATGTAGACAGACTGATTGATTATTAGAATGGACTCATGAGATCATGAGGTAATTCAGTCTGAGTTCAAAGGCCTGAGTACTGATAAATGGGTAGATGGTTGGGGGATGGGGCAATGGTGTAACTCTCAGTCGAGTCTGAAGGCCTGAGAATTGGGGGGACACTGGTGTAAGACTCTGAGTTCGAAGGCCCATGAACCAGGAGCTCCAATGCATAAGGACGACAGAGGATGGATGACTCAACTTAAGCAGAGAGAGGGAACTCACCCTACCTCTTCCTTTTTGCTCTAGCCAGGCCCTCAATGGATTGCCTGATGCCCATCCGCTTTGGTGAGGCTGGGTCTTCTTTACACAGTTCACCAATCTGAAGGTGAATCTCTTCTGGAAACACCCTCACAGACACACCCAGAAATACAGTTTTACCAGCTCTCTGGGCATCTCTTAGCCCCGTCAAGTTGATACACAAACTTAGCCATTATACTTGGCCAATACCCAGATAGACAGCATCTGTTCATGACTGTTCCTAGGGTTCTGTTTGGGATGAACATCTGCAGTGTATACGCAGCCCTGACGCATAGCCCTCCCCACAGTCCTGTGTGAAAGCACAGTGAGGAGGAAGCAGGGAGGCAGGATATGGGCCAAGTGGGAAGGGAAGGCCCAAGGAAAGGGCCAGGGACAGGGAGTTTGCATCTGCTGCAGCTGGCTCCACACAGGGGCCTTCTGAGCTCACATGGTGATATAGTTTGAATACATGTTCCCGCCAAATCTCATGTTGAATTTTAATCCCCAGTATTGGAGGTGGGGCCTGGTGGGAGGTGATTGGACCATGGAGATAGATTTATTGTAAATAGTTTAGCAGTATCCCCTTGGTCCTGTCCTCACAATAAGTCAGTGAGTTCTTGCGAGTGTGTGGCACCTCCCCCGTGCTCTCTTGCTCCTGCTATCGCCCTGTGATGCACCTGCTCCCCATTCAACTCCCTTCATGATTTTAAGCTTCTTGAGGCCTCCCCAGAAGCAATGCCAGTGCTATGTTTTCTATATACAGCCTATAGAATCATGAGCCAATTAAATCTCTTTTCTTTATAAATTACCCAGCCTCAGGTATTTCTATATAGCAGTGCAAAAGTGACCTAATACACACCGGCTGAGGACTAGACCTCCAAAGCCCATGTGTGAACATGACTGGTCCAGATGGCAGCAGCCCAGCCAGGGGAGGGCCAGCCCCTCCCTAGGAGCACAAGGCCACATGTTGAGGGGCCCTGACACCCTGACCATGCCAAGACTTATTTTTCGGAAAAATACGTACACAGCAGAAGCCCGGGAGCCTTGTCCCAGTGCCTCCTTCCATTGCAACTTGAACTTGGAATAAATTATCAAGTCCCATTGCTCTCTCAGTTTCCCATCACACATAAACACCCCTCACTCCCTTCATAATCTAAAGCCAAAGACCTAGGAGGATGGGTTATGTTTGCAGGAGATATGAAATCACGACACTGAGAGAGAAGCAAAGTAGAAAATAAGAAGGAAAAGAAAAGGTGCCTGCTCCCCTACTCTCTCCTCTCTCTTGCATCCCAAACCAGCACAGATGACTCCCACATCTTTGAAGGTCACTTTCACATCTCTGGGTTTTGCTAAAGGACCACCCTCAGCAAATCCCTGCAATCCCTGTCTCCTATTATCCCACTCCCTTTCTGCATCCCATATCTCCCCTTTTCCAAATCTGAAGGATCCTTCAAGGCCCTTTTCAAACACTGCCCCTACCCTGAAGTTGACTCAGCCTCTCTGATGAGAAACAGAAAGATGACATGGGCTTTGATTCCAACAGTTGCACTCATGGCTTGGAAACTCCTCAGACTGAAACTGCCTCTGCATAAGAAGATGATGACAGGACAGAGGTCTAGCATGGCTTACTCCCTCTCGCTTCTAGCCTTACAGGCTGGCTATCCGCACTCACTCCTGGGTATAGACCAAGCTAACCATGGGAGGAATTTAGTTGATCGTTTAACTTGGATGCAAGGAAAATAGTCCCTCCCTAAAACTAACCCCCTCCTTGCTCAGTGAGTGAAAACTAACAAAAGGCCATGAGATTAGGATTATGGGAGAGGCTTGAGTTCTTCTCAAGTGTAGGCATAGTTTCTACAATCCCTTACTGCTCAGGAGTCATATGGCCAGAGGTCACGAGATCTGTGACTTCCCCAATTGCTTCTACAGATAACATCACCATTGTAGAACCTAAGATTGGTATTTTGAGATATTGTTTAGATTTCTACATTCTAGCAATCAACTCCATGATTTTTGGTTCTAGTAATCAACTATGAACCTGTGACTCATGACTCAACCAGTCCTGTGGTCTCCACCCAGAAGCTGAGGACCTCAGCACATGAGGACCACTTTCCACGCCCCTATGACTGACTCCCAGCCAATCAGCAGCACTCCTGTCTACCAAATTGGCTATAAAAACCCAACCTCTGAGCTCTTGGAAAGGCTGATTTGAATAATGGACTCCAGTTCTTCCATGTGGCTGCCCTAGCATTAAACTCTTTCTTCACTTCAGTACCATGGTCTCAGTGAACTGGTTTTGTCTGTGCAGTGGGCAGGAAGAATGCATTGAGCAATGAGAACAACTCATGCAGGGATTACTATGTGCCTTAGTATTAAGTCAGTTAATTATTGTTGGAGCTCAGAAAGTGGTACCTCAGAAATGGCGCTTTCCCATGCTGAGAGGCCTGATATGCTGCTTCAGAATCAAGGTCCTTCTAACATTGCCTTATTCACCCACGACCCTAGCAAGCACATGGAGGGATGGAGAGACTCCTGGAATGTCCTTATCTGATCAAGAAAGCTTCTTTCCAAAAGAAACACAATTGCTTTTTTCTCCTTCCTGAAATCTCATTGTCTATCTGGGAAAAGAAGACTGAGGAACGCAAAAGCACCTGCTTTCCGTGTCTCTGGCTCATTGAAATTCCAAAAAAAAGAATCATTTACAAGTTAATTTCTGTCCATTTATTCTCCATAATAATTATTTGCTGCCCCTCAGAAAAAAGCCCCCAGTCCCCATCTCCTCCTCCCCTTATGCAAAGGGGAATATAAGCTTCTGTACCCGTTGGGTTGTTGGGCAACCATTCTGTTGTGATTCTCCATGCTATGCAATGAAAATTAAGTTTTGTATGCTTTTCTCCTATGAATCTGTCTTTTTAAAGTTGATGTTCAATGAACCTTTATAGGGCAAACCGGAAGTTTCCCCTTGGCCCTACATTATCTAAACAACACTAGGAGGAATTATCATAATAAGTATTATTTAGATTCTAGTTTTAAAGATGGGGATCCTGAGCCAGGGAGGTTAAGTAACTTGCCCAAGATCACACAGCTAGCACAACTGAGCCAGGATGCGCATGGCCCAGCCTCAAACTCCAGGCTCCTAATGCCTACACAACACCACCTTGAAGGCTGCTTGGAGTTTCAAGATATTTTTGGATCCCATGTTAAGAACCATTGGTCTAGCTTATTTGACCTAAGGTGCTATACCTATAATTTATGGCGTTTTGTAAGAATTGCAGGAAATCATGTAGGTGAAAATACTTTGTAAATTATAAAATATAAATTATTACTCTTGTGGATCATCACTCTTCCCATTGTACCTGGCCCTCATGGGACTCCTTTACATCAAGTACTCCTAAGGGAAGCTGCAGGGTTCCTCCATATCCTTGGTCATGAATCATAATCCCAGACTAGTTAAGGCATGTCAGACTGACATGGTTTGGCTCTGTGTCCTCACCCAAACCTCATCTGAAATTGCAATCCCCATGTGTTGAGGAAGGGAGGTGATTGAATTATGGGAGCAGTTTCCCCCATGCTTTTCTTGTGATAGTGAATTCTCACGAGACCAGATGACTTTATAAGGCAGTTTCCCCTTCTCGCTCACACACTCTCTCTCTCACCTGCCACCACGTAAGAGGTGTCTCTTCCCCTTTTCCCATGATTGTAAGTTTCCTGAGGCCTCCCCAGCTATGCAGAACTGTGAGTAATTAAACTTCTTTTCTTTATAAATTACCCAGTCTTGGGCAGTTCTCTGTAACAGTGTGAGAATGGACTAATACATAGTCCATCCTTATTCCAACCCTCTCATCTTCTATCCTTGATCCTTTTTCTTGCATATCCGTTCCTAGCTCTCCACCAAACCTTTCATGCAGCTCTAGCTCGCATGTTGGCTCCTCTTGACACCAGCTCTGGCTCTACCACCCAACAACACTGCTCCAGCCCCCACAGATCTACATACCCAGGTTCACGTACCCTCAAAACATTCACAGTGGGGCTCCCTTTGAGACACTTGTACAGGGGACACCTAGATGACCACCACAGCTTAGCACGGTGATTCACATGAAGTCATTTAGTATTGGTTGGATACAACTGTGGCCAAAAATGAGAGCCCTTAATAATTAGAGCAAGATGTTCTGCTGGAGTATGAATGCCTAGCTCATAATTTCTACTCACTAATAAAAATCTTGACAAATATCTCATATTGAATAGAGCACTGTGTTGTTATGATTTGGAAATGTCAATCTCCATTGAATGCATTTTACACCAGGAAGATCCCTGGAGTCTTATTCTTTGTAGCAGGATGAGCGTAATGAAGCCAGCCAGACTATGTCAGGAACAGGACATCCTAATGCATCATGAAGAGTGGATGGCCTCGCTGTAGCCTCTACTTCCCCTTCAGCATTGCTCTCTAGAGGGGCTGCATTGGTAGTAGCATCCTGCAGAAAAGTCAGCTCATCTAGCTGCACACGAACCAACCCGATACTCTTGCACATTAACTCAAGCCTGTAATTCCACGTTGAATTTCTCATGGCATTAGGAAAGCACTCAGGCATCTCTCCACGGAATTACAACCCTATTATGTACAATTGAGTATACATTACTCCTTATTTTCATGTCAATAGCTTGGATAAGGCTATTACTAAAGCACTGGAGTATATAAGAGTTACATACTTAGGGGCAGAAAAAGCTGAACTGGGAAATTAAGATGCAAAATATGAGTGAGTAAAAGCTATATTTTTGTGACACATTTATATCTCAACTGGAGTAATTAGACAAATATGAAATGAGACAAATTGTCATTTTATTTATTTCCATTTTTACTATCATCTAGTCAGCTTTTAATCTGTATTCACCTGCACAAAGTATGCATTTCAGTGGTCTTATCTCTGGGAAAGGCAGGCAAACTGATGCTGCCTCCTACAATATCTAGTTTCCTTTCAAGAAAGCAGAGGGGTTATTGTTTGCCAATTAAAAATAAAAGAACAAGCCTTAGGGGCCAGACTGGGAATAAAGTGGAGTTTTTCCCCAAAATTTTAACACTTTTTTAAAAGTGACAATAATAATAACTGCCAGTTACTGAACTATTTGGGATAATATTTCAGAAAATGAAATATGGAGCAAGGCTGGCAGTTAAAATAGAGTCAATAAGGTTCAAATCCCGCTCTGTCATTAATTATATCTCTCTTAGACTCACTTCTTCATCTGTCAAATGGGGTTTGACATGGGGTTTTTAAAGAATTAAATGAGACGATCTATATGAAAAACTTAACCCACTATATGGCACATAAGCACTTAAAGCTTGTTATTTTCAATTATTACCGAATTATTAATTTAGGCAAATCATAGTCTTTTTGAACCTCTATTTTCTTACCCACAAAATGGGAATAATAATACCTATGCCACAGTATTATTATGAGGACAGCAAATGGCAATGGTGGCAGTTGCTACTGTTAAGTGGGTTGAGAAGCCGGGCAGGGTGGCTCATACCTGTAATCCCAGCACTTTGGGATGCTGAAGCAGGAGGAATGCTTGAGTCTAGAAGTTTAAGACCAGCCGGGGAAACATGATGAGACCTCCATTTCTACAAAAAAATATAGAAATTAGCCAGGTGTGGTGGTGCGTTCCTATAGTCCCAGCTACTTGGGAGGCTGAGGCACGAGAATCACTTGAGCCTGGGAGGCAGAGGCTGCAGTGACTTGAGGTCACACCACTGCACTCCAGCCTGGGTGACAGAGAGAGATCCTGTCAAAAAAGAAAGAGACCCTGTCAAAAAAGAAAGAAAGAAACCATCCTGGCCAACATGGTGAAACCCCGTCTCTACTAAAAATACAAAAGTTAGCTGGTTGTGGTGGCGGGCACATGTAGTCCTGGCTACTCAGGAGGCTGAGGCAGGAGAATCACTTGAACCTGGGAGGCGGATGTTGCAGTGAGCTGAGATTGTGCCACTGCACTCCACCCTGGGCAACACAGTGAGGCTCTGAGGAAGAAAAAAAAAAAAAGCAAGAAAGCAAGCAAGAAAGAAAGAAAGAAAAAAGAAAGAAAGGGAGATAAGCGAAGGGAAGGGAAGAGAAAGAGAGGGGAGGTGAAGGAAGGAAAGAAAGAAAGGAAGGAAAGAAAGAAAGAGAGAGCGAAGAGAAAAAAAAAACTGAAGAAGAAAAAAAGTGGGTGGAGAGCTTAAGGCAAGCTTCCAGGAGGATGGAAGACTCTGGCGACTTCTTGAAGAAAGAGAAAGATACTGGGGTTCACCAAACAAGAGAGTGTGCATCCTGAAGAGTGCTCCAGATGCCTTCTCCAGCTATGATGACAGCACCTGAGGGTGGAAGGGAGGCCCTAGAAAGGGACCAGAGAGAACCGGGATGCCAAAATCATGGGACAGAGGGTGTGTCTGCAGCACAGCTTGGCAGGAGCAAAGAGATACAGTCAGAGAGGACTTGACCCACACTGGCCCACAGGTGGCAGCCTAGGGAGACCCGCTGCCCATGGAGAGGGAGCCGTCAGATGATCAAGTTTAAGTTGATGGCTGAAGGAAGGCAATTACTGGAAGCAAAGTGAGCCAGTCAGCTATCCTGGAGATTCTGCAAATAAAGTGCAGGGTGAGATGAGGACAACTGCCTCTGCGATTTGTCACAGCTGCCCTGGAAGCTCCTTCTGCTACATCATCCCAGTGCTTCTCATTTGGTGGCATTGGTGACACTTTAGTCCATAACCACCATTGTCCATGGAGTCATTGATCCATAGGTTATCCACAGAGCTATGTCCTCCTTGCTGGATAAATGCACAAACTGAAGAAACACATTGAGTCACTGCTAAGGGAATGCCTCAGCTGAGGTCACCAACACAGCATGGTGTGGTGAGAAGGACCAGCCGGCAGTGCCAGGCCAAGCATGTAGGCCAGGAGTGTTGCATGAGGTCAGGAGCCAGGGCAGTGGTGTGGATGGTCCTGCTATGGTTTCCAGAATAAAATGAGATTTTGTTCTTTGATTTTCCACAGTCTGAAATCAATTCTTCAGAACTTTTAGGGCCGAGGCCAAAATGAAAGATGAGATAAAATTACCATAGGCTTCAATTCTGAGTCACAGCTTCACCACCAAACTGGAAAACTGGTGGCTACGAGCATCACTGGAGATATCTCTGAAAGCCAAGAGCACACTTCCAGCTCTGCTGGTCAGTTGCTGCCTACCAAGGGCTGCACTGGGCTCATTAACATCCTGCTCAGAAATGCCACTTGGCTGCAAAGGGAGAAATTGCATCCTCAGAAAATACCTTATGAAAGAGAAGGTTTCTGCTTCTCTCCATTTCTCTGCTAACAGAGACAGTCTTGAAAGGCTACAGGGAGGAGGAAGGAGGAAAGACGGAAACACAGACAGGAAGAGAGACCGTGTTGTATTGACACACGTTTCCAGCAAAATTACCTGGTAATTTACCCTGGCAGTTAAAGAAAAGCATCTGTTTACTGTTGCCACATCAAAATTTCCCCATAAGATTTGTCCGAATAATTGTGGGAGATGAAAACAAGGATATACAGTGGAGGCCTCCATCAGCCGTCAGTGCTGTGCCATGTCTCACCCACTTTTACATCCTGTAATTAAATCAGCGAGCCATTCAGACTGTCTCTGTTTCTAAATTACACGAAATGAGGATCCTTCCAATCACGCCTCACATTCAATTTGTGCTGTCACTCTCTGACTTGAGGAATGGTGAAAGAAAAAATAAAGTCCATCTGGGAATTTTATTTAACCAGGGAATGCCAACCAATACAAGAGATACGGAGCTATAAACAAGTGTTTTAAATAGGGTCTCCCTAGTCTCAAGTCTTGCATAGATGAATGCAGGAAGAAAAGATTGAGGATCTGCACTTTGGAGCACATATTTTTAAAGAATGGACTCCTATTTCATTTTCCACATGGCAAGTATGTTATCCTCAGTAACAGACTAAGGTCTTTGCATGAATTATTAAAAATCCAGGGCAGAAAACTCTAGATAACTGCTTCAATTTGTCGATAGAGATGCAACTTGTGACCAGACCAAGAAGATTAGAGACAAAAATCAAGCAAAAAGAGATTCTATAGCACAGCTCTTAAAAACAACAGGCCCGTTGGCTACTTCAAACACTAACTCTCCCACCTATTAATTGCATCACCTTAAGCAAGCTTCTAAACTCTGCTCTGTGACGCAATTCCCTAGCCTGTGAAGTAGCACTGGTGTGGTCACTTATAAACCCTCCCTCCTGAGAGCATGACAAACTCCAGTATATACAGTAAGCACACAAGGCAAGGACTCTATAAATATTCTTTATTGTTAAAGCTCAATTACTTGTGAGGTAAGTAGGAGAGTTGTGTAGGATTGTGAAAGGGCTTTGATTTTTGGTGCAGACAGTCCAGAGTTTAAAAGTTGTTTCTCCCACTATCTGATCAGAGGCTCCGGAAAAATTAAAGCTTCTATACTTTAGTTTTCTAAATTAGTAAAAAGGTAAAATGCTGAGGATGAAGTCAACCTCCAAGGAGCAGTTTTAGTCGTTAAACAGACTGGTCAAAAGTTAAAGGATTAGTGCCTATTAGTGCCTTTCTCCTTTTCTCCTTCATCAAATAGTAAACTGGGAAGAGCTAAAGCAGAGATCCATAGATCTCAGAAGACGTGAGTGCATGCAGGAACGGTCTGCTTCTCATTCTTCATGTCAAATGAGAGACCAAGAACAGAGGAGGAGCTCATGCAGGCCCAGGCATGTTGCCCGGCACTACGCAGATATAATAACTCACCTTATTACAGGAGCCCTACAACACAACCCTCGTGAGATCACACAGAAGGTCTAAGTCATTTTGTTTGTCTCCTGCATGGTTCTGATGCCACAAATTATTAGGCAGTTCAACTGTAGATTTGCCAGCACTCCCCAGTCACACTCGTTGATGTGCCATGAACCTGCATGGAGAAGAGACATTCCTGAACTGTGATACAGAAGAACACAGGGCTGATTTGCAAGATCTTTTCTATCCACCGTATGCTTTCTTCGAGTCATATTTCTGTGGATTTGAACAAAGAGCTATGCACTGCCCTTGAACCCTTGATGGTGATCATCATCCGTGTCTTATTTATGTCTCTATTTCCAGGAAGAAACCCAGGGCCTGGCACATCACGGGTTTGCAATAGCTGCATGTCTGCCTGTCATTTTCCCTGAGCCTCCTCGGTTCTATATATATTTTTGCTGATTTTGTGCATATGTTGGAAAAACCCTAGAGAAGCAACAGAAAAGCACTGTTCAGCTTCTCGCTGATGTTCTGACCACGTGATCATGATCCTACACTGGGCCATGTGACTGAACTGGTTCTTTTACCTCAGCAAGTCTAATGGCAGCTGTTTGTTAAGTGCCTCCTCTCTGTCTAACGCACTTTACATGGGTTGCTCCATTTAACTGTCGCAGCCTTCTGAAGGAAGCGGTGATATAATCATCCCCATTTTACACATGAGCAAACCGTGGCTTGGGGCAGTGCATTTGCCCAAACTCACACAGTTAGCAAGTACCTGAGGCACCTGGACGAAGGAGCTGCCTTGTTTCCACTTTATTGCACAGGTTCCGTCATCTTATTTAATCTTCACAACAGCCCTATCAAGTCGCTGTTATTATCCTAGTCATAGATGGGGCAGTGAGGGAGGCTTATACACGATAGGCTGGAATTGGTACCCAGATCTTTTCACCTGAAAGCTTAGAATCTTCCATGCACCCCTCGTGGGCTGCTGTGATGAACTCCTGGCCAGGACACACGTGCCTCATGGCCTGAGAAGAGCTCACCACAGCCATCTCCACAAAATAGAATGAGAGAAGTTCAGCGCTGGAGGGAGCATAGGCGATCATACATTCAATCCCTTTGCATTAAAGATAAGGAAACAAATTTTTAAAAATGCCCAGTCTCCTGAAACCCACTTTCCATAAGGAGAAGAAAATAGAACTATATGAAGAAAGGCCAAAGATGGAACTTGTTGGTCTAAAATAGCAGTCAGAAAAGCCCAAAGCCTATCTTTGCTATGGCCCAAGTTAAAAATGGTTTTTATATTTGTAAAGGAATTAAAAACAAGCAATCAAAAAAGACGAAGAAGAAGAATAATCTATGACGGAGACCTGATGTGGCCCACAGAGTCGAAAATCTTCACTCTCTGGCCTTTCACGGAGAAAGGATGCCGACTCCCGATCTGAGCTATGGCTGCGTGTTAGAATGTCCTGGGGAATGTTTTCCAACAAGCCCATCCCCTTTTTAAAAAAATTAATAAAAAAATAAAAACAAAAGCAGAACAAACAAAATATATGCCTGTGCCCAAGTCCAGCTGGAACCAAGCAAATCAGCATCGCTAGAGATGGCAGCCCAGGTGGTGATGCCACTAAAAGTTCCCGGGTGACAGTAATGCACATCCAGGATGGAGAACAGTGGTCTAAGAAGAAAGACAAATGCCTCTTTAGGAAAAAGTTGCTGTTTTATTTAAGAAAAAGACCTCAGTGGGCCTGTGTGGCTGTGAATGTCAAGGTCCACTGGTTCAAAATGAGAAACGTTTAGAAAAAAAAAATGAACTCTTCTGATCGTAAACAACAGAAACTGTTGCCTGCTCTTGGTGGAGATATTAGACAAAGGAGAAAACACAGAGTGAGAGAAGAGAGGTTTTGAGAGAGAGAGTCGGCCAGGATGTGATGGGGTCAGGCAGGCTCAGGAGAGAGCAGCTCAGGCAGGATGGCCTGTGGTGGATTGGACTGGATTTCTAGTGGTCATTCATAAGTTGTTGCCTGTTCTCTGATGGGGCCACTGTATGGCTCCCAAATGTCAGCAAAGTCTGTTTCTCCAAAGCCTGCGTTGGTGGAGTTTAAAGAATGAGGGGAGCGAGGAGTAAAATGCTGGCTGTGGGCAGGGAACCAATGACGTGGGTGGGCAAGAATCCAGGGGCCCGAGCACCGGCCATGAGAATAAGGGCCTCCTCGGACAGAAGGGGACGCTCCCCTTAGGAAGTGGCTTCACGCTTCGGTCACTGCATGTAGATCTTAAAGAAAGGAAATCTCCAGAAGATCGGGGAATGTGGGAGTGGCAGACTCTGGGTTCATGCACAGTAAGCAAACAACTTTCCTTTTTCCTGCAGCTCCCTGTTCCACTTTCCCAACACGTTTCAGCTTCTAGAATCCCTGTCTTTGCTCATATCATTCCCCTGCCCAGGATAGCACCCTTCTCTCAAATGATCAAAAAGACCACTTTGCTTTAAAACCAGCTCAGGCTTCATCCTATGTGCAAGAGCCTTTCTAAGGCCATCTCTGTATTTTCTCAGAAACAAAGGATATATCACTGTTTTTAAGATGTGTTATGTTTATACTTTTATTGGTCTTAACTTACCTATCAATGACACAGGGGCCTTCTCTTATGCCTGGGTTCAAAAAGAGATGCTGAGACAACAAAGGAAGATGCTCGCACCCTCAGCATCCTCACCTGCCCCCTCCTGCAGGCAGGATTCTGCCTGATGGAATCCCAGGTTTGTGAGCCAACACACAATGTTTATGATCAAATCACCAAGAAAGAGGCAGAAGGAGAGAATGAAAGCGCAACCCAATGAGAGCAGCAAGTGCAGAAGGAAGAGAAAGTGTCCAGCCTCATCTGTCTGGGGAAGCTAGGTGTGCATGCAGGGTCAGTGCAAGCATATTTGTTAGTCCCCTGCCACTGAGATGGAGGCCAACAGTTTCTACTTCTCAGAGATTGGCTCCAAATTTCCTATGCAAGATGGCCTTGGAAGAGGCAAACTGGTTGGAAGAGGGGGTTTGACATTATCATGGGGCTCTCTGCAGAAGATGAGAAAATGTCTACAATTTATATCAGAGAAAAATAGAAACAGGTGAAGACTGCTGTGGCTCTCTGAGCCTTTCAAGCAAGGTGATGAGCAGCTGACTTCGTGTAGGGGTGAAGGCCAAAGACTGAGCTAAACAAGTACATGCAAATGTGTTATCAAAACAGGGTGCAGGAGAGACTCTCTTAAGCAGAGGGGCAGAACTGATAGGGTCCGAAAATCTCATCGCAGGGCAGGAACTGCAGATCAGAAGAGGGACAGGAATCCGACGGCAGCATTCTGAGCTGGTTTCTTACAGGCTTCTTCCATGTGTTTTTGTGGACAGCATATGCCCTTTTAAAGACACTAAGCACCAAGAAAGAAGAGCCACAAATACCCGACCTGGGATGGGGCCTTTCTGCACTTTAGCACCAAAATTTTTAAAAATGAGAAACCTGGGGAGAGCAGCTGACACTTGTCAAGGTCTTACACTGCCAGTCCCTCCAGAAGTGCTTTACCCATAATGTCCTTTAATTCTCACCACAGTCAAGTGCTGTGAGTCTTAGATGATCGACAAGACGTGAAAAGAAAGCAAAACAGAGGCCTGGCCTCGGTGGAGCCCAACATCAAAGGCCAGAGCAGAAAGAGTGGTCAAGGGTGCAGGTCAGAAACAGAGGTTGGGCCACAGCTGGCCAGACGTGGTGGGGAAGGCATAGCTTCCTCAGCCTGGAAGAGCACATTCACCCACAGAGTATCCTGAGGTTATCGAAATTCCACAGGAGGCCCAGCGTCCTCTCTCCAAAGACCAACCTCCACTGCTCTTATGATTCTGCACCTATACATCCTATAGGTCCAGAATTCTGAATTAAATGTTTTGCAGCTTCATGAGAAGAGCAGTGGAAAGAATGTGTTTCCTGCTCCCTCTAGCCAGCTTCAGCCTAATCCCGATTGTATTGCCATTCTCCCACGACGGTTCTCACGTCGTTGCGAGGTTGTATCAGCTGAATGACATTCAAACTGTTTGACATGTCATACTAAGGGAAAAAACCATGCCCATGATCCATTTTCCTGTCTGTTCTCACTCCCCAGGAAAAGCAAAATGAGGAGGGGAGGAAGGAGATTGATTAGGCTCACACAGCATCACCGTGGGAAAGAATCCGAGTGTGCGGCACATGCAGGCACATCGAGCTTTGCCAATCACGTTGCCATGCCGGGCCCTGCATTAGAACACTAATTAGAATCCTCAGTAAATATTAGCACTTGACTAGCTTTAGCTTACCGATGCCAAGACTAGTTTCCTAGTAAGGAGTCTTTAGACTTGTGTAATAATAGGACTCTAAGGAGGTGACTTCTGTAAAAACAGGAGTCTATAGGTGGAGAGGGGCACACGAATTACCCAATTGCCTATTAGTCAGCTCCTCATAGTCTCTTAGTTCTCAATTCGATTCTTAGACTTTAATTTTTCTCCTACCAGCAACCAATTTTGTTCATAGGGGATGAGATGAATTCAGCAAGGCAAAACATTTGCAATCGCACACCTGTGTGTGTGTAAGATGTTAACAGAGAATGTACAATTGAACAACCAGCCATTGCTTTCTCCCAATCAAGGCTACTCTGATTTTTCTTGTCCTCTCTCACACAACCTTACTACCAGTGTGCATGTGTGTACATGCACATGCACACACCCCCACACATAAACACACAACCACCAATCACAGTGAGCTTATTTTGTGTTTAGGTTTGGCTTAGACCTCATTTGTTTTTCTAAGGTTGTAGTTTATATGCCAGCCATCTGCAGGCACAAGTCCTCACTGTTAAACTTCTGTTTTTCCCTTCCTGAATTCCTCAGGGAATGCTGGTCAAGCCTGGATCAAGGGTACATGTAGAAGATATGTCAACTGTTTCTGCCAGATAAAGAAATGGAAATGTTTTGTAAATGCCAGAGCTAAAGCATGGTCCCAAACAATGGATACCATCAACATGAATCAAAGAGTAATGATTAAATTATATTTTATTCTCAAAAAAGGCATGATAATGAGCTTTGAATACTACAAACCAATGGGATGTATCTGAACAAATGCTAAATCGAAAGTTAATTGAGGATGTACAAAAATCATGCAAAATAACACACATCAAATTATTAAATGATTGAGCAAATAGTCTTCATGAAACTTTAAAATAGCCATGTGGAGTGGTCAGGAGATGCAATGTGGCTTGGACTCTCGAAGGTAAGAAGGCTTTCCAATTGCCCTCCATTTGCCCTTCGTCATTTTACAAAGGTAGAGGTAGGCTCTGCTGATTGTGCTGAATAACGGGTAGGGAAAGGGGATGTACATTTCAGTAAAAACACTTAGAGGATGGTGACCATGACCATCTAGTTAGATCCTTTCTCTCTTCCACAAATATGGATTAAGCAACTATAGTCCCTAAGGCACTACAGTAGCTGTGGAAACAGCTCCCTGGTAGAATAAGACTCCACCCAAGCCATGTCCCCATGGATAAGTGCTGTCTCATAGGCAGCAGAGGATGGACCTCTGTTGAAGGAAGCTGAGGATGGTATCCCCAAAGAGAAAGCATTTTTACCAGGCTAGGGGAATCATTTGTTAAAACTCTGAAACATGCCTTTTGTGAAAATCATAACCTTTTGGGGGAACAGAGAGAATTTTTTTAAAGCTACAAAGGAGCCAGAACGAAGGAAGAGGAGATGAGAAATGAGAAACAGATTACAGCAATGAGCACAGTGTGTGTGCACGTGCCTGTGCAGAGGTGTGGAGGTGTTGAATACATTACCTAAGAAGTTTGGGCTTCATTCTGGGTGCAATAGTGCATAAGAGATTAGGGGTCATAGCCTCTTTTGAGAAACTGATAAAACACTGATCTTTCTCCCAGGGGAAAAAATAGCATACAGACAACCTTGCAAAAATTCATAGACAAATTCACATTTTTCACAGTGTCTCTGAAGCCCATGTATGGACCACATATTTATAAAAATATGCAGTGCAGAGCATTAAGCAAAAAAGATTGCTAGCAGGAAATGGACACATCTTAAGATTAACACGATTTATTCATAACTGTGTGTGCAAAATTTCATTATTTATATACATTTACTAGAAAGCACTATAATATTTGGTATTATTATTCTACCCACTTAAAGTGAGATCTAAGGAATGATTCTATTCCCGATTACCTGAATTCAAGTTTAAAAAGTTTGATTCTCACCAAACCTTCTCTGCGACACGATTACAATTGCACAAAAATCAAGCATCCTGAAAATTGTAAGTTTTATATGAATATAAAGAACTTAAAATAGTTGTTATGTGAGGATAGTAAGATTACGGGGGATTAAAACATTTTCTTCATGGGGTTATGAATGTATTAATTACGTATATATTTTAAGAATTCTTCGGTGGCTCTGCTCTTCTTGATTAAAAAACGTGGAAGAAAAAACAGAGCACATCTCTTCATGTCTTGCTCATCATTGTCCTCTCATCTATGGAATGTGACTAGAAAAAAAAAATAGAGCATCTTAAAGATCAAAGTGACATTTGAGGTCATCTTATCCAAACGCACAGCCCACAATAGACTCATCTTAGAAACATCCAGCATAGAGATCTCTGCTGATAGGTCACCCAGTTCAAAAGCAAACTCTCCCTCGCTGAATGGAGACTGTGTTGAGCTGAAACTTTTGACCCTCAACTGTTGCATAAATTTGGCTTTATTCTTCCCATTGGAGCCACAGAGAACATGAGTATTTTCTGTATTGTTTTTTAAATAGTAATCTATCAGTTGTTTACAAATAGCTATTAAAATCACCTCTACCTAGGCATCTAAGGGCCTCCTATGCAATATGTATGCCAAAGTTAAATCAGAGGACTAGCCACCCTATTTCTCATTCTTGTCAGGCCCTCAGTTTCCACCATATTGATTTTACTATACTAATTATCAAAATGGGTGTATGGAGGCAGGTATATTCCCTAGGCAAAGGAGGCCATCTTATTTACAGCATGAAATTTCAAGAGAACCTCAGTACATTTGACAAACAGCAGTGTATGCTGATATAAATCAAAAGGACCAGTGGTTCTTTCAGTCCATGAGCAATTTTATTGGCATATTCTGAAATAGTTGGTCTTCTCTCCTTCTACTAGGCAGACTGCAAAAGCTAAAAGTCAGCATTTAAGGGGTCAGATTCAACGTGAGCCATTCATAACATCACAGGTTATGCTGGGGCAGTACATCTACAGGGGCATAGCGAGGACATCATTGTCTCAGCCACCTCCTAGGACACATGGAATACATGTGAGCCACATGGAATACAAGTGACTGATGAAACTGAAAACTGCAGCCAAGGTGGTTCACACTGTTTCCCAGTCACTGTCACCTCTGTCCTTCTCAGAGGGCTCCCCATGCTGACTGAGGTCCAGGAACAGAGACGTGCTTGGGCGATCAGCCCTTTCTCCTCTCACTTCATCGCCAAGTGCATCACTTCAGTGCTTCCAAGCATAGCTCTGGCTGCTTTCTATGTTTTTTTGTTTTCTAGATGCTTCTGGGAGGGATCCAACTTCACATTCAATGCCTCCTGAGACTGCAGGAGCCTCTCAGGGTGAGAATGCAAGTCGGCCTGGAGGCCACGATGGCTAATGACAGGTGGGCCTGGAGGCCACGATGGCTAATGACAGGTGGGCCTGGAGGCCACCATGGCTAATGACAGGCTTGGTTCCTGGAACCCAGGGCTGTGGCAACGGGAGCCAGAGGCATCCAGTGTGAGCCAGAACCTTCTTGCAGGTGGATAGGTGGATCTTTGAGACTTTGAGAGAGACCAGAAAAGGCGAATGTGTCCTCAGGTAAAAGGGTAAGACAGAGTTGAGGGAGAGGGTAAAGTACAAAACCCAAAACAGGGGACATCTGGACATCAAGATGAGAACCAAAGTTAAGAAAGAGGCACAAGGAGTCAGTAATGTTGCTGGGAGGAGGGCTGAGATATCTAAATGTTGTCCTTATTGGGTACAGACCACATGGTCCTGGGACAATGACCTGGACCATGAAAGGGATCCAGGCGGCCAGGACATGTCCTTCGCATGTGGCTATGTGACAAGCACCCCAGCTTTGTAACTTATCAAAACAGATCACATCAACACCCTATGTTGGCAGTGTGTCTTTGGGCAAATCACTTCACTGAGCTTCATATGAAGATGGTCCTAGCTCTGTGACAGTTTTACCAAGGTTGGTGTTAACATACACACAGTGCCTCCTACAGTATCTGGCATGTAGCTGATGACCATATGTTGTCAGCATGTCAACATCATTGGTGTTGTCTTAAGGCTCGCTGTGTCCAAACTCAGCCCATTCTCCAAGCATGCCTTAGCCTAGTTCCTTCCCTGGAGTAGTCAAGATTTTCAGCTGCATGAATCCAGTATTCAGAATTTTCTGGGAAACTCCTAATTACAAATACTCTACCTCATTGTCCCATAAATCAACTTATCTGTGCAGGTTTTCTGATTGCTTGTTCAGAAAACAACTTCTTCCTATTCAAGGAACTTTAAGGACTACCAATTTTTTGACTTTGTTTGCTAGAAGTCTACAGAGCCTCCCTGGATGCTGCCAGTGTAGACAGTGCAATCCCACTGGGGTTATGTGTCTGAATTGATGCAGATGGAGCTTTTATCTAGACTCGAGAGGTAGAAAGAAGAGGTAGGAGTTTGGGTTTAACTGAGAACTGGGAGTACAGAGAGGTGGTTGAGGGGGACTCTTGGTGGTTAGTGGGAAAGCCAGAGAAAGACAGATCTTTGCTAGAAATGCTATGAGTCTGGAAACAAGAAACACAGTTAGGGGCCAACCAATGGAGACTGGCACTGGGTCAGGGGAGACTGGCACTGGGTCATTCTTTTGCCTTAGCCCAGATCCCAACACCTCTCTGGCACCCCTTCCACCTGGCTGGTGGCCTCGGGAGCACTTGGCTCATCTGCACAGACACGGGACTTCTTTCCATGGGTACTTGAGGCCAAGGCAGCAATAAGCCTCCTGCAAGGAGCTCCATGGGTGGCAGGCATAGGCAGTGATGCGGGCCAGGAGACATGACAAATGCTCTTCAGAGCAACCCAAGGGGGTTGCTTCGCAAGGTACAGGCAATGCTGGGGAGTCATGGCTGTGGCCACAGACCATGGAGCTGAAGATGCCAGGAATGATGACCATGATGAGGAGGAGGGGGAGGATCGGTGAAGAAGAGGATAGGATATCTCAGTGTAGCAAAAGGAGTGCTCTTTTCTAGCCCTCAGTCATAGGTTCTGGAAAATTTAAGGAGAAATTGTTCTCACACTAAATTTGAGCCAGTACTCACAGTTTCTCATTGCCAGAAGGAGGCTTAAATTCATTCAGTTAATGATACATAAGCAGGATTTTCTACTCAAGTCCCCAGAGAACTATGCATCTGTCCCTTTACAAAGCAAGGAAACTGAGGCAAGAGGAGCTGAGGCATGTGCTGCAAGCTAAAATCCCCATCCTGCATTCCTCAGTGGACCTCCCTTCCCCAGGGAGGGCTTGAGCCTGCACATTTAATCAATAGCTTGATAGATTTTCTTTCTCTGCTTTCAAAAGATATTATTTCTAGGCTGTGAAAAAGCACGGGAAATTTGCATTTCAATATAGAATGTTTTTTAACAACAATAAGAACCCTGCTCTTTTCAGACTAAGATAGCAGCCTGTTTTCCCCTTTCTGAATCAAAGGGGCCACTGGATACTCATTGAAGACCTAGAGGAAAGCATCCCTCCCTCTCTAGTCCTGGGTAAAACAGTGAGGGTCTGCTCTAGGATACAAGTGGCCCCTATTGACAGCCAGTAGCCCACAGCAAGGAAATTACCAAAAATTTAACTAATTTTGAGTTAAGTGTTTGAAAGACAATTCAGGATAAATTAATAAAGTGATCAAGTAGCCTAGATTTTAAAATAGGATAAACATAAAGCCTAACATCAATTTTCTCTGCATAAAGATTATCTGTTTCCTTCTCTCTTCTCTCAATAGGAGGTATGTGTCTTGCTGCTTAGCCTAACCTCTCCTTCCAGCCTTCTGGACCCTACCTGATATGGTCTGGCTCTGTGTCCCCACCCAAATCTCATCTTGAATTGTAATCTGAATTGTAATCCCCACATGTTAGGGAAGGGACGTCGTGGGAGGTGATTAGATCACGGGGGCAGTCCCCCCATGCTGTTCTCATGATAGTGAGTGAGTTCTCATGAGACCTGATGGTTTTATAAGGAGCCTTTCCCCCGCTTCACTCAGCACTTCTCCTTCTTGCCGCCATGTGAAGAAAGATGTGTTTGCTTTTCCTTCCACCATGATTGTTAAGTTTCCTGAAACCTCCCCAGCCCTGTGGAACTGTGAGTCAATTAAACCTCTTTCTTAATAAACTACCCAGTCTCGGGTATTTCCACATAGCAGCGTGAAAACAGACTAACATACAACCCCTCTCCACTGCTCCTCAAGACCGGGCTTCAACTCTGCTCTTTCTGTTGCTCTTCAGGCTTTTTCCCTCTCTTAGCTCCTTTCCTCTCACTTTGCAAACTATATGCAAATTTTCCCAATCCACTGTTTAATTTAAAACATAAAGAATGAAGATCAACCACCTTTTATTTTGTGTTGGTCTTCTTCCCTCTCCTTCTTTCTGATTCTAGGAAAGCAGTCAGAAAATAGAAAACCCACCCTCAGTCCCCTAACTCCAAGCACTCTCTACCACCCTCCTCTTCCCTCTCTAGATTTCATTATTCCACTTCTGAAAGTGCTACACTTTCCTCCCTGCTATGTTGAGTATTCATTACAGCTTAATCATCTCAAAGCCTTGGGTTAAACTGACTCTAACACAGAAAGAAAAGGTTAATAATCACAGACATGATAATTGCTCTTATATCTATCCACATGTGCAATAAGTCATGCTGCAGCAACCAAAACTGACAGAGAGAGGTGTTCTGCTGAGGCTGCCAGAACACACCTAAAGGGAAGCCCAGTGTCAAGGAAACCTATTAGAATGATTGTATTAGTGGTAAATGGAATGCAAATGACAAGGTCTTAAAAAAAGATGAAGTCAAGCGCTCTCTGATGAACACAAGCCACTTTTGAAAGAAGGATGAAAGATCTTGAAGTGAAAAATAATAATAACAATAATGCATCTTTAGGAATCAGTCAATGTAAGGGCAAGGTATGGGGTATCTCACTAACCATCAGGTTGGTCAAGATTCAAAAAGGAAAGAAAAACATTGTTAGAGTCTAGAATTTGATGGGTGCCAAGATACAATCTAAGGCTATCAACACAGGCAAGAATCTGATGAATTTCACCAATGTAACCAAGCGTGGAATAATATATTTCCCAAACCACCTAATCATTTGCCCAAAAATATAAGAAGTATCATTGTCATTATCAGTTTACCTTAAACATTATATTGATTAATAGAATAAACGGGGATTCCTCGGCCAACAAGATGTCCTGTATTTCTGAGCAATATTTTCATGTATTGCAAATCTAATTAACTTCAAATCCATTGTCTGGTCTCTTGTGTTCAAAATTAATGAGATTTTTATGCAGTCTATCGGAGAAACAGCTTCATGTCCTCCTATCATTTCCTCAGATGCTCAGAGCCACAAGGACTTCCAACTAGAAAATTAAATAGACAACAATCTTTACGTTTGATCAAATGTTACATCCACACATCTAAATTTCAAAGCTAAGGGCAAAGTATGGAGTCGACATATGAGCCCTTTTTTAGTTAAGACATTTTGAATATGCCTGCCTTTATCTGCACCATACCTCCTTTAGGGGGCCGAGCCCCACCTGCCATTCTTAGACTGTGACTGGCTCCTCGCTGGGCTCTCAGGTCCTCTGCCCACCCTGTAAATGGCCACTCTTTAGCCAGAGCACTCAGTGCTCAATGGGAAATTGTATTTATTCCTCTGTGTCTCTTGTTAAAGTATTCCTTTGGGAGCAAAGAACAACCTCCTCAGCATGGTTCACAAAGGTTTCCAGAATCTGACCCTGCCGTGCGTCTCTCATCTACCTCTCCAGCAGGGCTGCACCCTTGGCCCAGGTGGGAACCACCCAGTGATTTGAAACTCCCTACATTGTCCAGCCTGCCTTCCTGCTTCTGCCTTCACCCTGATCTCCTTCAGAGGCAGTTTACCCCTCTTCTGTGAAGTCTTCCCATTCCTCCCTAGACAGTCACAGCTCCATTGCCTGTTTTTCAAAGTAGCACAAAATTCCACTTTTAGATTGATTTCTGAGGGTTTATTTGCCTTTCTGCCTTCTCCAGTTGAGTGTAAGTTCCTGGGGTCACAGGCTCTGTTTTATTTATTTTGCTCACTTATTTCTAGGTGCTGTCACAATGAGTGTTTGGAAAATATCTGTTAAGGAAAGGAAATGGATGAAATGAAATGAATAAATGAATGAGTCTCTGTATCCCGAGACTGGAGCCGGCTCACTCACTGGACAAAGCCAGTGAGGCTGCCAGCGTCATGTTCAGGCCCCAGCAAGTTGTTTGGTCCCTGCTGTCTTGTGTTTGCATTTAAAAGGGCTTGCCCCAAGCCTCCCAGTGGGGACAGAGGATGGGAGGGACGCAGATCACATCTCTTTTCCATAGATTACAGAGTACTCACTCCCTAAGCCTCGCGTTCCACTGCTAGTATCTTTGGCCTAACAGGCTCTCCCAGATTTCATGAATGCCTCCTTACAAAGAAGGGGCAAGAGGCATGCAGAGAGGAGCTGGTGCTGGGCTGGCTCAGCCACCCTGGGTCACATTTCCTGTCCCAGACCCAGAGGGACACCCTTTGCCTCTCCCTCCTCCCCAGATAGCCAGGCTGTGATGGACAAGGACCTCCCTCTCTTGCCACTGGCGGATTCCCAGTTCCCTTCAAGGGTCTGGAGGCATAGGATGTGCAGGGACTGGATGCACCAGGAAATTCAATGAGGAGAAATCAGTCCAATGGGGCCGTCTTCCAAAGGCAAATGACCTGAAAGCTCAGTGGCTAGTAGGTAACCAGCTCCTCTTCCAGTAAGCCCCGGAGTAAGAAATGTGTCTTCTGGACTCAGAATCCCAATATCTCTTTAAATAATTACTTGTCCCTGTGTAGGCAAGTTTGGAAAGAAGCAAAAATTTTATAATGTAGACTGTTTTGAACTTCCTGATCTCAAATCCGTAATTCCGAATATTCTCAGAGCAGGTATCTAATCATATTAAACAGATCATGTGTTTCCTGAGGTCGGATCCGTATGCACTACCTGGGACCTCCCTGTAACACTGTTCACAGGTATGACCGGGAGGAAAAGTGTATTTTTGCCTACTTTGGGCCAGACACATCCCCTAACTCATTTCATTTGAGCTTTTCTGGAATACAGGTGTTATTCTCCCAACTTTACGGATGAGAAAATGGGGCCTCAGGGAAATAAAACGACTCACCCAGAGTAGCCAGCTGGGGTCCCTGGAACCTCACTCTGCAGGTCCCAAAGCCTCTGTTTTGTCCACAGGACTTCAATGTTCCTGCCTGGTGAGGGTCGCTCAGACTATTCTGAATGGGCTTAGGGGTCTTGGTATCAAGAAGTCCCCGTGGGTTAACAATCTTACTTGGGAATAAGGGACCCAAATTTTCTGAACCCCAAAGCACAGCATAGTCTGCCTTCTGTAAGGTAAAATACAAGAAGTGAGGACTGACCCCCTTTACCTCCACACCCCCAGCCCTCACCCCCATCCCAACCTTGTTACCAAGATGAGGGCGCCTTTTGCCCTTTTCAGTGTGAAACTTCTATCTGGTAAGGGGTGGTCAAAGTGAGTCACAATATTTGATTAGCTGTGAAAAGTGCTCTTAATGTCAATGATGGAACTCTTCTATCAGGTTAGGGTGAATAGGAAGGGGAGGACAGAGAAAAGATCAGGCCTAGCAGGATGCGGGGGAGCAGAGACTCAACTTCAGAGCCATGGTCTCCAGTTCTCACTTCCCCACTTATTATACGCAACAACTGACCTCCACTGCTGAGCACTCCTGTGTCCAGTTTCCACATCCATAAAACAAAAATAAAGCCCTCTTAGCATTATCACTATGGGGTTAAATGAGAAAGTGTACATGAACATAGGAAGCACATAAATGGAGTTCTTACCTTGGCCCAAAAGAAATGCTCCCATCCAGGATTTGTCCTGAATGTGATAACTGGCCTCCCCATGAGATCCACAGCAGAAGGGCCAAACTTGCTCTGCACATGCTCGGTCCAGGAACCCCACCCTGGGCCATTTCAGTAGTCAAAGAGGCCACAGTGAAGACAGATATAGAAATTTAATTCTTGTCAAAGTTTTTCTAGTGATGTCATCACATATGACAACCAAAAAACTGTCATCTAGAAAGGAGCCAGAACATATTATGGTTAAAAACAGAGAACTGGGAGGTTAGCGTAAGGAGCTGTAGTGATCTATGTGTACAATGGACCATGACATAAAAGCTTAATGAGCAGCTTCAAAGTGCTACTTAGAACATCTCTGTTACTCAGGAAGTCTTCTGTCATGCTCTGTGACACTCATTTGTAAACTGTAGGGATGCTATTTTTTTATTTAGTTAGACCATTAGACCAAAAATATGTTTTGGCAAAAGAGAAAGGGGAGGAGGAGGGAGGAGAGAGGGAGGGAGAAGTGAGGAGCGAGGAGGAAGGGAAGAGGTGCAAGGAGAAAGAGTGAGGAAGGGAGAGAAATAAGAATAAGAGGGAGGAGGAAGAGAGAAAGGAGGAAGAGGAGAAAACTTGCAGCGGAAGCTGGAAAAAATCAGATCCAGATGGGGCTGCTGTGCTTGGCTGGGGAGAAGGGCCAGAGACCTGACTTTCTGCCTGACTGAAGGCTCTTCTTTGCTAAACACCTCTTGCATTCCCTCCTTAGGAGCCCCAGGAGAGATTAGATAGTAGTGCACCCAGAAAAGCCCGACCAACAGAATACCTGGGAATGACCTCGCGTGGCTCTGGAAGGCGTCCAGGACATAGCAGTATTTCCATGTCCACCTCTCCCCTCTCCAGCCACACCAGGCACCACCAGCACCCACTCGCACCATGAGCTCCCATGACTCCACCCACTGGCATCCCCTAAGTCCATTTTCCAGGCTGTCTTCCTAAATCTATCTTCTTGTCTAAAACTCAAGAGCTACTCATTTTCTGGGTGTGTCCTCCATCTTTCGTGAAAGTTGTCTCCTCTTCCCTCTTAGCATGCATTAGTTATTCCTGATTCCACGGGAGCAATATCGCCATGGCACTGTCAGTGCCTTGTAGGTCTGTCTCCCAGCTAGGTTATGACCTCCTGAAGGAAAGGACGATCTCTTAGCTTCTTTTATCCCCATAACAGGCTTAGCACATAAGAAATGATCAATAAATTTTAAGTGAAGAGTAAAGAAATTACCCTGGAGAATGAAAATTCAGTGGGTGTTCTACTAGCACATATAATAAAATAGCTATTTCATTCAATGAGAGTAACACAGCAAGAATTTGAAGGAACATTACGGAAAGAGCACAATTCTTGGAAGCAGTCAAGCTTTGGTTCAAATTTTTAAAGTTGGGTGACTTTGTGCCTCACCTTCCTCATCTGTGAAATGGGGCTGAGGATGTACTCAACTTGCAGGTGCGTTCTGGTGGTCAGGTGACTTTGTGAGTGAGAAAGGACCTGGCTCAGGGCAGCCCGCAGTATGTCAGTTACCTGGGATGGCTGTAAGAAAGTCCCACAAACTGGATGGCTTAAGCAACAGAAATCTTTTCCTTTCATGGTTCCGGAGGCCAGAAGCCTGAAATCAGCCGGGCCATGCTCCTTCTCAAACCCATGGAAGAGAATCATTCCTTGCCTTGTCCTAGCCTCTGATGTTTGCTGGAAATCCTTGGCATGAGATATCTGAGGTATGGAGAGGTCACGTCACTTGCCAACGGCAGCACAGCTGGGAGTGGCCACACACCGGCTTGGAACCCGGGCTGTCTGGCCTCAGAATCTGGGTTCTTCACATCACATTTGTATTGTCATTCGACTGGCAGTGCGCTCACAGCTGCCTCTCCCTGTCTGACAGTGAACTCACAGCTGCCTCCCCCTGATTTCCTGCCTTTGCTGTCCAATGGCCCCTCTTCTCCTTATATGCTTCTGTCTTCTCTTCTTGTAAGGACACAGTCCTACTGGATTAGGGCCCACACTAATTACTTCATGCTAACTAATTACATCTACAAAGTCCCTATTTCCAAATAAGGCCACATGCACAGGTCCTAGGGGCTAGGGCTTCTACATCTGTTTGAGGGACACAATCAGCTGGGACACTCCGTGAATGACGATAGAAATGTGACATGAAGAACAGAAACTCTGAGGCCACACAGCCCGGGTTCCAAGCCAGCGCAGCCTCTCCCGGCTGTGCTGCCCTTTGGCGAGTGACTTGACCTCTCCACACCTCGGGGGCCTTATCTGTGACGTGGGAATCAGAATGCTACTAGCTCGTAGAGGTGCTGGAAGAATCTGTGAGTATATAGAGGTAAAGGGCTTACAAAATGCCTGACTTATGGAAAGTGCTACACAAATGTTAGCTATCGTCATATTCCCAGTTGAAATACACTCTCCCTGTATTCATAGGTAGCCCTGTGTGGGGAAGATCAGATACACATGTGCATCGGAGAGGGTCTGTGTGTGCAGGGGGCCGTGAAGACTGGTTATGGGCACTCATGAGTGAGAAAGATGCAGAGAAAGATTATGACAACAGAGTTTATAGAAAATGATTTAAAACATGAGGCAAACACCAATGCCTCTTCTGGAGACCCCCAAAAAGGTCCGCTTTGTTCCTCCAGCAAAGGCACCCCACATGTTGTAGTCACCTGCACACAGGTGAGTGCCATGTCTCTCAAGGGACAACTGGTTCCAATGGCTTCACACTCTATTCCAGAGCCGTGGCAGCAGGTGGCCTTGTCCTGGGGCCCTGGCCATCTGCTGCTGTACAGGGCATCTCATAAGCAGCACAGGGGCAGAGCAGCACAGTGAGCATGGTAACACGGCTGTGTGAGAGGCAGGCCATCTGGGAAGCCCTGCTAGGCAGAGACCCAGAAAAGCGAGGTCAGCAGCAAGTTGCTTTCCATGTATTTCTTTCCATTCAGAGCTAATATTCAGTTTTCACGTTACAAATAACTATCCCTAGCAATGTTTTACTTCAAAATCTGAATGGAGCGTTTAGGGAGAAGAACAGTGGTCAATGCACCTTGGACCAAGGCTCCTGCTCCCCACCACATCTGGAGATGGTTTGTCACTGCTTATCCAACCCGTCTCCCCATGACCACCATTCTCAGGGGGCTCAGCCTCTGTGTGAGAGCAGGGGCTGCACGGCCACCTCTCCCATGTCTTTGCCCTGGCTGGTGTCACTCTGCAAAGGCTGCAGGGGACAACGGGGGCCCCAGAGGGAGAGCCTGCAGAGAGGGACTTGGCCAAGCTGGCTAGCATAGACCGCACACTGGACAGAAGTTCGCAGACTAGGAAATCAGTGCCAACTGCCCAAAGGCTGTGCTGTTGGGGACCAGCTGGGATGGGGCAGTCAGCAAGACTGGGGATGCATGGGCTCCCCTGAGCCTTCTAGGCATCTCCTGGGAAAAAGCCGACCTCAATGCCTGGGCTACCCCAGGGCAAGGTGGGCCCTCCTTCTGTATTTGCCGCTTGATCCATGGGACCATTGTGTGCTCACTTCTTCCTTTAATCGACCCCTAGCACTGTTGAGAAACAGGATCCCTGCCAAGTACTGGGAACACAAGTGCCATAGGAAGCTTAGGATCCAAGAGAGAGCCACAAGATTCCAGAATACAGGGCCTCGGAGAGAGGCGAGCAGAGCCTACACAGAGGAGAGACCCATACTCTGCCTGAAAATGACAAGGAGGGTCCCTGAAGAAAAAGATCCCCGAGCCAGGCCCTAACAACGCAGAGAAACCTGCCAGGTCAGTGCAAGCCCAGGCACTGGCTGGAAACAGACAGAGGAGGACCGGAGGCGTCCTCAGAGGTGTGAATGATGAGGGCCTATGTGGCCAGAAAGCCCACATCAATTAAAGCAGAAGTCATCAAGAAAGATCATGCTCACGGACTTACACTCAAGCCCTATAAGCGGTGTATGCATGCGAGTGTGTGTGTGTGTATCTGTTTACACATTACATGCAGTGATGTGTTGGTGAACGTTTAACAGCTGGCTGGGGATGGAAGAACCCTCCTTTGTCACATTTGTTCACTGCCGTGAGGTAAATGCTCCAGGTGCCAGGTCAGGAGCCAGGAAGTGCTCAGTGGCCTTGCACCAGCACCAGCCAGCCCTAACACGCCTTGCGAGGTGGATATATGTATGCAGCATTTGAATTCTTTTTTAAAGGTATATTCCTATGTAGGACCTATCAATTTTCAGACCTATCAATTTTCTTCAAGTGTGAGTCTATTTTTTCTGCCTTGTATCGTTTTCCACTCCCTGCTTCTCTTTCCTAAGTGGGATGAGAATTCCAAGATGCTTGTGAAGCAATCATAATGCCGGATGCTTTTGATTTTTGCCATTTCCCCTCCTGTACAGTTATCGTTCCCATATCAAATTCAACATTTATTTTAGCTACTTCCTTTTATTCAGTTCAAAGCATTCAAATTAGCTTTTATAAAAAGACCTCAGGACTTTGGGTTAAAGGGCAGATTGAACATCCTTACCCTCCTAAAATCCCATTAAAATGACAACAAAGAGATAAAACTAAAAGGCATAAACTTTAAAGGACAAAGGGAACCGGAGAGAAGACAACATCAGAAAGAGAGAAAAGTTTAGAGGCTGAGAAACATCAACAAGCAGCACCTGACTCAGCAAAGCAGGAAACCTGAGACCCCAGCTCAGAGCCAGCAGGCCCTCACTCACCCCCTGAGGAGGCTCATGGACTTGAAGCCCCATTGGGCAGTTACAGCGAGAGGCAGTTGGGCTGGGAATTTATAGAAGCGGCAACGCGGCTCCCAGTGCCTTCCTCCAACATCAGCTACAGGGGAGCTGCCCTGCCCCACCCTTGTGAAAACACGGGGGTCACTAGAGATGCTGAACCAAAGGATCCTGGAGCCAGGACAGCAGCCCCACCGAGCAGAAGGCATCACACACAAAATGGGAGGAGCCCATGACAGTCTGCCCACAGAGCAAGGGGCCCCGCCTTCCGTGCCCTGACCAGAGATCAGGCAACAGATGGAGGACGCGTCAGTGGACAAAACAGCTAGGTTCCTGCCCAGTCCCCAGCAGCAGCACAAAACAACCCCACTGCATCCACACAGGAGCACACACAGCCATCCTGAGAGCTGCTGTCTGCTTGCTTTACCCAACACTTACATGTGATTAGATGTGTACGGGAGGCAGAAAGGGAGGGAGGGAGGAAGGAAGTGGAGGAGAGAAGGAGGGAGGAAAAGAGAGAAGGAGAAAGGGAGGGAGGGAGAGAAGAAGAGAGGGAGGGAGAGGGAGAGAAGGAGGGAGGGAGGAAGGGAAGAAGGGAGGAAGGGAGGAGAGAGGGAGGGAAAGAGGGAGAGGAAAAAGGGAGGGAGCGGGGAGGAAGAAGGAAGAAAGGGAGGGAGAGAGGGAGGGAGGAAGAAAGGGAGGGAGGAAGGAAGGAAAGAAGGAAGGAAGGAAGGAAGGAAGGAAGGAAGGGTTAGTATCCTATGCCTATCTTAACAAATGACTACTAACTTGGTCACTTAAAGCAACAGAAATATATTCTCTTGCTGTTTTGTAGCCCAGAATCCTAAATCAGGGTGTCAGTCTGGAGGCCAGAATCCTACTCCCCCGTAAGGTTCTAAGGGAGAATCTGTTTCTTGATTCTTCCAGCTGTGGTGGTTCTGGATGTTCCATGGCTTCCAGTCCTTGCCTCTGTCTCCACGTGACCTCCTCCTTGCTCTCCATGCATCCTCTGAGGGCATTGCCATTGGATTTAGCACCCACCCTAATAATCCAGGATGATCTTCTGTTGAGATCCCTAGCTTAATGTCTGCAAATTCCCCTTTTCCAAATACGGTAACAGGTTCTGGGGGTTAGGACTTGAATTTATCTTTATGAAAGCCACCATTCAACCCACACAGAAGAAACAAGGAAAGACAAAAAGAAGAAAAAAAGTGAAAAAAAAGGAACCTTAAAAAATGAGAGAATGAGGACAAGAAAAATATCTTCTTTGAAAGGACAGAAAGGTGGTCACGAAATCCCCTGTTTGAGAAGAGATGGCAAGGCAGACGCTGCATCCACAGAGGAAGAGCAGGGTGGGGAGCAGAGCAGGTGCACACCACGTTCAAGCAGCACCCCCCACAGTGGCAGGAACCGGCCACAACCCAAGCTTTCGTCCTTGAACAAAACATGCAACATGCATGCAATGGCATAGTATTCAGCCTCAAAAAGAGGAAATTCTCACACGTGTTACAGTATGAATGAACCTGGACCATATTATGCTAAGTGAAGCAGGCCGCTCACAAAAAGACAAATGCTGTGTGATTCCACTGATACGATGTAAATTCTCAGAGACAGAAAGTATAATGGCGGTCACCTCGGACTGGGGATAGAGAGAGGGTAGGGTGTTGGTGCTTAATGGGTACAGAGTTTCAGTTTTGCAAGATGAAAAGAGGTCCAGGGGTTGGTTGCACAGCACTGTGAAATGTACTTAACACGACTGAATTTAACAACTACGAAGTCTTAAGATGGTAATTTTTTCATGTGTGTTTTCCCACAATTAAAGTTCATTTAAAAATGACAGGGGGCATTCTGAGAGCAACTTAATCTTTGGATACTAAGTGTATGATAGCTGAAACTGAAAATTTCGCGGAAACATTTTCTCAGTCTTAAATGAGTTTGTTTTCATAGAAAATGGTGACATCTTGAACAGAGCCCCAGTACCTGTCTCCAGAGCCAGCCTGACAGCACCACGTGTCAGCACTACATGACACACACGTCACTGGGGCTGCGTCACACACTGCCCAAAGAAAGAGTATTTGGAAAATTAGAAGTATAGAATTTCCAACACAGAAAATACAAACTGGCTAGGGTGAGATAAATATCTCACTGTGGTTTTGATTTGCATTTCTCTGATGATCTGTGATTATTAAAAAGTCAAAAACTAACAGCCTGCTGGTGAGGTTGTAGGGAAAAAGGAACACTTATACACTGCTGGTGGGAGTGTAAATTAGTTCAACCATTGTGAGAGACAGTGTGGCGATTCCTCAAAGACCTAAAAACAGAAATACCATTAGGCCCAGCAATCCCATTACTGGATATATACCCAAAGGAATATAAATCATGTGTCATAAAGACACATGCATCTGTATGTTCACTGCAGCACTAGTCACACTAGCAAAGACATAGAATCAACCTAAATGCCCAGCAGTGGTAGACTGGATAAAGAAAATGTGGTACATACACACAATGGAATACTACGCAGCCATAAAAAAAGAACAAGATCACGTCCTCTGCAGGAACATGGATGCAGCTGGAGACCATGATCGTTAGCAAACTAACACAAGAACATAAGACCAAACACTGCATGTTTTCACTTGTAAGTGGGAGCTAAATGATGAGAACACATGGACACATAGAGGGGAACAACACATACTGGAACCTGTCAGAGGGTGGAGGGTGGATGGTGGGAGGAGGGAGAGGATCAGCAAAAATAACCAATGGGTATTGGGCTTAATTCCTGAGTGATGAAATAATCTATACAACAAACCCCCATTACACAAGTTTACCTGTATAACAAACCTGCACATGTACCCCTGAACTTAAAATAAAAGTTAAAAAAAAATACAAACTGGCATGTAGGGAATTACAATAGGCTGAGCAATAAACTCAAGTCATCAGAAAGATCCTGAGAAAGGTCCCAACTGTAGACCACTTCAACTTCAAATATCTCTTCCCATTTTCTCCATCATAAGCTTGGACTCGTCAAACCATGTCTCTTAATTTTCATGTAGAAACTATGGACTCAGGATGCAGATAGAAGAGAATCAAAGAACTTACTTTGGAAACGAATGAACTTCAGAATCATTACATCGAAAAGGTGGACCTCTCAGGAGAGGAAATGACCCACAGGAAGTGACATTTCTAAAGAAATGAGTGGTAGAGCCCAAGCTCTCACTCTGGTGCCCACACATACTTCTGAATTCTGACGTGGAAAAGTTTCCTTTAAACGCTGGATAGTTCATGGAAAAGGCAGTGAGGAAAGATAAGACTTTGAAGGTAGACTTCAATTTCTGCCCTTTGGGACTTAAATAGTTATTTTAACTTTTTCTCCAAAATTGTATTCTTTGACCTTTTCATGAGTCTACGGAAATTACATGCTGACACACTCCGTGTGCGCATGGTGGGTTCTGTCTGCCGAGGGGAAGTAGAATACAATATTAAATAATAACAATGGCAACACACATGTATAAAGCCATTAGAGGGTATGTTAACCTGGGCAAAATAATTGCTTTCATCTAATGAACAAATATTTCAGATGTGTTAGCTAAGACAAGTAGTTTTCTAACAATTCTTAGAACAAATTTAGAAGGTAGACACTAGTATTAGCATTAGGGATCCAAAGCTAATCTACATCACCTTTGCACAAATATGGAAAATGACAATTAGACAGGTGAAGTAATTTGCCTGTAAATTACTTCAGCTTGTAACTTCCCACCAGCTTGTAAAGGCAGAGATGAGGTTCCTTGCAGATCTTTCTGAATTCATTTTCTTCTCACTCTCTCACTTCCAAGTGTGCTTCTCCTCCAAAGTCTGGCTCTTTCAAGCTTGAGGGTTTCAGCCTGGCCCCAAGGCAGTGAGAATTAATCCCAACACAAATACTATGTGTGCCATTTTACCACATTGGTGTGCAAACCTTCAGACCCTTGGAGCACTTAAATCACAGCTCAGGAGAATAGAGATGAGACAGACAGAGACAGAGACAGAGAGAGAGAGAAAGATGATTTCATTGACATTCTGGTTTGTTTAACAAAAAGAAAGCAAAGATCCCCTCCATCTAAAAGTGTCATGTGTCATCTCAATTTCTCAGTATGTTTGCTCCCCTCACTCACCCTGCCTGGATATGTCCAACCCAGGACAGCAACCCATGGTCCACCAGCTGGGGCAGGCAGGTGCTGCATGTGTCCTCAGCCTCTGCCAGGCCTGGAAACTCTGCACAGGGACACAGGTGCCCCCATCACCCTCTGCTACATGAGTTCCTTTCACAGGGGATGGGCTGGCTGCCCCATTAGGGTGTGTTGACCTGCTCCTGAGGGTGCCAAGACTAACCAAGGCTGCTCCCACTGGCTTGTCTTGGCTTTGATACCTCTCCCGCACCTCTGTTTTATCTCCTGGCTGGCAGGGAGGGTCTGGAAACCAGGAGGCAGGGCACAAGCTGGGTCTGTCCTGCTCACTGTTCATCAGGGCAGGAGCACAGTGAGGCTTGGTGCTGTGGCTGGAGCACAAGCATTTGTTCAGGGAGATCTCAGATGTCAGAGCTGGAGGCACCAGGGAGAGCCCCAATTTTGGTGTTTAAGATATTGTTATCCATGCAGCCCTAAGATATAAAAGAAGTAAAGCAGAGAGCTGTGCAGGTGGGTCGGAGCAGAGGACTCGCTCTCTGCCAGCGTGGGGTCCTTCTTCTTTACAGTGACCCCAAGTGACCTCTGCAGAGCAGAGTTTGAAACCATAGATTTAATGGAGCCTCTTCATTTTTCTTATGAGGAAATAGACCCACGAAGAGGAAAGGCAAATGCAGGAGACCACACTGACTTTTAGCACTGGCTTGCCTCTCCAGCAGTCTCTGGATTCCCAACTCCAGGCTTTTTCTGCTGTCCTCTCTCACCCAGAAGAGATTTAGCAGGAAGCAGCCTGCTCACCAGGTCAACTACTGCCCACTCGGGCAGATCCTTCAGGTCCCCTTTTTCTTCTCAATCCCACTTGCCTCTTGCTGAGCTGTGTTTTAGTGTGTGTCAATTTATAATTAGATGGAGAACACGGTCCATTTGCTAAGGTACATTTCGGTCAGTGACAAATTTCAGAATGGCAGTGCATTAGTTACAACCAATTAGGAGGAAATGATCACTGTGAAGTGTCCATATCTACTGCACCGGGACAGAAGCCAACATGTAACATTTATGAGTCTTACCTCATCAGGCTCAGTAGATGGTGAAGAGGTTTAAATCCAATTCAGAAAAATATTTAATGTAAAGACTGAATCTTTAGGACTATAAATTCCAGTTAGTGGAACGAAAAGAGGTTACTCCATGTATCCATGCATCATCCAACCCCTGCTTCCACCCTTACTGGCAGGAACAGAGACTGGAAAACCTCAGCATTCCGAAGACACACAACTTATGTTCAGGTCTTGTTTCTGTGAGACCAGTTTTAACATGTGTGACCTCAGGATCTTCCTTTCTCTTATATATTAAATAGAGATAAAAATACACACCTTGCAGGGTTGTGGGATTTTAAATGGGTAAAATTTCCAGAGAGTTTGCTCAGCACATGGTAAGTTTTCAGTGAATAGCAACAGTTATCTCTATGCTAGCAGTGCCTACATGTAGGGGTACTGCTTAATACGAATTAAAGCGAACATGTGTCGTTGCAGCAAGTAAGCATGTAGTGCCATGTACTCGCCAAACACGTTGCTGCATCTTCAGTAGATTTCAAATGCAAAATGCAGCTCTTGCCATCAAAATAACTCATGAGAGATAGGTGAAGAGAAAAATTAGCATATATTTTAACACTAAAATAATTTTGGATGGATTACAAAATAGAAGTAAAAAGTGAAATCATGAACTGGAAGAAAATTAAGACTAAAAAGTATCTTGGAATTGGGAAAACTTTCTAAACAAAGCATCAAAGTCAGATGCCATTAAGGAAAAGGTGAATACGTTTCAATTCTACATAAAAAACGTTAACACTTCTTCAGGAAAAAAAATAACATAAAGCCACGCTTGGAAAATTTGTACAATGCAAAAGACACAGGACCTGTATGTAAATATATAAAGGTACGTAAATATATAAAGGAATCTCTACCAATCGATATTCTAGAAGGACAGTGACCCAGTAGGGTAATCAGCAGAGTATGTGAAGAGACAGAGGACATACAAAAGGCTTAGAAACAGAAGCTAATGTACAGACTCATTTATATTAAAAAATACAAATTAAAACAGTGCTATGGGATTGTTTGCTTATATAACTCACGAAAATTAAAACAGGAGGATATTTTCCACTGTTGGTGTGACTAAATTAATGTAACTTTTTTTGGATGCCAAGGTGATCAATTGTGAACAAATGAAAAATAAAATGAATGCATTCTTTGACTCAGTGGTTACTTTATAATGCATTTATCCTACAGATATTCTCATAGGGATACACAAATACATGTATGCACACATATAGGCACACATACACACATGCTGGTGTTCATTGGAGGCACTGATGATTCTAGCTAATAACTGGAAACAACAGTCAATAATCCACTCAATAAATTCAGATTGATCTATACAATGAAATGCTGCACAGATGTGAAAACAGGTGAAGTAGCTATATGTTCATGTGAAAATAATTCCAAAGTATGTATATTTTCCAAGCAATATTTTAATATTCTAGAGAGAAAAACAAGGTATAGAAAAAAATTGCATTGTAAGCTGCTGTGTGCTTTAGTAACAAACTAAAAATAGAATATGCATAGTGACTTCACACATGGCCATTTTCTGTAAGGGCACATAAGGAACAGTGCATGTCAGCCCCGGGAATGGGCACTGGATGTTCAGGCAGAGGGAGACTCACTTTTCACCGCATATTTTTTACACTGTCTTTTAATTTTTAGCCTGTAGATGCATTATTTCACACGACAACACAACATTTCTAAAATAATGAATAGATGTGAAACAAAGGCCAACAAAAGGTTAAACTGTGGCTAATTCAGTCCCCTGAACACCGGGAGGAAGGAAGGCTGAGTGGGCCCAGGGGACTGAAGAAGGGTCCATTTCAGAAGCCAAACTTGATCAGGGATTTGAAAGAACACGAGGCAGGAGTGGGAGAAGCTGGGCAGCCCAGGTGGGGATGAGCAGGGACAATGAGAGGCACGGGCTTAAGGGGTGAGACCCTGAGTGTCCCTGGGGTAGCACAGGAGCCCCGGTAGTGGGAAGCCTGCTTGGCCCAGTGGGGAGAGTGCAAGTCAAAGAGGGAAGTAAAGAAAAGTCTCCCAGGGGGAGTGGTGAGGCAGTGAGGCTATTTCCAGGATTGCTCTGTGTACTAGTCAGGGTTCTCTAGAGGGACAGAACTAATAGGATAGATTTATGTATAAAGGGGAGTTTATTAAGGAGAATTGACTCACACGATCACAAGATGAGGTCCCACAGCAGGTCATCTGCAAGCTGAGGAGCACGGAAGCCACGGGAGAAAGATGGAGGCCAAAAGACTAAGCCAGTCTAGTCTTTCCATGTTCTTCTGCCTGCTTTTATTCCAGCCATGCTGGCAGCTGATTAGATGGTGCCCACCCAGATTGAGGGTGGGTCTGCCTCTCCCAGCCCACTGACTCAAATGTGAATCTCCTTTGGCAACACCCTCACAGTCACACCAGGAACAATACTTTGCATCCTTCAATTTCATCAAGCTGACAGTCAATATTAACCATCACACTCCGGGAGCTGAGAAGAGAATGGAGTGGCTTGGTGGGTCCTGGCTACAGCTACAAGACTGATGCCTGATTAAAGCACCGGGAAGGTGGCAGAACGGAGAGAGAGCGAAAGACAAACCCAAGGGTCATTCCAGAGGCAGATGATGGGAAGGCGAGGACTCGGATTCCCAATGGACTCCAGGGAGCCCAGGAACAGAGGGACCATGGACACAGGGACTGAGGCCTTGGGAGAACCAGGTCCAGAGACAAGACGAGGAAATGACGTCAGATGCGTCGGAGCGGGGCTGGAAGCGGACAGCAGTACTGAGGAAACGCAGCTCTGCGGCAGGAGTTGGAGGAAGCGTGGGTGCTCTCATCTAGAGAGAAAAAAGAAAGTCTCAGCACCCCAGGAGTTGCCCCCAGAAGTCACCCAGGGGAGAGAAATCATAATTTTCCCCATGCCCCTCCAGAGAGGTGACTGGAACCAGGGGGTGGAGAGAGGCCGGAGCGCACGCTCACCCCAGCGTTGAGCTCCAGGCTCCTGGGTAAACTGGGACGGACTGCTGCAAAGGAAATGTCAGCTCCCAGGGGACGGAAGGGGCAGGGGAGGAAGTACGTCTGTGGTTCCTTCTTGACCTGGGCTCCTGTGAGCCTGAGGGAAGGCGGGGCTGACAGAACAGTTTGGAGTCACTCAGCAGAGGTGACGAGAAGCACCTGGAGAGTAGCTGGGTCCCTCAGGTGTGGGGAGCCCAGAGCCAGCCTGTCACCCCCTCAGCTCCTGCAGGCCTCGAGGAGCTAAAATATATCTTTCATGAGCTCTGTGTATAGCTAGAACCCGACTTTTCCCTTCCGCGTGCAGACCCATATCCACCGTAACTAATACAATGGGATTTCAGATGGGAAATCTGTCCTAAGAGAAGGAAGAACAAGAGACGAGTGAAATCAAAATGCAGTTTAAGGGATTGGAACAAGACTCTTATATACTGGCTGAAAACTCACCTCCTAAAATTATAGTCATTGGATATGAGAGCTGAGAGGGAACTTACAAATCTTTTATTGAGAGGCAGTGGAGTGTAGAGTTTAAAAGCGTGGCTTCGAACCCCATCAGCAAGCTACTTAACCTCCTTCCGTCTTTGTTTCCTGATCAGTTAGGTGGGGAGAAGAGCATTACCTACCTCGAAGGATTGTCCTGATGATTTAACAAGCTGCTATTTGTAATGTGCTTAGAACTATGACTAGCAGAAATTAGGAGCTGTAGAAATATTGCTTACATTAACACTCTTTTCCATCAGTCCTTTCACAGATGAGAAAATGGCAGAGGTGTGCGGTAAACTAGTTTCTTCACATTTATTCAGCGAGCTAATGACCTGCCTGGTCCTGGAACCCTGGGCTCCAGATTCTTCCCTTGTAGGGAAAAACAAGCCTCCATGAAGCAGGACCCCCACCCCATCCCGCCTGGAGCCATCACTGCCTGGCCTCGTGCTAACATCTCTTTCTTCAGAAATTCCACCAGACTAAACAGAGGAAGCTGCCCTGTCTCTAAGTCTAGCCTGCTGTGGCTGCTGAGAGTACTTGCAGCCTACATGCATCTCCAAACTGGCCCCCACTGCTGGGATTTGGAGACTGTTTTGGCAAAAAGTAAGAGGCCAGAAAGTCAAGTTATCTCTAACCTCTCCTCCAGAGAGTAGAATACCCCCAGTGTAGTCCCCAGTGACTGCATCCTATTCCATCAAAGCCGGGTATCACAGCTCACTTAACCTTTCCCTATTGTTAAGCAATTTGCTTTATTCCAAGTTTTGCTCTCATAAGTAATGCTGGGATAAATATTTTTGGTTTATTGACTTTTATTGCAGTTCTAATGATGTCTTTGGGGAGTACAATTTTGATGTCAAAAGGTAAACACATTTTTTAAATTCCTGGTGCATTTTCCCACGTGGCCTTCCATAAGATTTGTATCTTTTTACATTCCCATGGCAGGGGATGCTGTCTCACAGACTCTTCTCAGCAAGCAAACATTATATTTTCTACAAACGTTTGTTAATTTTGATGATTGGAAAGTATATCCTGTTATTTTTAAGTCAGTAGAATTCCAGCAGTTTTCTTCCCATCAAATACCATTTAACTTTCCATTTTGGAAGGAAGGAAGGGAGGGAGGGAGGGAGGAAGGGAAGGAAGGAAGGAAGGAAGGGAGGGAGGGAGGGAGGAGGGAGGGAGGGAGGGAGGGAAGGAAGGAAGGAAGAAAAGGAAAGGAAGGAGAGAGGTAGAAGAAACAGATAATATATCTCCTATTCAACTCCTTCATGGGCTTGTTGCGACAATAAAATGAGATAATATATTTCAAATGTTAAAGAGTGCTACATAAATGTCAAGTAGGAAAAAAATGAATTCCACAGTACTGACTTCCAGTGAGCACTTATGAATCCTATTAATTAAAAAGGCTTAGACAACTTCATGACATTTAACTGCACTATAGATAATTCACGTATATGGTCCTTGAGAATCTGAGCTGTTCTGGGAAATATGATAAAAATGCATGATATCTGCCAGGAAGATTGCAGTCTTTTGAGAGAAACTACTTTAAACCAAAAGCATGCTTTGTCCGGGTCTTAGAGAGCAGGCAGGGTGAGATGCGCTTTGCAGATCACACACCAGCTCGGCCATTTCCTGATGCTCAGACGAGGACTTTTCTTCAAGGAATGGGGCTGACTTTCATTACATTGCACTTCCCTGTTCTCAGGGAACACAACTGGATCTGCAGCAGATAGCTCCTCACATTTAGGAAACAGAATCGGCTTTTTAAATGTTTTGTTGATGCTGTAAATAATCGTGCTGATGTTGCTGCTTTAACCCTGCCAATCCCCTGGCTGGCTTTGTCACTCCCATCAGGTGCCCAAACATCTCCAGCAAAGCAGCTTTCTCCCATCACCCAACTTAAAACCTCAACCTGTCCCTGTTGTACTCCTATCCCCTCACGAACTTGACTTGTCTGTGGTATTTACACCACCTGATATCTTATGCATTTTTTTTCAGCTAATTGCAACTTTACTGATTTTAAAAGCATGTAGATATCTTTGAATTAAAAGAAACAAAACAATTTTTACAATTTTGAAATTCTAAGCACATTATGTACTTTTTTTTTTTTTTTTTTTTTTGAGACGGAGTCTCCATTGCCCAGGCTGGAGTGGTGTGACCTCGGCTCACTGCAACCTCCACCTTCCAGGTTCAAGCAATTTTTCTGTCTCAGCCTTCTGAGTAGCTGGGATTACAAGCACCCACTATCACAACCGGCTAATTTTTGTATTTTTAGTAGAGATGGGGTTTCACCTTGTTGGCCAGTCTGGCCTCAAACTCCTGACCTCAAATTCAAATGATCCACCTGCCTTGGCCTCCCAAAGTGCTAGGATTACAGGCATAAGCCACCATGCCCAACCTAAGATATGCTGTTATTATAGCATTGCAACTTCTTAGTGTTACAAAATCTGTACATTTAAACACATTAAATGAACCATTTATGCAGCCAACAAACATATTTTAAAAAGCTCATCATCACTGGTCATTAGAGAAATGCAAATCAAAACCACAAAGAGATACCATTTCATACCAGTCAGAATGGCAATTATTAAAAAGTCAGGAAACAACAGATGCTGGTGAAGCTGTGGAGAAACAGGAACACTTTTACACTGTTGGGAGTGTATATTAGTTCAACCATTGTGGAAGACAGTGTGGCAATTCCTCAAGGATCTAGAACCAGAAATACCATTTGGCCCAGCAATGCCCTTACTGGGTATATACCCAAAGGATTATAAATCATTCTACTATAAAGACACATTTATTTGTTTATTGCCTGTCTCTGTCCTTCAGAACGAAAGCTGTGCGAGGACAGAGACTTTGTCCACATTAGTTTAGGTTCTGTGTGTTCCCAGCAGTTGCTAGACTGACTGTCTATTAGAAAATGCTCAGCAAAAGCATAAGTAAGACTGTAACTACGGGATGAAAGTTCTTCTAAAAGTCCACAGAGAATGGCGGAAAGAGTAAGGGTCTACCATCAGAAGGAGGAATTCCGGTCTCTGCTCCTTATTAACTGGGACCTTCAGTAGAGTCATACAACTTCTGCTTTCTCTGAAAAGTGATATAAAATCTTGTGACTTTATAGCTGGGAAAAACTGAAATGATTTATAAAGGAGCCATTAGTGAACAACAAAGAGCTCCACAAATGTAACACTATACACACTTGGGATTCTGTCTCTCAGTTTTTGGTTTTTTTTGTTTTTTGATAGAACCATCAGTAGAGACTGGCTCTGCATCACCTGAGGCATCACAGAGCACTGGTGGAGCCCTTTCCTGGCTCCAGAGTCAGACAGACATGAGATGGATTCCAGGACCCACGGGTAATTAGCCACATGACCTGGGGCTGGTTACGCAACATCAGTGTAGCAGCTGATGCTTGGTTTGATGTGAACAATATGCACAATGAGGTGTATGAAACTCGTAGCAGATGCTTAGTGGTCATCTTTTCCTTGACTAGAATGTTTACTATTTCCAAGGGAGATGCATTCTCCATTGGAAAAGTATTTGGTTTTTAACCACAAAAAGAAAGAGGCCTCTTTCAAAGTTTTAATTCATAAGACAGTGTCACTTATGTCAGGTGATGGGGAAAATGCTTAAGGTGATGCTCTCTAGTGGCAAAAATACAGTCCTTAACTGCCCATTTTTGTCTACTAATAAAATTAAATAATAAACCACCATTGCTCTTGACCTTGGGGGAGAACATTTACCATCAGCATGCTTAAAGTCGAGTAAATCTGCTCTGCATTGGGACAGTCCCTCCTGTGGAAAGTCATGTTTATGTTTATCTAATGTCGTCTCCTGCAGCTGGGAAGTCTTGGTTTTCCAACTTTCAAGATAACCAGCAGTGAATATTAATAGGTGTGCTTCTCTTTGAAGCCAGAAAATGCATAAAATTCTGGATGTTCTCAACAAGACAGCAGAAAGGAGAAGGAGATTGACCTCAACTTGGAGCTTTTCCTGGCCAGGGCTGAGATGGCTCTTTTTCATTATAATATCTAATTTTATCCTCACAAAAGACCTTTGAGAAAAATGATGACATTTCTGATTTATAAATGAGAAAATGAAGTCTCATGGAAATTAAATAACTTGTCCACAATCACACAGCTAAAAGGGCCCCAATCCGAATCTCAGTCAAGTCTGATTGACACTTCAAGTCAATGTTCCACATTTGTACCTCAATAAATATTTGAGAAATATTTATTGAGCTCCTTTGCAAAAGTCATTGTGGTGTTTAGCCATTACTTTTAATAGCAAAACCACCACAATGACTTTTGCACCAACCTGGTATATACCAGGCATTGTTCCAAACACTGAAATGACAGTAATGAGCAAAACAAAGTCCATGCCTTCATGGAGTGCAGACTCCAGTTCAGGAGTAGAAATCAACACAGGCATATTACAGATATAGATAAGGTTGTTGATATGCACGTGGGTACAGGCAGAGCTATGCATATAGATAGAGATACAAGTGTAATCAGAGACACAGATGCAGTTATGATGATGGATGTGATACAGACATAGACATGGCCATGGACATAGACATAGACAGAGGTAGGTATTAATAGTAAGGAGGTAGAGCCAAGGGGAGGAGAACGATGCAAGGCACTATCTGGGACTGAGTAGTAGAGAAGGCCCCTTGTAAGAGCAATGCTGAATAGAGACCTGAACCAAGGCCTGAATGAAGCCCTAAGCATGATGAACAGGTGGGTGAGTTGATTTTAATTAAGTTTAGTAGGGATGGTATTGGGTGCTGCTCAAAGAATAGACTGTAGGGGGCGGTAGAGCATTGTGTCAGCAGGAAGATCAGGGAGGAAATGACTCAGTTGATTCTCATGGGAGATGAAGGACTGGACTAAGGAAGTGATAGAAATGGTCACTCCTTAGTCATCATAGAAGTCACTTCGATTTCCCTAGGGAACATAAAGTGAAGTCTTTTTACAAAAGACTGATTTACTTGAAGGTTTTGAGGGAACCAATGCATTATGGAACACATTATATACCAATACCATGCTTTCCCAAGTTATTAGAATAGTAACAGAATGGCATAAAACAGCATATCTTGTGTTATGATCCTGTTAAAAATTATAAGGCATTTAAGACTATAAGTGACTTCCACTCATCATGGCAAATTAAAGTCATGGCCCACTAGAAATGGGCTCTTGGTCCTCCTCATGTCTGACCTTCTTATTTTGCAAATAAAAAACTAAAGTCCAGAGATGAATAACTTGTCAGAGGTCACAAACTCAGTTAGAAGTGGTACCTACATCTGCTTGTAGCCAGAAGTTCCTTCATTCATTACTTTGCATGTATGCACATAGAAGAGGAAGAATTAATAATTTTTAAAATTAATAAAATGACCACAGTTCCACCCAAAGTTCACCTTATAAATGTATCTCCAAATTCCCTAACCCTAACCCTTATTTTTAATGCAAGCTCTCTTCAGGTAGAAATAGTCTAGAGACACTAGTGAGGACATTTGGAGGCATGAGGAAAACTCTTCAATCGTTAGTTATTACAACAGGACCTACTGAAAAAAAATTATGGCTTAAAATAATTACACATTTATTGATGGATATTTTCTTAATTACAGCTTCAGAATGGAGAACTTGAGTGTTTGGATTTTTTTTTCTTCAATTAAAACACAGAAAATAATGTTTTCAATCTCAAAGATGAGCATAAATGCATTAGGTTTGGAAAAGCTTACAGACCAGGTTCAGCCAAAAGTGAAATTTGATAGCTCCCTTGAATGCCTTCTTATTTGAGAGAAATGGGACACACCCTCAATTATGGCAAAATAAGCACAACCATTAATGTCATGCATGTTAATAAAAATTTTGGAGACTCCACAGAAAAGTTTATGATGTGTTTTCTAAACCACAGTATTTTGGCGATTGCTCAATAATTACAAGAGCCTGGGCCTTGCAGGACCCATTAGCTGTATCCAACATAAGCAGTGCATCCAGAGTTCTACAATGACGAGGGGGTAGGGAGGTTTTAAGAGCAAATAAACAAGGACACATAAAATCCCCAGAATGTCTCTTAAAGCCAAATTTCAAATCATTACCTCACATGGAAGAAAACATATGCATCCATATATATGTACCTAAAAAAATGTGTGTGTATGTACATATCATTTACTGCATCAGATATGCTGAGACCATACTGCATTATAAAGAGCACTAGAAAAAGAACTGCAGAACTTCTATTCTCGCGTGCATCTGCTACTAACAAATTACATGACCCTAGGCAGGGCAGGCCTCTCTGTGGGCCTCATTTTTCACCACTATTAAAGAAAGAGATTGCGTTCCATGATCACTAAGGTTTTCCTTTGAATATTTTTCTGACCCTGGGGGCTGTATTTAGAATTCTTGAAGCAAGAAATTAGCCACTTTTAAAGATTTGCTACTTTGACCTAGAAGTGTTCCCTGTTTTGTCCTTTGTTTTCCCATTAGAGAAGAGATTTAAATAAAAATGAAAGGAACTACTGTTGTTTTTCCAGACACAGTTTGTGTGTAATGAGGGAAGTGATTATCTCGGCAAAAGCACAGTTCCCTCATAAAGGTTCAAAATTAGCGCTTTTCCTCCCTCTAGTGGAAATGTAATGTATTTGATCTAAATTGAATTGGTTTCAGTATTTATCAAATTTTTAAAAAAAGAGAGAAAAAGAGTTGGCATATCTAAAACATAATCAGGGATTGAACCAAATGCAATTTGTTACAGGTTTTCCACACAAATGTCTTAAATATTTTACTTGTTTAAATAAATTCAAAATTAACAATGAAAAGCTGCAAAGTAGATTTAGATCAATTGAAGTTCTCCAAATGAAATAGACAAGTCCAGGCTGGGTGCGGTGGCTAACGCCTGAAATCCCAGCACTTTGGGAGGCCGAGGAGGGCGGATCACGAAGTCAAGAGATCAAAACCATCTTGGCCAACATAGTGATAATCCCATCTCTACTAAAAATACAAAAATTAGTCTGGCATGGTACCATGTGCCTGTAGTCCCAGCTACTCAAAAGGCTGAGGCAGGATAATCGCTTGAACCCGAGAGGCGGAGGTTGCAGTGAGCCAATATCGCACCACTGCACTCCAGCCTGGCGACAGAGCAAGATTCAGTCTAAAAAAAAAAAAGAAATACACAAGTCCACATTAGATGCTTGGTATTTAATTTATGCCCACATGCATCTGAAAATCAGTCCACGTATAAAAATTACTAGGTCAAAGCATGTCACTGAATAGGACAAGAAACACAGCACTAACAACATTAATAAGAAAGAAATGTTTACTCCATTGTAATTCGATCTAACATGTATGGTATCTGTTTTACATGAGGGTTTTCTGATTCCCTCTCTCTGAAACCTTTGTTAACTCCCTCAGGCAAAGTAAATCAGAATCAGACCAGGTTTGTCTGACCCACCTGTGCCAGGGTGGGCAGGACCACAGTGATGATCACCAGGTGTGTATGTCTGCCTCTCTATTGAGGGAGACTCTTCTTCTAATTATTTTTCTCTCCTTACAGTTGTAGAGCAACAGAGAGACATGGCGAATTGGAGAAATTGTGACTCCAAAGGTATTCCCATTCCATTGTCTAATAATCTGAACAGTTGTTTGTTTGTTGTAAGTAAAATCAAATAGCACCATGCTGGCTGAATTCAGTCTGCAAGCCACACCAAGGACAGCCTTGCTTAGCCCTGGAAGGCAGAGATTTTCCATGGAAGAGTTGTAACAAGATGTGTGCTTTAAAGCATGAAAAGAGTGAAAATGCAAAACCACACCTAAAAGGTTCTTAAAAATATCAAACATTCGACTGGGCACAGTGGCTCACACCCGTAATCCCAGCACTTTGGGAGGCCGAGGTGGGTGGATCACAAGGTCGGGAGTTTGAGACCAGCCTGACCAACATGGTGAAACCCCATCTCTACTGAAAATACACAAAAAATTAGCCAGGCATGGTGGCGTATGCCTGTAATCTCAGCTACTCGGGAGGCTGAGGCAGGAGAATGGCTTGAACCCGGGAGGCAGAGGTGGTTGCAGTGAGCCGAGATCATGCTACTGCACTCCAGCCTGGATGACAGAGTGAGACTCTGTCTCAAAAAAAAAAAAAAAAAAAGAGTGATTAGGTTACATACACAGATTAAGGAGGTTAGAGGTGTCTGCTGCAATAATCCAGAGGAAGTCTTCACTGGATGAGACAGAATGCTGTACACAAAGTGTTTAGTCTTCCCATGCATCGTGAGCAGTTGCCAAGGCACCAGAAAACCATGTCACCTGGAAGATGCAAATAAAATAAATAAACAAAGCCCCACCTTAGAGAAGATTGAAAGTTTGCAGGAATCACTGTAAGTGAAGCAATAATTAATAGTGGCAGAAAAATACGTACAGATATTGCATCCAAGAAAAAAATATTTTCAAAGAACCTTAAATAATGAGAAAAGAAAGATGAAAAAAAGGAAGGAGGAAAAGAAGAAATGCAGGGAGAGAATGCAGAGGAGGAGTAAATGGAGGAGGGAAGAAAAGAAAGAGTAAAGAAGGGAGGAAGGAAGAGAGGAAAAAAGAAAAGGAAGACAGAAAGGAAAGAAGAAAAGGGGGGAAAGGAGGGGCTTTGGAATTTAGAAACTTGATAGCAGAAATGAAAATCTTAGTAGAAGATTTAAACACAAAGTTAAAGAAATCTTACAAAATAAAGATATAAAAAGTCACATATGAGGGAAAGATAGGGTGGTTTTGCTTGTTTAAAATACTACACTAGGGACTTTTGTGTCTTGACAAGATGGAGTAATAGAAAGCTTTATCCCCCAACATGAAGAAACCAAATAATCAGACAAGGTTATGAAACAATAGTAACAACTGAAAATGTCCCTGTGACCAGAGAGAAATGAGGTGAGCCCTACAAGTGCCTGAGCACACTGACTTCTGGGAGTTTGCAGACTGAAAGATTAAACAGGAAGAATCCAACAGTCTCCCTGAGTAGAGGGATAGAGCTGGGAGTCCCAGGAGACCAAGGCAGTTGGAGCTAGAGATGCACAGAGAGAATGTTTGAGTTCTATAGAGAGTCTTCCTTGATCATTGAACCGTGAGAGTGAGAAATGCTACCTAAGGCCAGGTGAAGAAAATTCCAAAAAGATTAGAGGAACTAGAACCCAGGGTCAGGGTCAGACACTGCCTGGTGTCTGTTCTTACTAGCCAGACTATACAACTTTATAGTCCATTAGGTTGATCCATTGCAATTGAGCACTACAAAAGATTAGTGAACTTGAACACACAGCAATAGAAACTACCCAGAAAAAAACACAGGGCAAAAAAGACTGCAAAAAAATAAATAAAAGACCATCGGTGAGTTGTGGGGCAGCTTCAGTCAACTAATACATATGTAATTAGAATCCCCAGGGAGAAAAGAGAGAAGTGACAGAAAAACTATTTGAGCTTTTTTCTTTTTCAAAATTTAATGTAAACTATAAATCCACAGATCAAACACAGATTCAAGCACATGAATAACTGTACACCAAAGCACATCATAATCAAATGATTCAAACCAGAGGAAAAGAAAAAAAGCAGCCCAGAAATGATACAGGTTACATAGAGAGTAACAACCAGAAGGGGACAGCAGATTTCCCATCAGAGATAATGCAAGTGGGAAGACATTGGAGCAACATTGTTAAAGTACTAAAAGAAATAAACAAACAAACTCTGCAACCTAGAATGCTACACGAAGGGAAAATCTCTCTCAAAAACTAAGGTAAAATATAGACTTTTCTACATATACAAGAGCTGAAAGAATTCATCACCCACCAGCAGACTCACCGTAAGAAATGTTAAAGAAAGTCATTCAGAAGAAGAAAAAATATTAGACGGAAATAGAGATTTACACAAAAACATGAAAAACAACAGAAAGTGTTGCACACGGTGCCCAGAGCAGTTTATTTGCAACAGGTAAAATCTGGGACCAACCCAGGTTAAGGACAACATGTCCAGAAGATGAAATACTACTCAACAAAATTAAAAAAGAAATATAGAGGATGGAATAAATCATTGATCCACAAACCAACATGTATGAATCTCAAAATAATTTTGCTGCTAATTGAAGAAAGTCTAATAAAAATGGCACAAACTGTATGATTCCATTTATCTAAAATTCTAGAAAATAAAAACTAATTTTCTGTACAGTTAGACCTGTGTTTTCCTGGGAATAAAAAGGTCAGGGAGGAGGGCAGAAGGGTGGGATTGCAAAAAGACCCAAGGACATTTCTAGAGGTAATATTACAGTTTGCTGTCTCTACTGTGGTGATGGTTTCATGAGATTATACATATGTCAAAATTAATTAACTTGTACATTTTAAATGTGTGTACTTTTCTGCAAGCTATTCATACCTCGATAAAGCTGCTAAAGATGGCATTTCTAATTTTCCATGCTGTTGTAGAAAATAGGGAAAATTTTTAAGATGTTAAAAAAGTCACAGATTATCACTGAGAAAAAATGTATTTTTGATAATTTACATCTTCTTAGGTGCTCAGCATTCTGCTTAGCATTATATTAAAAGGATTTATCTCAATGTATTTAACCAGTGTGTATTACAAATAAACACATTATACACATACATAAATATATTCTGATTATTTAAAGATAATAGTTATAATAAAACCTTTTTATGTGTACCACTGATTATTTTCTTGGTGTATGTTCCAAAATGATCCACGTGTCCAAACACTTTTAAGATACTATATAATTGCTCCTAGAAAAGAGATTTTACAGAGAGAAGGATCAGCACAAAAGGAGATTAGTCTAGTCTAAGAAAAAAATAAACAAAACCAGGCATGTACCACTGAGGAAGGAAGACAATGGAGAAGTGCTATGTCTGCTTCACAGCTGTTTCCCTGAGTGGGTAGACTGTTTGAGATAGAACACCAGGCACTTTCATTCCCAGGCCTATTCTATTAATACTTTTGCATACGTGAAGACTGACTGAGCCTCCTACTTACTAATAGAAGTGCTTGCTGTGCTTAGGGAAAATTTATTTTAACTTAAAGGACATTGCAGTAATCTGCTCAGGCTGCCATAAGAAAATACCACAGGCTAGTGGCTTAAACAGAAATTTCTCACGAGGTGGGCATGGTGGCTCACAACTGCCATCCCAGCAACTCAGGATCCTGAGGTGGGAGGATTGCTTAAGCCCAGGAGTTTGAGGCTGCAGTGAGCTATTTCAGCCTGGGAAATAGAGAACCATCCCAATAAGAAGAAAGAAAAGAAAAAGAGAGAGAAAGAAAGAGAGGGAGGGAGAAAGAAACAGAAAGAAAGAGAAAGGAAGAAAGAGAAAAGAAGGAAAGGAAAGGGGAAAGGAAAACAGAAAGGGAAGGGAAAGGGAAAGGGAAAGAGAAAGAGAAAGAGAAAGAGAAAGAGAAAGAGAAAGAGAAAGAGAGAAAGGGAAAGAGAAAGAGAAAGAGAAAGAGAAAGAGAAAGAGAAAGAATTTATTTCTCACATTTCTGGATGCTAGGAAGTCCAAGATCAAGGTGCCAGCCAGGTAGGATTCATTTTAAGCCCTCTTTTCTTGGCTCATGGGAGGCCACCATCTCACAATGTGCCCATATAACCTCTTCTTTATGCAGACGCAAGGAGGCAAGGGCAGGGAGGGGAAGAGAGAGAGTGCACGCATGGAAGGGAGAGAACACTTTTGTGTCTGTTCTTATAAAGACACAAATCCTATTGGATCAGGACCCAACCCTTGTGACCTCAGTAATCTTAATTACTTCCTTAGAGGTCCATCTCCAAATGCAGCCACTCTAGGGGATAGGAATTCAACATAAGAATTTGGAGGTGGGGGGACACAAACATTCAGTCCATAACAAACATTCAACTGTTTGAGTAATTCAGAGTGGGGCTCAAAATGTAAAACATTTTGATGAATCACGTTAATTGTCATGTTGATAATGTGCCACATCATACATTTTAATGTAGCATTATTTGTGATTAATTCTCTTACCTTTGTTTTTTTTTTAAATGTCAGTACTTCACCTTATTTCGCACATTTTTACTGTACATAGAATTCTATGTTGGTATATTTTTCTTTCAGTACTTTAAAGATCTTGTTGCACTCTCTTGCCCATAGTTTCTAATATAAAGTCAGCAATAACTTACATCTTTGTTTTCATATAAATATTTATAATGTATTTTTTCTTCAGCTGCTTTCAAGATTTTATCTTTGGTTTAAGTGTTTAGATGAGTGCATTAATTTTCTAGTTATGCTGTGACAGAATACTCAAAACTGGGCCGCTTTAAACAACAGAGATTTATTTTTTCACAGTTCCAAAAACTAGAAGTCCAAAATCAAGGTGTCTTCCCTCTGAGACTCTGAATAGAATCCTTCCTTACCTCTTCCATCTTTTGGTAGTGATGATCATATTTTGGTGTTCCTGGCTTTCAGCTGCATCAGTCCAATCTCTACCTCTATCATCACATGACATTGTGTCTCATGTCTCTGTCTCATCTTCCCTTCTTATTATGAAGACACTAGTCATAATGGATTAAGGTTCACTCTAATCCAATATGATGTCATCTTAACTTGATTACATCTGCAGCAACCATATTTCCAAATAATGTCACATTCTGAAGTTCCAGAAAGGACATCAGTTTTAGAAGGTCACTGTCCAATACAACTATGATATGCCTAGGCATTGTTTTCTTTGGATTTACAATGATGGGGGTTCACTGAGATGTTTTGAATCTGTAAATTTATGTTTCACTATATTGGAGAAACATTTTGTGAAAACATTTACCCATAAAAGGGGAAATATGGTTCCTTCACATTTAAAAAACATTTCATTCTCATTCTCTTTTCATTCTAGAATTCCAATTAGACGTATGTTAGATCTTTTCATATTGTATCACAAATCTCCAATGCTTTGTTTATATTTTGGAGCAGATAATTTCCACTAATCTATCCTCAAGTATATGGACTCTTCCCTTTGTCAATTCTATTACACCGCTAAAGCCATCCAGTGATGGCTTTTAATTTCAGCTGTTGTAATTTTCAGTTCTATAATTTCCATTTGATACCTTTTTAGAGTTTCCACTTCTCCACGAGCTTTCCTATCTTTTCATTTATGACATGCATATCCTTTACATCCTTGAGCATAATTATAATAGCTGCTTTAAATTTCTTATCTGCTAACTCCAACAACAGGGTCACCTTGGGGTTATTCTCAATTGATCAATTTCCTTCTCTTGATAATGCTTTATATTTTCTTGGTTCCTTGTATGTTTCATAATATTGGATTGTATATTGGATATTGTGTATATTACATGGTGGAGACTCTGGATTCTGTTATAGTCCTCTAAAAAGAATTGAGTTCTAGAGGGCAATTAGCTTCATTTGACAAGAACTGCACACCTTCTTTTGGATGTCAGCTCAAATCTCATACAAATATTTTAACTTTTGGTGAAGTCTATCCTGCACATCTATGATTTGTGAATTAGCCAGAGATTTGGGCAGAGTATATACTCAAAATTTAGGGTTTCCCCCTTTTGGCTATCTTTTTTGCAAGATTGTCCTTCATTTCCCAGTGGTCTCATTTCATAACAGAAAGACCCTTATGTCTTTTCTATCAGGGTTTAGTCACCAAGGTGGAGCTGACATGGGCCTATCATTAGAATAAAAACCTAAGACATTCCTTTCTTCCAAGTTTCAAGTCCACTCTAAAATCTTCCTCTCTTCTTTACATTGCCTGCAGAACATTTTTTTCTCCAGAGTTGACAGTTGTTTTCCACAGGAAGTACAGCTATGATAAGAGCTTACTTAGTCATACCAGGTGCAGAAACAACATGGCATTGAGCAGAAGACACTGTAGCTGAGGAATTACATCTGTTTCTAAATTATATAATGACATATTTGAACCCAGATAAAAGGAGGGAAAAATATGACTCAGAGAACAAATTGCCATGAAGTCAACTTTTCAATCTGAGTTTGTTCATATCTTTTCTGCTTCTGTACAAGTGATTAATGCACTCTATATCTCAAAATTCAGTGGTGAAAATGAATACTGACTTAACATTGGCAAGAATCAAGAAACTCCATTTGGGATCCCATCAGAAAAAGAAAGACATATATTTCAGGGCCTTCTGAAGACCTGGTCTGTTTTCTAAGATAATTTAAACTGTCACTTACAAAGTTGTATATAACAAAAATAAATTTGAAGGATGTCTGCCCATTTCTCAAAGCCAAGCTCCATTCCCTTCCCTATAAATTTTTTTCTAATGTGTGCTTATATCAATATTAACTCATTTCACAACTGCCTATGCCATACCCAATAGTCCTTTGTTATATATTTACTTTTCTATTTGAGAATAATAAAGTTAGAAAGTAAGAGATCAGTTATACAAACTCACCATAAATGAGCACATTAAGTATATGTTAAGATATAACATTATTTTCTCTGAGAGAGAGAGAGAGAGGGACTACCAAATCACCATACCTTGAACAAGATAGAGATGAATGTTCCTTTCCCGTAACAGTTCAAGGTAAGCAGCAAGGGCAGGTGAGCTGACTCTACCATCTCAACCTATAACTTCCCTCTCACAGTCAAAGTGACTTCTTCAATTCTTATTATCTTCCAATGAGCAGAAAGGCAGAAAAGGACTATGGGATCTGAGCACAACCCTCTGTGAGAGCAAAAACAGTCCTGAAGAGGTACATATTTATCTGCTCACACCCCATTGGCTAGACCATACTTCAGTGGCACATATGGTTGCAAGACAGTCCAAGAAATGCAGTCATAATCTAGAAAGTCATGCATCCAGCTAAAATTCTGTCACCAAGAATAAGTGGTAAGTAGATACTGTGGGACAAACAGCATTATGTCACTCTCTAAATACATGAAATTTATGAGGACTAAATCCTGACATATTCTTGACTCCTTAAATTTGCAAATACCTCTCTCCCATATAATATATACCTTAAAATGCACATTGAACAAGAGATAATCACAGAATTGCACTGACATTGTGGTGCTAGGCTCAGCTGGCCCAGCCCTTTCCACAAAGGAGTGGTTAGCTATTTTCCATGTCTGCCTCACAGACTGTGATTTAACTTCATGCTTTGGAAAATGGTGTGTTAGTAGCTGGCCATGTGCCTTCAACTTGCTTAGGAATATTTGAAACTATGTAAGTGGATCAGTGCCTGATCCCAACTGTTCATTGGATCAAATGGAAAACACACACACACACACACACACACACACACATCATTCCTGAACAGTCTGACTTAATGGATCTGTAGCAGGGTCATGGCATCCCTTGTTGTAAAACTTGCACAGGTGATTCTAATGTATAACCAGAGTTGGGAACCACTGAGCTAAGACATTCAAACTCCACGTTGGCTGTGGGAGACATCAAAAAGCATTGGGCATGTCTCCTGGCTTCAAAAATATTTTAAACTGATTCATTGTCCATATCACATAATTCGTACTTTATTATATATTCTAATCCTCTAGTGTAACTTATGTCTAGACTATAACTTTGAGAATTAAACAAGAAACATGAATTGACTGTCATCTTTGTACCTGGCACTTTCAGGGTATGACAACTTTTACATAGGAAAGCGTCAAGGTTCCTTCTCTCAAGGCACCCTAGTCTAGCAGATAGAAAGAAAACTCCACAGGATCTAGTCTGTTAAGCTCTAAGCAATCAATCAATAATTGCATATAATTGATTTCAGTATTTTCTTTAATATGCTTAGTATTTGATATCTCATGGGTTCTTTTTATTTTTTATCTTATTTTATTTGAGATGGAATCTTGCTCTGTTGCCCACGCTGGAGTGCAGTGGCACCATCTCAGCTCACTGCAACCTCCACCTTCCGGGTTCAGGCAATTCTCCTGCCTCAGCCTCCCAAGTATTTGGGACTACAGGTCGAACTCCTGACCTCAAGTGATCCACCCACCTCGGCCCCCCAAAGTGCTGGGATTACAGACGTGAGCCACTACACCCAGCCTCATGGGTTCCTTTTAAATAGTTTTAGTACTGGCTGGGCACAATGGCTCACACCTGTAATCCCAGCACTTTGGGAGGCTGAGGTGGAAGGATTGCTTGAGCCAAGGAGTTCAAGACCAGCCTGGGCAATAAGGTGAAACTCCATCTCTATAGAAAACATAAAAATTAGCCGGGCATGGTGGTGCATGCCTGTAATCCCAGCTAATTGGGAGGCTGAGGCACGAGAATTGCTTGAGCCTGGGAGGTAGAGGTTGCAGTGAGCCGAGATCAGGCTACTGCACTCCAGCCTGGGTGACAGTGAAACTCTGTCTCAAACAACAACAACAACAACAACATTTTAGTCCCATATGTTAGTGAAGGTGTCCTAGGTTCTTGGTGCAAAAAGTAAAAGAATATACATTCAACTCTGTGTGGATCAGAAACCCAAATCAAGAATGGCTTAAACCAGGTAGAAATGTGCTCATCACATGTACAAGGAGGCAGGGCCCAGGGCTGTGGTGGCACTCCACATGGGAGTACCATTCATCTTTTTCTCCATCTCTCTGGTTATAGCATTGAGTATGCAAGGTCCAAACATTATCACAAGGCACACGGGAAAAAGAGGTCCTAGTAGAGAGCTAACCAGGTCCAAAACAAAGACTAGAATCCATTAAAAAGGGATTGTAGCCAACTGAGTTTGCATTTTCACCTAATTTGTCAATGATTCTAATTGAGTCTTTAAGCACTCATAAATTCTCCTCTACCTAACTGGAGGTGTTGATCCAGAAACAGCATGTTTCATTTACAAATGCACAAGCGCCCCTTACTTCAGCCATAAGGACATCAAGAGTTTGTCTATTTTGCATGGCCACTGAGGCCAGAGAATTTATGGACTGCTCTTGGGCTTTTATGGCTCCTACAGTTACCTTTCACCCTTGTTACATCATGATAGAAATATTAAGCACTGATCTTTCAAGAAGGGGAACACCGCCAAGCCAAAATAGGCCTCTGGCTATTGCATATTTTATTCCGTTTTTCTAATATAGGATTGCCATGTGCATATTCTTGCCAGTTCTCTCTCTTTCATTTTAATCTCCATATGATGGCATAGAGATAAGTGATCTCCTGTTTTGGTATGTGTGATGGAATGCACTTTCTGTAAAAGAGCCCAAATTGGCGATGTCACCCAACAATGCTACCCTGTCAGTGGGGTTTAAAAATAACAAATTGGGGACCATTGCCACTATAGTGCATGTTCCTCTCCAGCGCCTGGGGAGGAATAAGCATAGCCTGGAGCCACAGAGAAAGTAAAGCCCTGTTCCCTGAAGGGATGGTTCTATGTTGTGATTTATGAGGGTTCCAGCTAAGTTTAGTCCAGGCCTTATAAGGTTGCCTTCCCTACATCTAATTCAAGCATCTTTAGAATAAGGATATCCATACTTAGTATAGTCATCCACAGTATTGTTTGGAACTTTACATGCTGGGAGGGAAGAATCTGTTTGGCAAATATAGTTTTGAAAGATCAGAGACGCAATATGTTCCAGCCAGTATCTTAGACAACCCTCCTTACAGCGGCTATTGGCCCAGACATCCCCTGTTCATTCACAAATCTGCAGATCACTGTCATTATCAAATATCATACAAGGGTCCAGGATTCCATGTGTGGGCATGTTTGGGAAGGACCATGTGCTATTTATTACCTGATAATAAGGTTGGCGAGGGGTGGCATTTCTGCCCGGGGTAGACATTCCCATTGGGAACTCCACCTGGGAGGTCTGGCTAGATTGTTAAAATTTTTCCACAGTCTCTCCCAATGTTTGGTGTCACCCTTGTTCCTTCTTAGTCTCCAGATCTCTGTGCTCTCAGCAATTACAAGCATACTGTTGCAATTATTTAAGGTTTCCCGAGTATGGTCCTTTTCCTTTACTCTTAAAGCAGAGACAGGCATTGGCTATCATTCTATCAACTTCACCTAGTCTAAGGGTGTGAGTTTTACCATCAGGAGGTGTGTCTTTCTGGGTGGAGTTAAAAATGCTCCCATACCATGTTCCCTTTATACCTATTAGGTCCTTAATGATTTAAGGTAAAGCCATCAGAGGGAAACCCTAAGATAGTGAGTTCTGAATCATCAAAGAGTCCATTGGTGTTATTAAACTGAGTAAATTGTTCAGGGCAAACCCAGTAATCAGTCTTGTTGTAGAGATCGGTAATATCTGATATTGTAGGAGCCAAAGAATGTGAGGCATTGCTACATCTAACAGTGAATGCTAGTAAACTTGATAGTAACAAAATCTTCATGTTTATCTCTTGCCTGTGACTACTATCCCTGCTATATGAATAATAACTAAGCAAAAGATTATGGCAATTGAGACTCTTTTCCCAATATTCCACTTAGAAGGTGCCACAGTATGCAGTCCTACTGCAAAGAGCAAGGTGAGTACAACAATTCCCATATGTGTGAAGTAATAAAGTTCCACTTTAAATCTTACTCACCGAGATATATAATTTCTTCGTGGGGGTGGTTTATGAGGTTATGAATGGAATCCCATGGATAATCAAAATCTCCCTGTAAGTATGTGACAAAGAGAAGTTCTAATATCTAACAGCAAATCTCAAGAGGAAAGGTAGAAATGACTTTAGTATCTGGTAAGGAAGGGTGGGATTGAACTGAACAGAGAGTTCCCACTCATTTACTTATCTTTTGGATTTTCAGTTTGAAATCCCCAGACTTTTCACACTGATATCTGAGATGTTCTTCTGGGATGTCAGGGGTCATTCCAGGCCTTGACTCGAGTGTGATGAATCCAAGATTCCAGTCCCACAAACTTCACTGCCGAGCAGGTGGAGAGAAGGATGGTATAAGGTTCCTCCCAGCTGGGACCTAGAGAGGGGAAAAGAGAGGAAAAATCCTTCACCAGTACCAAGTCTCCTTGGTAGAACAGAGGTGGCCCTAGTTCTTGGGGTTGGAATTCTGATAACTGTTTTAATTCCTGCTAGAACTGGGCCAGGGAGGTTACATGTTTAACCAATTCAGAAGTTCTCTGATGTAATATAAAATCATTGGTAAGGAAAGGCCGTCCATATACCATTTCAAAAGGGTGAAGGAACACCCCTTCAACCCCAAATTTGAAGGGGTGCTCCTCACCTGCACTAAGGCTATAGGAAGATAAGCAGTTTAGAGGAGGTGAGTTTCTTGAGACCACTTCCTGAGGTGTCTCTTAATGATATCATTTGTTTTCTCCACCTTCCCTGAAGACTGCAGTCTTCAAGCACAATGAAGATGGTATTGTATGCTCAGTGCTTTTGAGACCCCTTGGGTAACAGCTGCCTTAAATGAGGGGCCATTGTCACTTTGGAGGTATTTAGGGAGTCCAAAACGAGGAATTATTTCATTGACTAATGCTTTTATCACCTTAGAGGACTTTCTGTTTGACATAGAAATGCCTCTACCCAGCTAGTGAAGGCATCCACCCACAACAAGAGGTGCTGAATTCCCCTTATCTTTGGAAAATGGGTAAAATCCATTTGCCAGTCCTCCCCTGGGCAGTTTCCCATTCTTTGTGTTGCTGGGGATGGGGAGATGCCATTTGTTGAGGGGATTGTTTTTGAGGCAGATCTTATAAGCATTAACAATTTGTTTGACTGTTTTTGGTAGATATTTACCTGAGAACAACCTCTGGGCTATTTGATGAGTTTTATTCTTTCCCAAGTGAAAAGTTTGGTGAAGGATCTTAAGAACTTTCCACTGACTGGAGACTGACAAATAACATTTGCCATCCTCTGATTGTAACCATCCTGAGGGCTGAAAAGTGTATCCTCGAGAGGTGGCCCATTCTATCTCTGCAGGAGAATACTGAGGCTTTATTTCCCTTATGGAGCCCTCCCAAATTAGACAGCCTTCAAGTGTGCTGGGACTTTGGGGTCTTCTTACTGCTGACTTAGCTGTTTGGTCTGCTAGCCTATTTCCTTCAGCTATTTCATCCATCCCCTTCTGGTGTCCTTTGCAATGTATCATTGCCACTTCCTGCAGAAGGAAAACTGAGGACAACAATCTATTTCCTAATGGTATTTAATAAAAGAGCCATTAGCAGTCAGGGAGTGTCTTTCTTTCCAAATAGCGGCATGAGCATGAAGAACCAGGAAAGCATACTTAGAATCCATATATATGTTAACTGCCTTAGCTTTGCTTAGTTCAAGCACCCTCATGACAGCAATTAACTCAGCTAATTGAGCACTGTACCTGGTGAAAGAGGTGTGCTTTTAATGATGTCATCCAGGGTGACTATTGCATACCCTGCCCTACAGGTTCCTTGTTCTATAATAGAACTTTACTTGTAAAGACAGCCCAGTCTCAGTTTTCTAGAGGAGTTTCCTGGATGTCCTCTCTGGCTGCATAGGTTTGCATCACTATTTTTTCACAATCATGTTCAGGTTCTCCAATTTCATCTGGAAGGAAAGTGGCTGAGTTCAGGAAAGGACAGGCCTTTAACTGAACTGCAGATCCCTCCAGCAGCAAAACTTAATATTTGAGGAGGCGATTATCTGTTAGCCAGAGACTTCCTTTAGAGGATAACAGTCCCTTTACATTATAGGGGGTGTAAACAATCAGGTCATTCCTCATGCTCAACTTAGTCACTTCTGGCACCAGCAAAGCCACCACTGCAACTGTTCAGAGGCAAGCTGGCCATCCTTTAGCCATCAAGTCAAGTTCCTTGCTTAGGTTACTGGATGGCTGCTGGGCTGGGCCTCAGGCCTGAGTTAAGACTCCCAAAGCTATCCCCTTCCTTTCTGAGATGTGCAGATTAAATGCCCTCCCTATGGAAAGACTGAGGGTTGATGCTTTAAGTAAAGCTTGCTTTAGCTGTTTAAATGCCTTCTGAGCCTTAGGTTCCCAGATCAGGGAGTGAGTTTCAGCTATTGAGTTTCTTTTATAAGGTGATATGAAGGGTGAACTATTTCACTGTACCCAGGTATCCACAATCTGCAAAAAACCCCAAAATCCTCTTAGCTGTTTGAGGGTTTTGGGAAGGGGGAAGGAGGAAAGAGGCTGAATCCTCTTCTCATCTAATGTGCTGGTTCCTTCTGATAAGACTAGACCTAGGTACCTTACCGAAGTTTGACAGAGCTGAACTTTAGATTTGGAAATTTTATATCCACTACCTGCTAGAAAATTAAGAAGAGCCTCAGTGCATTTTTGAGAAAGTCCCTCAGTTGGGACACAGAGGGGAATATCATCTACTTATTGTAAAACTTTAATCTGAGGATGAGAGAATTCAGAGAGGTGTTTTGATAATGCTTGCCCAAACAAGTGGGGGCTGTCTCTGAATCCCTGAGGCAGTACTGTCCAAGTCAACTTGGTAGCCTGATTGGAGGGATCCTCTAAAGCAAACAAGTATTGGGAGGTGCAATAGCATGCAGAAAAAGACTTCCTTTAGGTCCCACACTGTGAACCATTTATTTCCCTCAGGCATTTGAGTTAGCAAAGTATTAGGATTACAAACCACTGGATGGATTGGAATTACAGCTTCATTAATGAGATGGAGGTCCTGAACTAGTATCCATTCCCCACTGGGTTTCTGTACCCCTAATAGTGGAGTGTTACAAGGGTTGTTGCAAGGTCCAAGAAGGTCCTATGCCTTTAAATTATTAATGATGGCTTAAAGTCCTTGAGGGGGTACTGCATTAGGGGGTACTGCTTCTAGTTAGGGAAGGAGGTGGGATCCTTAAGGTGAATCTGGACCAGGATAGCAGTTGCAGCCTGACCAATTTTCCTGTGACTTGCCCACACCTCTGGGCTAATATTGATTTCTACTAAGGGGAGACAAAGAATCTGTCCTGGAACCGTAAGGATGGTGGCTCCCATATGGGCTAGAATATCTCTAGTAAAAGACTGGGATGCTCAGGCATGATTAAAAAGGCATGAGTAAATAGCAATTCCCCCCTACTACAACCGAGGGGCTATGAAAAATATTGGGTTAAAGACTTTCCTTAGACATTCACCATGGTTGTGATATGGGAGGAGAGAAGGTCAGGACTGGAGAGGAGAACAGAGAGGCTGGCTCTGGTGTCCAGAAGGAAGTCTACCTTTCTCCTTTCTACGTCCAGAATCAACCAGGGATCCTGGATAGTAATGGCAGTTCGAGTTGCTGGAGCCAAGAAATTGAGCCCTAGGACCCATTAGTCCTGCTGGACCATCTGGGAGACTGGCTCTGGACCTAGCAACCTATATCTCCAGGGACAGTTTGACTTCCAGTTGTCTCCACCACAGGGTGGACAGGGTTGAGGTGGCTTCTTCTTGCTGTCTGGGCAACCCCTTTTAAGTGCCCCAGTTTGCCACAGTGGTAGTGATTAGCAAATGCACCTGGGGGATTCTGGATTTTATAGGCCTCTAATGTGACCAGTAGAGCCTCTGTTTTTTCTCATATTTCCTCTTCTTCTCCTGGGCTTCCTCCTGGACTCTATTGTAAAAGACCAAAGTAGCCACTTTCAAGAGGTTCTCTAGAGTACTATCTGGACCTATGGCCAGTTTCTGCAACTTCCTTTTGATATCGGGGCTGCCTGGGTAATAAACTTGTCTTTTAAGATTAGCTTTCCGTCAACTGAATCAGGAGATAGGGAGATATGTTTCACTAATGCCTCTCTCAGCCTTTCTATAAACGCTGAGAAATTTTCATCTGGTTTTTGATCTATCATGGACAACTTACAATAATTAAGAGGTTTGGTACTTGTCCTTCTCAAGCCTTCCAGTATGCACATCCAAAAGTGTTTTCTATTCAACTCATCTATGGGATCATTGGCATTCCAACTGGGATTTTCAAGGAATACTGCCTCCCTCCCTATTGGTAATAGAGATTCTGCCACTTGTTCACCTTCTTTTTCTCTTTTGCTCTCCCTTCTTTTAGACTTCTTATCTTCCAGACTTTTAGACTGGCTATAGGAGATACATTGTTCATCTCTGAATGTTTCTGCTTCCTGTTAGGTTTTGGCTTAAAAGTAGCATAGCATCTCTCCATGTAAGATAAAACACTTACGTTAAATTTTGGAAAGACTCTATACATCTATTAGGGTCATCAGAGAACCTGTCCAAAGTTGGGAATTCCTTAAGTGGCACAACCAGAGGAACTAATGATTTGGCTATTGGGAGCCCTGAATAAGTGAGGCAGGTAGGGCACCCAGAAGTTGCATTTGAGGATTCCCCAAAGGGTTTGACTCTCTGATTTTGGGGAAGTATCTTTTGTAGGCTTGTCTGACATGGCTGCCAAGAGTGTGGGGTCAACTGTACAATGCTTACAAAGATTTGGGTTGTCTCGCAGGGCAAAGAAAGCTTGTATATAGTAAACCTTGGACCATTTACCCTCCTGCCTACAGAAAATATCTAGTTGTTGAATAGTATATAAAAAAAGACTTCCCTCAGAAAGCCAGGTTTTTTCATCTCCAAGATGGTAAAAAGGCCATGTCCTTGTACAATAGAATATGAGCCATTTTATCATCAGAACCTCAGCATCAAAGGAGTTCCAGTGATTCAGAATGCACTCGAGGAGATTACAGACTGCAGATGGTTTGTTACCCATCTAATAAGAGATGGGAGACAAGGCATCCCTCAGTCCCCTTCCTCCTCTCTGCGTTACCCAGGGTGGAGGGAAAGAGAGAAAAGGCATTCCTCTTCTCCTTCCTTCTCTCCTCTGGGTCCCTGCAGCCATCATAGGTGCCGCCCCATGGATGCAAGCATATCCTTCACCCATGGATCCAGAGGAGCCAGTAGGGCAGGACTAGTCATGCTCACCTGCATAAGGCTCTAGCTTTCTGCCCTGCTGGATTCCTAGACCCACTCAACCCAAAAGGCTCCCAAAGTACCCTAAGAGGCCTAGGAGAGATTCTGTAGTAGTTGGGTTTGGGCAAGACTCTTTAATGCAGGGAATGTCCTAATACCATCTGTGGCTTCCCTTGCTATAGCCCCAGTGAAAAATCAGAATTCCACAGAATGGGACTGATTAACTTCCAAACATAAAATTCCTTTTTTAAAAAATCCCATTGTAGTTGAATGCAGAACAGGTGCCTCAAATGAGCATAAGAATTGAATGGCTGCCATTCCTTTGATGGGGAGAGTATTGAAGCTAAGATTTGTCTTATCAGGATGGCTACCTCCCAGCTGTTGAAAGTGGAGATTTTTTTTGTTGTTTGGTCTACAAATAGGACATGGGCTCTGATCACTGATAGAGGAACGTAAAAGGGAAAAGAATTGGGAAACAAGGAGTTTGGGGCAGAGGGATGATAAGGCTCCCCAGGGAGAAAAATTCCTTTCCACTAGGTGGCATTGTAGGGTTAGAAATGTTAGGTAAAAACTCTGACTCCAAATTCTTTTCAGGCAAAAGTTAGAAAGAGAGATTTGGGGTTTGATAGGTTGCCCCCATAGCAAGCCCAGACCGTAAGAAAATTAACTTCTCTCATAAAAGAACTGTTTAAATTCACTGGACAATGCTGAGCTATTATATGGAGGAAAAAAACAACCCAAAAGGAGACGAGGATATTCACTCGGGGTGAAAGATCCTCCCATATGGTGCCATGAATGTCTATTATTGAGGGATAGAAAGGCCCTTACTAGGTGAAAATTTAGACTGAAGTCTTGAATTCCCTGTTTCCAGGAAATCACAAAAACAACAACTCTTTGAATTACATTCTTGATTATTAAGATACCAACTAACTCTACTCCGCAAGATTATATCCCTAGGTTACAAAAACACCCACAACATTGCATAGAAAGAAGAGGTTGGAGACATGATAGCCACAAGAAGAAAGAAGGAAAATGCAATAGGAAAAGATTGCAAGTCTTTGTGCTGACTCCCTGATGGGCTGTAGGGGACTGGAGTTAGTCCAAGGGCCTTCAGATAACACTGAGGGGGTAGCCCCAGCCAGAAACCTTCAGTTGCCCTGGGACCTTCCAATCCCACATGATGGCTAGGCCCTCTGTGAAAGCAAACTAGACTGGAATAGACAAGAAGCCTCAGAAATGCAAGTAAAGGTGAAAGTTAAAGGTCAACTCTTAATCATCCTTCTGATGAATTCCCTTCTTCCCAGCCAATGCACCAAAATGTGTTGTAATCTTACCAATGCACCAAGATGTAACAGTCTCCCGTTGTCTGAGATAATATCCAGAGTTCTTTGTCCTAATTCCAAGAAGATTAAGGAGTGCAGACAACAAGGGTGAAGTTGGAGTGAAACTTTAATAAGCGAAAAAAGAAAGCTCTCTGCCAGCAGAAGGGGGAGCTCTAATGGGGTGCCCACTATGAGGCCAGTTGTGGGGGTTTTACGGGCTGGAAAGGGGAATGAATGTGCTTAGTCTACCGGCTGTCTTGGAGAAGGCATGACTCAGCTTGGCCAGGCACCCTGGCCCAGGACCAATCAGAAAGCCTGGCCTAGGACCTTTGCCTGGGACCAATCAGGGGCTGAAGTTATGATTCACAGAGGCCAGACTCACAGTCCAAAAACTGGCAAGGAAAGTGCCCACTGGAACTAACTGGAGCCCACTGTGCCCACGCCCACAAAAGGAGAAAAAAACTTTTTCCTGGGAGCCTGCTGACTATACAAAGGACAAAGGTGTTTTTATGCCAGGACTTGTTCCCTCATCTGAGTGAGCCAGAGGTTTGTGCAAGCTTTTATCTGAATGGGCCAGAGGCTCTCCTATCTGTGCAGCCGTAGGCATGTCTCCAGGCACAACACCCTGTGCTAGTTCCCTTATCAGTGCCTGCAGCTTGATTTTTTCCCCAGGCTGCTTTTTACATTATGTGGGGTGAGGCACTGACTGGTGGGCCGAGGGCTCTCTGGGGACCCTTCCCTTGCTATTTACCTAAGGCAAGCTAATTCCTTTTAGTGTCATCCTCATCTCTTGGTCCTTAGATGGCTATCACCTCTGAATACAGCCGATATGAAGAGTTAAAGGGGAAAGTGATAATATCCCCTTGACATTTCAGGTATTCCTTCTGCTCACATACTATTGGCAAGAAACTAGCCAGTCGCCCACCTCCAGCTGTTAAGGGAGCCTTGGAAATGCACTAGGAATTATTGGCACCCATGTACCAAGCTAAATATTACATTACCATGGAAGAAAGGAAGAATAAATTTTGGGGTAACTAATGGTCTATCACAGGAACAAAACCAAAGCTCGTCTTGCAATGAGCAGAGCCAAGCAAAGGGTTACTTGCCATCAGTTTTAGGGTAGGAGGTGCTATTTTACAAAATACTCGTAAGTCATATATACCTATCAGTATATAAAAAGTCCAGGTGTAAAAAGAATGAATTACAAAATGTCTTTAATATTTGTAATGAGGAAATGATATGTAAAATAAAACAATAGCCCTCCCCTTTCTCTGAAAGCACTCTGACCACAAATTCCACTTAGCCTGCCAGCTCACACCTTTCAACTTCCTTTACCAAAATTTCCCTCCTTTACATCACAATATTAAAAGGGGAATCTGAGAAAGCACTTTTCAGACAAATCAATATGTACCCAGGATGACAGCATAGATTAGTAAACCACAGCAAAGTTTATTCATGTGCCAGGGACATAAAGATACATTAATTGTTTGTTTTTCTAGGCTGCCAGTATAAGCTTTTCAAAATGTTTAAAGTAAATAAAACCAATAATACAGCTAGATACCACATTGCAAAGAACCCTAATGCTATTTATCAGCTTTAAAATACTTTCAACTGAAATCAATTACATTTTAATATACACATATTATATAGAAATTACCTATAGCTCTTTTAAAAATCCTATGACATTAACATGAAACTTTATTAGAATTTAAGATTCTATATGCAGACCTGATAAAGCCTTAAATTTAATTATTTTGGAGTAATGTCTTCTTAAGAAATGGTAGATAGGATAAAATAATTTACAGATTTATCTGCCTTTGAACTGGAAGGAATTTTAGGTAATCACCTGGTTCAACCTACTCCCTAAAGTCACACAGCTCTATAATTTCCCCCTCACTCAGCTACTTTTTTCTGTCTAAAGATATGTCAAAGCGATTTCATATGTAATCATGAGACATTCAAGTGCAAGATAATTTACCAAGAAATCCCACTCCAAGATCCACTGTACTTATTTAACAAGACAAATTAAGTTTGTGTAATGAAAATACACAACAAACATTGCATTTAGCGTTTTGACTCCACTTTTAATTAATGAATCATAGCTCCTATGCTGAGGAAACATATTATGTATAGATTAATATAAATAAATTACTGGATTGGCTAAATGAAATGCATCCAGTTCAATGGAAAATGTGCATTCTATTCAGAGCCATACTTTAGAAAAAAAGAAAAGAAATATAAATAAGCAAAATATAATTCAGAGAAGGTTGGTATATTTGCAGTTGGAGCATCTTGGCTTGAATGTCTTTATATATGACTCAGAAGCCTATCAAAAGGGCTCTGAGCCTCAGACACAAGATCAATGCCTTCTTTGTAAGTGTTCCTTACCCAAAAATGGCTCTGCAGGAGTGTCCTTGGGCAGCCAGGACACATAGACAGCCTCTGCAGGAACACTTGGCTCTAGAATTTGGGACTGAGGGAGATGCAGCGAGCCCATCATGACGAGTGCAACCAGATGTGGAAGAAGCCAATGTGGGCATGTCACGATCTCATCAGCATGCCAGTGTAGGAGAAGCAGAGGCTCCGGGGTCTCCCTGCTGATCTGGAAGATCTTGTCTGCTGCTTCTGTACACCTGGTGCTGTCTGAGTAAGACAGGTCTTCCAGATATTTGGTAGTGATTAAGTGAAACATATGTTCCAAGAAAATGTTTACTATGCCAGGAAGAAAGCAATCGCTGGCCTCTCACTGGAACATGATGAGAGGGACCTTTGTGATGACGGGTCCATCAGTCAGAAGAGGGTACGATGGCTGAAGTAAAATTAAGATGCCTGGTCTCCAGTTTTCTGCCACACAACATGCTTGTAGAACAGAAATTTGGGAACACTGCATAACAAATGGTGGATGTAGATGTTTCAAACAACATCTAATCTAGTTAGACGTGGCACCTGGCCAGAGTAACTACGGTTCACTAAAACTATTCTGGATTAGGCTTAATACCGTCTGCAGGACCTTTTCTCTGGAGGGGCTGGCATCAACCACATGGCAGCCAGGATTCTCCATCCGCTGGTAGGACATTTCTACCCTGGGGACAGGCAAAACACAAAGAGTTGGTCTACTTTTTCACACAGCTATTTGCATTAATGTTCTTTTCCTACCATAGTATAAATAGCTTGAAGCAAGCTTCCCATGTCATTTATCTCACTGTAACTAGCTTTGCCCACAGAAGACGTTCATGCATTTTGTTTAACAAATAATAAATGAATAATAATGTTTAATAGCTAGCACTTGTTGAATACCTGTTTTCTGCCAAGCATTAGCATTTTGCATGATTTTTCTCATTTAATTCTCAAAGTAACCTTAGGAGGGAAGACTATTGTCATCCCTGTTTTGCAGAGAAGGCAACTGAAGCTCAAAGAATTTAGGTAATTTGTTCAGTGGCAAATTTCCCCCAAGTCTGTGCCCTGAATAATTTTCATACAAGCCACAGTCCTTAATATATGCATGGGACTCTTCTAATATTTTGCCAGAAATCTACATATCCTTTCCATGCTAGCTAGCCTTCATGTGTATACAGAGTGACTAGTGCCTGTTTCTTTATGGAATCCTTATAGCACTGTGGTTAAAATAGGGGTGTCGAGGTGGATCGTCTGCATTCACAACTCTGCCTGACCACTTCCTAGCCAAGTGAATTGGTCAAATCTCTTCTCCTCTCTGTGTCTCAGTTTCCTGTTCTGCAAAATGAAGACTGAAACCGTACCTTCCTTGCAAATGTTCACTGAAGTTTAATGGAATTAATACAAGTAAATTGCTTAACATAATATCTTTACCCACAGCAGCTACCATTATTTATAACATTACTATGTTATGATAACAGGGCTATCATTGTTCAGTTAGAGAAAATATTTCTGCTTCAGTTTTTAAAGGCAGTGGTGTAGAACTGATTCATACTCAGTCATGAGGCAGGAGGCCTGGCCAGACTCTCTTCTGCAGTCGTGTTTATAACTTTCTAATTAAAACAAAAACACTGGCTGCAAAATCAGAAAGATTTTAATCCCGGTTTTACTAGTGAATAGTTATGTACATTTAGACAAATCACTTAATCCTTTGAGCCTTAAAGTTGTAAACTGTAAAATACGGCTAATGTTTTCCTCACAAGGATGACATAACATCAGTAAAATGCCTGACACACGGGAAGCATCTAATAGGTAGATGTTACTATGAGCTCGTTATCTAGTGCTCTGTGTGATTATACTATGACTGGGGAAACTGAGGCACAGAGACACTTACTGTCTTACCCAGGTGCAGCTGCTCCTAGCACAGCCAGGATCAGTGGCAGGGTCTGATCCCTAGTCCGATGACCTTTGCTTTAAGATAACAATGCTGCAGCCCTGTGGTGACAAGCCCATTGGAAGGGGCTGAAGTAACTTAGAGGATGTTGTCTCTTGTGTTTGAAAACTGGAAACAATATCACTTCCTCACAATCCTAAAGCCAGTGCCAGTGGTTCATCTCCCTTCAGGAATGCCTGCCGCTCACATTGCATTGCACTGGGACACCTACTTTTGACGAAACACACTGTTGGCCTCAAGTTCTGCTTCTTCCCTGGTCTTCTCCATGCCCCGGCCCTGCAGCCTCTGCAACCTCTCCTCAGGACTCACAGTGAGCAGCAGGATAAGGTCAGGTTTGAGCAGGTCCTCTGGCCACTGGTACACAGGGTGATGGGCTGGGGGCAGGTGCTGGAGACCCCCACTCACCTCAGTGGCTATGGCATAGGTGGCCGTGCTGTGCCAGTACCTGAGAAGGAATGGGGTAGTGAGTTCTCTGTCTGCAGAAGAAGTCAAAGTAGCATCTGAAAATCAGCAGCCAGGAATGATGAAACCAGGGTTGGCTCTACAGAAGTTTTTCTAGTATTGCATAAGTTAAATAAAATTAAATTTTATAAACTAAAAAAAGTTATACAATATTGTTTAAAAAATAAAATTGACAACAGTAATAATGCAGTGTGTTCTTCACACAGCTCCATTGACCCATCTCAAACTACCATTTAGTGTGGCCTCCCCTCTGTCATCACATCTTTTTGGTCCTGCTGTCCGCATTCCTCTATGAAAGAATGGAGGGTGACAGGGGACAATGAACCTGTTTGGCAGTTCATTTGTATTTAAGGGCTGTGTCTTGGCAGACTAAAATCCTGGAAAGGCCATGTCAGTTCCTACACTGTTTTCACTTGAACTTGCCAATGAAATTCACATTCTGGGACCCCTGAGGTAGAAGCCTCTTTGTTTCTCCCAACTATCCAGTCTGCTGATGGTGCCTCAGTATGAGACAGGGAGACAAATATGCCCTGCCCAGCTCCATGAAAGTCCTCCCTAAGCAAGTCAGTCGCTCCTTCTGCTGGCTGTTTTAAAAAGTGATTTTGGGGGAGGAAAACAAAGTTATTACCATACACAAAAGTCAAATCAGTCTCTATTTAAAAATGCCTAGTGGCTTCCTACAACCTACAGGAAATGCTTGGTCTTCTGGTAAGACACAGAACATCCCTCCTAGTCTGCACCTGCTTACCTTTTCCTCTGGTGAGAGTGAGGTTCTCAGCCAGCAAAACTCTCCTCTCCCTTCAGACTCCTAGGAAGCCCCCAAACAGAATTGACTGTTTTCTCCTCTGTGCTCTCAAAACCCTTTCTACGTGACTCTACTGAAAAACTCCTCATTGCAAATCAGAACTACTTGTTATAAGTGTAATATCTATTGTCTCCTCCATTAGGTAATTTCTTGAGTGGGAAATCTTTTTTAGTAATGCATGTCTGGCACATAATAGATATGCAATGAAAGAATGTTATTTGGGTGTATAAATGAATAAATGAATTAGAACGATTTCATTTATCAGCATAGTTTATTATACTCTTGCCCTGTTCATGCCATCTTCCAATTTTAAAGGACTAAATGGACAATTCAGATCCAATATAAAAGGACCATCACTCACAATAAATATTTATGATATAAACATTCCAACGTAGAGATACCCAGGGGCCCCTCCTCATTTGTACTTTCAAATTACCACCTTCAATCCTTTATTTTTGTTTTGAGGTGGAGTCTCACTCTGTTGCCCAGGCTGGAGTGCAGTGGCACGATCTCAGCTCACTGCAACCTTTGCTTCCCAGGTTCAAGCATTTCTCCTGCCCCACCCTCCCAAGTAGCTGGGATTACAGGCATGCACCACCACGCCCGGCTAATTTTTGTATTTTTAATAGAGATGGGGTTTCATCATGCTGGCCAGGCTGGTCTCAAACTCCTGACCTCAGGTGATCCACCCGCCTTGGCCTCTCAAAGTGCTGGAATTACAGGCGTGAGGTACCATGCCCGGCCCAATTCTTTAAAATCCTAAAATTTTGATCATTTTAGAATTGAACTCCTCTCCACAGTGAAAAGTACACAGTGGTATCCACATAATAAATTCCCTGTGTTACCTGAACTGTACATTATTCTGCCTGTGTCCCCCGCCCCACCTGTTTTGTACATGTAGGTAAAAGTCATCTAAGCTAATATAGCCTCCATCTCCTCATCTGGAAAACACAGATCATGCAAGGTTTGTTTTCCTTCCATAGTTGTTACAAATACAGACAAGTGCTTAAAAAAAACTGTATCACACTGTTACTATAAGATAAATATCTAATTCTTATCAGACACTGGTTATAACTAAAGCCGGATCATTGCAAATTATGATAACAGAACACAGGACAGCACTGAAAAGGAAACAAGTAAAAAATTCACTTGGTTGGGAGGCTGAGGTGGGTGGATCACGAGGTCAGGAGATCGAGACCATCCTGGCTAACATGGTGAAACCCCGTCTTTACTAAATATACAAAAAATTAGCCGGGCGTGGTGGCGGGCACCTGTAGTCCCAGCTACTCGGGAGGCTGAGGCAGGAGAATGGCGTGAACCCGGAAGGCAGAGCTTGCAGTGAGCCGAGATCGCGCCACTGCACTCCAGCCTGGGCAACAGAGCGAGACTTCATCTAAAAAAAAAAAAGAAAAATTCACTTGGGAGTTGATAATCTCAACACCATCCATCCTTCAAAGCCCTTGTTCACCTCCAAAAGTGTGCTCTGAGAGCTTCAGGCCACTGCCAGCTCCTGTGAATTCTGCCTGGACACCTTCCTATGTGTTACTTACCCAACTCCTGTTACTCACAAACTTGTACTTTCACTCTCTCTGCCAGATGAATTTTGTCCCTCAAGCTCAAAAAAAGCCAATTAGGGTCTCAGTTTTCTTTTTCTGGTACTTAAACTATAATTTACACCATGGTCAGCACATGCTCCAGATTCATTGAATTAAATACCTACCTATGAATATAGAGTCTGATATTATCTTATTTTTAAAGTCTTCTTTATTGTAGAAAAGTCACCAGCAAGAATAGATTTTTAAAGGTAATGGGGTGATTAAGACTCCAACCTTAACCACAGTCCCCGTTAAAAATTACTGTCTCTCATATTTTTCAGCTAGATAATGGTACTGTCTAAAATGGATTTTATTAAAATCTTTAAACATGAATAAAATCCACAAAGACAACAAATAACTGCTCTTTTCTTTTCATCTGACAAGGTGATACAGCATTTCTTTAAAGAACTAAATTGCAGGCAATTCACACACACAAAGAAGACAAATCAAGGGAAGAATTAAGGACCTGTTTCCTATAGAGTTCTCCCATTGAAAATACGGCTGCTTGTTTTAAATAATTGCACCCTTAGCCCATCAATTTCAGACGCTTCCCACTATTTAGTATTCTCCACTCCTGCTATCAGGGAAGCCACATTAGTTCAAATCAAAAGCAATTTGCCAACACATTATACACTGCTCATATAATAATGCTTTATATTTTAATAGCAATTTCCTATTTTCAGGGTACTTCCACACACATCCACTCACTGAATCATCATCACAACTCTTGACAGTAGGCAGGGAAGGGGGCATGAGTATCCCCACTTAACAGATCAGAAAACTGGGGGACAGAGTGCAGAAATCCCTGCCTGCACACAGTGGCCAGTGCTGCTTCAGGATCCGCAGGCATCCTAGGACATAATGGACCTCGAAAGTCATACCCTACTAGGAAAACCTTAGTCTTTCTCTTGGAAATAAAGGGGACTGTATCAAAAAAGATGTCAATATGGTTTGGTTCTTTGTCCCCACCAAAATCTCATGCCAAAGGGTATTAGGTTGGTGCAAAAGTCATTGCGGTTTTTGCCATTAATAATAATATCAAAAACCACAATGACTTTTGCACCAACCTAATAATTCCCATTGTTGGAGATGAGGCCCTGTGGGAGTTGACTGGATCATGGGGGCAGACACCCCCCTTGCTGTTCTCGTGATGGTGAGTTGTCATGAGATCTGGGTGTTTAAAATGTGTAGCACTTCCCCCTGCTCTCTCGCCTCTGCCTCTGCCCCTGCCCCTGCCCCTGCCTCTCTCTCTCTCTCTCCTGTTGCCATTGTTTCCTCTTCAATTTCCACCATGATTGCAAGTTTCCTGAGGCCTCCCCAGCCATGCCTCCCATATAGCCATGCAGAATTGTCAGTCAACTAAACCTCTTTTCTTTATAGATTACCCAGTATCAGGTACGTCTTTATAGCAGTGTGAGAAAGAACTAATACAGATATCACATATGATAACATCGGGCATGTTAACAATAGGGCAAAAACATTTTCCAGGCAAAGCCTTCCCATAAAGGAACAAGATTTCGTATCCTTCTCAGTTCATCCTAAGATTCCATGTAACTTGCCAACCTTGAAATTATTATTGTTATCCCCATTGCCATCCCTATTGTCATCCCAGGATTAAAACTACTCAAGGGCCATCACAGCCTAGACTGCAGCCACAGCCTTCTAGCTGATTCTTTTTCCTTTCTTGCCCCTCCCCCACCACACACTTTATTCTCCACATACAGTCAGGGTGGTCTCTTGATGGAATATTTCAGACATACAGAAAAGTGTACAGAAAAAGATATACTTTCAAGAAAGGAGTAGTAGTTCTGTGTCCAGATAGGACAAATCAGCTTTTCAGTGACCAGCTTACCCACCAGGAACAAGTGGAAAAACTAGAGGAGTCAAAATTAAAGCCTGGTAATACTAATGTCAACAGGGCTGTTAGTCACAGGGAATTGGCAAATACTGCTGTGGGGAGGGGAGGAGACTCAACATTCTTTCAACCTCTTTAGAATACTTTTTGCAACATCTACCAAACCTGAACAGCCACAAACCCCATGCCCCTGCAGTTCTGCTCCTGGGAACCTATGTAACAGAACTGCATCCATATGTGCACCAAAAATGCATAAAATTTAGTTCACAACAACACAGGCAAATCTTCAAAACACATGTGGTATGAAAGAAGTCAGGTGCAAATAAAACTCCATACCTAACAAATAGTTGCATCTGTAGGCAGTTTAAGAACAGGCAGAACTAATATATGGCTATGGCAGTTGGGACAGTTGCTACCCCTGGGGAGGAAATGGGCAGTGACTGGGTGGGGGCAGAACAGGGGTGTAGGGGCTGTGGCAGGCTCTCATTCTTGATCTGGGTACAGGTGACTTGACTGTGTTCACTTCTTGAAATTCCTTGAGATTTACATTTATGATTAATGTTCTTTACCAACTATGCCATACTTAAATGCAATTGCTTATGTTTACAAAAATAAGTAAATCTTTGGAGAAAATGAACATTCAAGAAATGTTAAGAAATAATCCAATCACAATCAAAGTCCTTCTGATCTCCTTATCAACCACATTTATCTCTACTTCCCAGAGAACAACTTTCTTAAATCTGCTGTTCAACATCCTTTCATCTCTCTACTCTTTGCAGTATGGATAACTGCATGTATTCTACTGAATAAACATCTTTTGGCAACTTGACATTTTCATTCAACATTACGGTTTTGTAATGTGTGTGCCCTCATGCATTGCACAACATATTTACACTGCTGCTGTATGGTTTTCCACCTTATACATATGCTGGTATTTATTTATGCTTTCTCCTGTTGATGGGCTTTAGGTTTTTCAAATTTTGCAACAGTATGAAGGAAGCTGAAAGAAACTTTTGTGAGTGTTTCTTCAGTAGGCAGGAGCAATCTTCCACTTTGCTACATCTTTTCAAACTGCTCTCTAAGTGATTATGCTACTATCATATGATATGTTCTGACTAGCATCATATGAGAGTTTCTATTGATCCATATCATATGAAGAAACCTTTAGTTATAGTAGTTTCACCAACTGGAGGGGAGTAAAATGAAATCCAGATGGGAGTAAAATGGAATCTCATGGTGATTATAATCTTCTCATCCATTTGTCATCGTGATGTAAGTTCAGTATGACCTGCTTGTCATATCCTTTCCTCTTTCTTATAGTATTTTTAAAGCTATTTTTTTCTTCTTTTTTGTTTTTTGTTTTATTGTTTTTGGGATTTTTTTTTTTTTTTTGAGACAAGGCCCCTCTTGCTGTGTCATCCTCTTGCTTTGTCATTGCAGCCTCGACCTCCTGGGCTTAAGGGATTCTCCTTCCTGAGTCTCCTAAGTAGCTGGGACTACAAGTGGGTGCCACCATACCCAGCTATTTTTTTAAATATTTTTTGTAGAGACAAGGTCTCACTATGTTATCAAGGCTGGTCTTGAACTCTTGGGCTCAAGCACTCTTCCCACCTCAGCCTTCCAAAGTGCTTGGATTACAGGTGTGAGCCACTGCACCTGACCTAAAGCTATTTCTTTTCTTTTCTTTTTTTTTTTTTTTGAGACGGAGTCTCGCTGTCGCCCAGGCTGGAGTGCAGTGGCATGATCTCAGCTCACTGCAGGCTCCACCCCCTGGGGTTCATGCCATTCTCCTGCCTCAGCCTCCCGAGTAGCTGGGACTACAAGTGCCCACCACCTCGCCCGGCTAATTTTTTGTATTTTTAGTAGAGACGGGGTTTCACCGTGTTAGCCAGGATGGTCTCGATCTCCTGACCTCATGATCCGCCCACCTCAGCCTCCCAAAGTGAAGCTATTTCTTACAGGTGAATTTTTAAAGTATAAATCAGTTTATGTCTCTCCTTTATCAGAAACATTCCAATGGCTCCCCAGTGCACTCAGAATAAAATCCATTCTATGAATGGCCTACAAGCCCTACAGACCTGCCCCAACCTTCCTCTTCCCATTCATCCACAAAGCACCTCCACATTTACTATGTTCTCAGAACATATAACATTTTCTAGTTGTCAGATATGTTAGCTTATTTCAGTCTTAGCTTCATTCTTGCAGATTTCTTTCTCCACAGTGCTTTCTGTTAACCCGGGAATTTTCACATTTGCCTTTTTTTTTTTTAAATCAGGGCTCTGACTAATGGTGCTTTCTCAGACAGGCCTTCCTAAACCATATCTAGTGGAGGGTTAGCCGTTTTTTAGCACATTACTTTGATTTTTCCTCTTCCCTGCATTTATCATGCTTTGATATTATCTTACCTCATCTTATGTATTATTTTATGTATTTGTTCACCTGATACTTTTCTTCTCCTATAATGTTAAGTTTGCTCCATGAAAATAGGGACTTATCTATCTCATTGATATGGTTTGGCTGTGATCCCACTCAAATCTCATCTTGAATTCCCACATGTTGTTGGAGGGACCCAGTGGGAGGTAATTGAATCACAGGGGCAGGTCTTTCCCATGCTGTTCTCATGATAGTGACTAAGTCTCACAAGATCTGATGGTTTTAAAAAGGGGAGTTTCCCTACACAAGCTCTCTACTCTTGTCTGCTGCCATGTGAGATGTGCCGTAACTTCCACCATGACTGTGAGACCTCCTCAGCGACATGGAACTGTAAATCCATTAAACCTCTTTCTTTTGTAAATTGCCCAGTCTCGTGTACGTCTTTATCAGCAGTGTGAAAATGAACCAGTACAGTAAATTGGTACCAGAAGTGGGGTGCTGCTGAAAAGATACCCAAAAATGTGGAAGCAACTTTGGAACTGGGTAATAGACAGAGGTTGAAGCAGTCTGGAGGGCTTAGAAGAAGACAGGAAAATGTGGGAAAGGTTGAACTCCCTAGAGATTTGTTCAATGGCTTTGACCAAAATGCTGATAATGATATGGACAATGAAATCCAGGCTGAGGTGGTCTCAGATGGAAATGAGGAACTTGGTGAGAACTGGAGCAAAGGTAACTCTTGTTATGCTTTAGCAAAGAGACTGGCGGCATTTAGCCCTTGCCCTAGAGATTTGTGGAACTTTGAACTTGAGAGAATAATTTAGGGTAACTGGTGGAAGAAATTTCTAAGCAGCAAAGCATTCAAGAGGTGACTTGGATGCTGTTAAAGGTATTCGGTTTTAAAATGGAAACAGAGCATAAAAGTTTGGAAGATTTGCAGCCTGACAATGTGATAGAAAAGAAAATCCCATTTTCTGAGGAGAAATTCAAGCTGGCTGCAGAAGTTTGCATAAGCAATGAGAAGCCAAATGTTAATCACCAAGACAATGGGGAAAATGTCTCGAGGGCATGTCAGAGACCTCTGCTGCTGCCCCTCCCATCACAGACCCCGAGGTTTAGAAGGAAAAAAATGGTTTTGTGGACCCAGGGTCCCTCTGCTCTGTGCAGCCTAGAGACTTGGTGCCCTGTGTCCCAGCCACTCTAGCCTTGAGTAAGAGGCCAAGGTACAGCTCAGGCTCTTGATTCAGAGGGGGAAAGCCCCAAGCCTCGGCAGCTTCCATGTGGTGTTGAGCCTACAGGTACACAGAAGTCAAGAATGGAGGTTTGGGAACCTCCGCCTAGATTTCAGAGGATGTATGGAAATGCCTGGATGTCCAGGCAGAAGTTTGCTACAGGAGTGGGGCTCTCATGGAGAACCTCTGCTAGGGCAGTGTGGAAGGGAAATGTGGGGTTGGAGCCCCAACACAGAGTCCCTACTGGGGCACTACCTAGCGGAGCTGTTTGAAGAGAGCCACTGTCCACTAGACCCCAGAATGGTAGATCCACTGACAGCTTGCACCATGCACCTGGAAAAGCTGCAGACAACACCAGCCTGTGAAAGCAGCAAGGAGGGGGGCTATACCCTGCAAAGCCACAGGGATGGAGCTGTCCAAGACCATGAGGACCCACCTCTTGCATCAGCACGATCTGGACATGAGAAATAGAGTCAAAGGAGATAATTTTGGAGCTTTAAGATTTGACTGCCCAGCTGAATTTCAGACTTGCATGGAGCCTGTAGCCCCTTTGTTTTGGTCAATTTCTCTCATTTGTAATGGCTGTATTTACCCAATGCCTGTAGCCTCACTGTATCTAGGAAATAACTAACTTGCTTTTGATTTTACAGGCTCATAGGTGGAAGAGACTTACCTTGTCTCAGATGAGACTTTGGCTGTGGACTTTTGAGTTAATGCTGAAATGAGTTAAGAGTTGTGGGACTGTTGGTAAGGCATGATTGGTTTTGAAATGTGAGGACATGAGATTTGGGAGAGGCCAGGAGTGGAGTTATATGGTTTGGCTGTGTCCCCACCCAAATCTCATCTTGAATTCCCATGTGTTGTGGGAAGGACCCAGTGGGAGGTAATTGCATCATGGGGACAGGTCTTTACCATGCTGTTCTCATGATTGTGAATAAGTCTCACAAGGTCTGATGATTTTAAAAAGGGGAGTTTCCCTGCACATGCTCTCTACTCTTGTCTGCCGCCATGTGAGACATGCTTTGTACCTTCCACCATGATTGTGAGGCCTCCCCAGCCCCATGGAACTGTAAGTCCATTAAACTGCTCTCTTTTGTAAATTGCCGAATCTCGGGTATGTCTTTATCAGCAGCATGAAAATGGACTAATACACTGGTTTATCATTGAATCCTCTAAATTGAGACTAGTCTTTGGCACACAGGAGGTGTCCAGTAAGTATTTGTTGAATAAGCCAATGAACAAATAAATGACTGAAAGTATAGACTCATTAATGTCCCCGGTATGCTATTTCCAGCTTACCTTGGCAAGTTATTTTACCTTTCTGAGATCTATAGTTCTCATCAGTAAACTGGGAATAACATGTAACATTCACCTACCCAAGTTATAGTTCCAGATACTAGTATTATATATGTAATTCTCTAGCAAATGCCGTGCCTGGTATAGGTAATTAACAATTCATAAGGAGAATTCCTATTATTATCATAATAACAGTTTGACTTAAACACAATTTTTTTCCTGGCATATACATGTACGTATACACACACACGCACACACACACACACACACACACCCACACACTTATATATTAGGGAGAAAATGCCTAATTCAAGGCATCTTTATACCTACCTGTCTACAATCACAGGAGATTTGGCAGATTCTTTAGCTATTTCGGAGGCCACAATATAATTGCCCAAAGAGTAAAAAGCTCTTCTAATGATAGTTGGTTCATCATCAAAGATCTTCCTCCACTGGCCAATGCAAGAGGGTGGTGACTTTAAGAGGACAGCCTTAAGTGAATCTGCCACTGACTGGGTCACCGTGGTTTTACCTGCAGGTCATACACAAAATATATACATCTTAACCACAGCCCCAAAGTTAACATTGACGTAGAAAGAGCACAGACGTTCTCTCAAACTGCAAATGAAATGAGTAGACTAAATAACAGGATTCTTTATAAAAAGCTGTAGACCCATAGGAAGTTAGGATTTCTCCGTGTGGTATTAGGAAACCCGGAGGAAAAATTCTGGTTAGTGATCAAATCTGATATTGGGAGTCTAGACACAAGAGCCCCTTTTACGTGTGACTTTTATTCCCGGCAGCCCAGCTACTGCTCACCCTCTTACCATGTCCCCCACCCAGAAGACTTTCTCTCCTCTTATTGTCTATAGTTGATGAACCCACACCTGGCATCCACAGCAACTCTTCTCGCCCCTCCTCTCTTTCTACCTTCTTCATACCCTGCTTCCACTTCTGTGCAATCCCTTTCCAATTTCCAGCCCTGGTTCTACCACTCACTCCTGTGCTTGCCCCTTTGGGCTTGGCCTTGGCCTTTAGAGCTTTTGTATCTGCTTTAGGCTTCAGCTTTCTCCTCAAAGGCACTGCTTAGGCCTCATTGACTTTCTGACTCCCCCTTGCACAGCCTCGGGTGACAGATTAGTCCCTTCCCAGAGCCCATCTCACAATTCTCAGCTGCTGCCTGGAGCTCAGGACAGGTGGTGATGAGAAGATCTACTCCAGCACACTGTGCACTAGTTTCTCTGAGCTCCTACTGTTTCGATTTATTTTTAAGTTTCTCTATCACACACTTAACACTTTATTGCCAACTATCTATTTTCTTTTTTTCTTAGGTTGTCAGGACGGACCCTAACAGTAGCTACCATTTCTCAGTGTCTGCTAGGAGCCAAGTACTCAGCACGTTATACTCCTAATTCTCCCAGTGACCCTGCAAAACAGTTATTATTTAATCATCTGACAGAAGAAGAAATTGAGCACTGGAGAAGTTAATAAATTTACCCAAACTCACCCTCCTGATAGGCCTTGGTGCAGGATGCAAATGCAGGGCAGACGGAACCACTAGCCTGTGTTCTTTCTGCCACTCTATGCTAACTCCTTGTAACATTTGTATGTGTGGATGCTTGTGTTGAGGCTGAATTTTTATGTCTCCTGTAATCCCACCAAATCTAAATTAGCTGTGGGTACAAAATAAATGATCAACAAAACACATCAGCTGAAGGATTGATGGTGTTACAATTCCCTCTGCAGCTGAAAGAAACTGTGATGGGTCCTGGACACGGCCAGTACATTTGAGTGATGACAGCTGGTCTCCCTGAAGGCCAGGACATGGCCCGCTCCTTCACATGGAGCCAGGATGGTCAACATGGGCCATCACCTGTGCCACATCTCCCTAGCTGGGTTCACAAGTACCTCTATATGGAAATTGCCTTTTATATTATTAAAAGTCTGTACCCCTCAAGTTTACACAGGAGGAGAAACTCCTACGCTGAACCACTCGGATGCTAGTTCTCCAACATCAACCCTCTCCTCAGTGTGTCCTGGGCCACAGGAGCAGCATGTCTGCCCCTTTTGTACTTTGGTCTCATGTGAGCACACATTATATTTTGACCTCAGTTTGACAGCTCAGAAGGCTTTTTTTTCTTCCATTTCCTAGTTCTTCCACATTTTGCTCCAGAAGAATCTCTGAATTGCCTGTGGTTCCTGGACACACCACCCTGGTTCAAGCCCCTGCACCTTTGCCCAGGCTATTTCTTCTGTCTGGAGGATGTTACCTGCTTTCATCACCTGACCAACTCCTATCTGTACTTAAAATACAATCCAGGTATCACCCTTGACCATGCACTCCACCCGACAAAGCCCCACAGAGGCCAGATTCAGTGCCCTTCCTGTGTTCCGCCAGAGCACTGAGGATCCGCGCCCACACATCATGCTGCTTCATATTGAAGGTCTTATTCATCTCTGCATCCCAGGGCCTGCCTAGCACAGGGCCTGCCACACAGTAGGGGCACACATAAGGCTCCATATAAAGTTTGGTTTTGCAGGAAGTATTTCTGTTTCTGCAACTAATCAGTTAGTGTCATTGCCTATAACTAAAAGGTAATATTATCTTACCCGTGGCATCCAGTCCTTCGATGGCAACAACCTGGAACTTTCCTTTCTGGATCTGTTTTGGGCACTGGTCGACCAGGTCAAGCACTGCCCGGGCTTCAGGAATAAAGGAGGTACACTGTAAAACAACGTCTATCCATCAGCAATGAAGCCAGGGGGCTTTTGCAGAAATCACACCTAAATTGCTGAGCACAATATTGCCGCATGCTAATAAGGCCTAAGTTATACTGAGCACTGTGCCAGGCCATGGGAATTCAGAGTATTTCGATGCTAGGATGGACTGGAGTGTTTTATTTTATATTGAGCAGCCGAGGCTCGAAACAGCTGTCCCTGTCTGGATCGCTTGGTGGCCTGCAGCCTTCACTGAGCAGCTTTGAGAAAGGCCAGGCAAGGCACATCATCACAATGTCCTGTGACACCGCAACCATGGAACTACAGGCCCGCTGGGAACACTGTCTCACAAGAATGGGAAATCAGCTGCACAGTGGGCTGGAGAGAGCAGTCTTCATCTGCAGCATGTCCTCTCCTAGCCATTCAGGGGGCTGAGATAAACAGCCAAGCACTGCAATCATGAAGCTGGCAGAGCAGCGTCCCCCTGGGAATTCCCAGTTCCTCAATGTGCATTATCTCACTGCACGCTCACAGCATCTCAGAGCGAGGCTCAGACACTTATGTGCTTGCTCTGAGCATGGCAATCTTCTAAGTGCTTTACAAGTATTCAGTTGCCAATCTCTGTGAACTGGGGTGGGGGGGTGCTATTATTATTCCCACCATATGAATTAAGGAAACTGAGGCAGAGAGTTGAAGAAACTTGCTCAAAGTGACACAGCTAATAAATGCCAGAGTTTAAATTTAAATACACGTGGTTGACCTTGCGCTCTTAACTGCTCCACAACGCTGTCCCGTAAGCTTGGAAAATATTCCCAAGATCCATGGGGGCATCCTCAGGGCTCATCTGTGTCACAGGAGGACATCTGCCTAGCCTGCGATCAGAAAGAATTTTCAGTCTCTTTCTGTGGGTACCTGCTGTGAGTCAGATGTTTCCTTAATCAGGACAACATCGCAAGATGGGAATTGTACATGTCAAAGGGCAAAACTTAGAGTAGTTGAGTAACCTGCACAAGGTTCATGGCCAGTCGGTAGGTAAACACTATTTAAGTCTAAATTTCTTAAACCCCCTAAACTCATGCATTTTCTTTTTCACCCCAAGATCCTTGAATGGTGATCATCAGCAAATAAAATTACTTCCCAGCTGACATTATTTTCCCTCACTCCCGGCAGCCCCTTTACTCCCTCTGTACTGCTGTTGGGATGCTTTTACAGCAAGCATCGCGTGGCTTGGTGTAGGTCTATGTTCCACGTCAGGTTGGAAGATCCTTGCAAACAAGAATCTTAAAAGAGTTGCCTGGCATACAGGACACCTTCCCTACCTGATTTGTGAACGGAAATAAACAAACCACCCAGGCAAGAACCGGCTCTACAGACCAGCCTCTTGGTCCAGTTCTCTGGTCTGAAGGGTTCAGATGCCACGCTGGGAGCTGGAAGCGGACAGAACTCTTACCTCCTCCAAAACGGCCCGGGCGGCTTCCCGGTCCGGGAAGACCACGGAACTGGGCAAGTCTGGCACCACCGGGTGCAGCGGGGGCTCCGGGACGGGCACGACCTGTGCGCAGCCCACCTGCAGCCGCCTGCCGTCTTGCACCTCCCAGAGGCGCTGCCACAGCTGGCCGCGCGGGTCGGCCTCGAACTCGCCCAAGTGCGGGCGTGGTGCCTCCTGACAGGCGCCCAGCAGCTCGAGCAGCGCTTGCCGGGTGTCAGGGTCATCCAGGGGGTCGCGCAGCAGGAAGCCTTGCTGTGCGCCGCCGGCCTGGCCGCCCGGGCAGTAGCAGAGCAGCCTGAGCAGCTGGCACCGCTGGAAGGGGCCGCGGCGCAGCTGGTGCAGCAGGCGCTGGTGCAGCCGCGCCGCCCGGACCCGGGCCCCGCAGCCGGCGTCCGGGGTCACGGGCACGCACAGCGAGTAGCTGCGCTCCGGGGGCCCCAGCAGCGCCGCCAGGCGGGGGTCGGGGGCGTCTGCGTCGCCGGGGGCGTCGGCGCCTAGGGCGAAGTGAGCCAGGGTGCAGTCGGGAAGCTCCAGGACGAAGCGGCGCGGCGGAGCCATGGCCCCAGCGCAGACCCCGCGCCGCCCGAGCAGCGGCCCCGACAGTGGCCCGCGCAGGAGCCGGCGGGCGAAGGCCATGGGCGCCTCAGCGACGCCGCCCTCGGCCCCGCCTCGGAAACGAAACCTGGCGGGAGCCAGGCGCCGGCGGGAAACGAAACCCGGAGGGAGCCAGGCGCCAGCGGGAAACGAAAGCGAAGCGTTGCGGGGAAACGAAAGCCGGAGGCCCAGGCGGGGCAGGAGCCCTGGGGCTGGGGCGCCCTTCCGGCCTCTCCTCCTCGCCGCGAGATGTGCGCGATAAACGGCCGGCGCTCGGGAGCAGACGCTTGGCCCCGGGGCCCCAGGTGCGCGGCTCCGCGGGCCTGCGCGGTCCCCAGGCGCCGGCTCCCGGGGCTGACACCGAATGAGGCCCCGCGCCGTCGGCCCCAAGGTAGCTCCGTGTGCGTTCTGCGGGTGGCTGGCGGCCCCGACCCTGGTTTGAGTTCCTCCTCTGCGGCTTATGCCGGGTGCATGGAGGGGGGCGGGGGTGCACGCGCGAGGGACAGAGAAGTCCCTTCCCGGTGTAACGGGCTCTTCAACGCCCACTTGCAGGCGCACTACTGCCCTTGGATGACTGACCAGGCCCTGCAGACCATGGGCTCCCTCCCCGACCTCAACTCCTAGCTCTGACCACGCGTCCCCGCCCCTCTAATCCTGCAGAGCTGCTTTCCTGCGGGAACAGGGCGCAGTTCTGGCTCTTCCCTCTCCTGTATCTTATCTCACCTGTGCACTCACTCACCTGTGCACACACTCACCTTTGCACACACTCACCTGTGCACAAGCTTTTCCCTCTTCTTGGAATTGCCCTCTCCCTTTTGCTGACTCTCCAACTGGGAAGTGTCGCCCAGATTGGCACCTCGAAATCGCCTTTCTTCCACCAAATTGAAGTTTCCTGCACTAAGGTGAAGTGTGTCAGGATAGCACCCTCTGCCTGCCACAGTCCAGCATCAGCACTGTTGCTGCCTAACAGTGTAACTGCCTAACAGTGTAACAGTGTTTGCGCAGTTATTTGGATATTTTATTCTGTGTTTACTCATTAACTGATGCCTTTTAAAAATGATGTCAAGCAAACCAAAAACAAACAAAAAGATAATATTCTCCAGGGAAACTCTCTCAAAAAAATAGAATTGAGACGAAGATTGAAAACATTAGATGAGCTGAAAGCAGTTTTTTTTTTATGTCTTAATAGTATTGGACTTAAACTTGGGATTATATTTAATTCTGAAAAAAAAAGTCTTAACAAACGTGAAATATAGATAGGTGGTTGGAGTGTGGGTTAATAGGCTAAGAAGAAAGAAGAATTAGGAGTTTAAAATTTTTTAGCTCTTTGAGAATAGAATAGTTTTTATTCTTTCTCAGGAATTTCACTTTTGGACATTTAGCATGTACCGGTGGTTTCACGTGTATGTAGTATATGGAAGTAAGAGTCTTCTAGTTACTCCCTTTTCTTCTCTAAGACAGTACTGCATCCTCAAGCCTGCTTGACCTTTTCCCTATGCCATCCACCTCTCTGGATGTATTAGTCTATCCTGGCTGCCATAACAAAATACCACGGACTGGGCCGCCTAAACAATAGAAAATTTGTTTTCTCAAAGTTCAGGTGGCCAGAGAAGCTGGAGATCAAGTTGCCAGCAGGGTTTGCTTTTTCTGAGGCCTCTCTTTCTAGCGTGCAGACCGCCTCCTTCTCTCTGTGTTCTCACGGGACCTTTCCTTTGTGCTTGCATCCTTGGCGTCTCCTTGAAGTTCCAAATTTCCTCTTCTGGGAAGGACACCAGTCAGATTGGGTTAGGGCCCATCATAATGTTCTCATTTTAATGTAATCACCTATTGAAAGCCTTATTTTGAAATACAGTCATACTGTGAGGCACTGGGGGCTAGGCCTGAGCATGAATTTTGGGGGACATGATATAGCCTATAACCCCCCACATATCTGGGTTAGTAGCCTCTCCTGTGTCCCCCACCAAGGCTATTTGTATCCTCGGACCTTGACACTCCACAGTCACGTGCCAGTCTATTTCCCACCACTGAGCACCTTGAGGGTAAGTAGGAAGACCAGCTTCTTCCTAACTTTTCTCTGAGCCTCCAACTGAAAGAAAACCTGACACACAGTTTGCTAAATGAAGCATCTTACCTTTTTTAATTTAAGTTTTCCTCTCTATTTTTCACCTACCTTCGCCCTACGAAGAGATGTAAAGTTAATAACACTGCAGTATTTGGGCTTAGTCAATATTATATAAGTGTTGAAGATGTTGAAGATATATCTTCATTCATAAATAAAAATTTCTGTTAGATTTTCAAGCCCCTTCAAATTTGTAGGACAGAGACTCTGAGAGCCACAGCTGGATGTTTATATTGACTAAACATGCCTGTAGCCACCCATCGTTGCAGGTGGAAAGGAGAGAAGCTGCAGGCTGGGAAGATACTTCAAAGAGGTGTCTTTAAATGAATGAACAGCACAGCTATATCATAGGAAAAGCCATAATCTTCAACACTTACAGTATTAAACAAGAGAAAATGAAACTTTTCTAGCCATTCTGCTCCTAAGAAAAAAAGAAACAGAATGGGAGAATTAAAAATATAAATAGCAATTAATAAATAATAAAATGAAAAAATAACACTTTGAAAAAGAGCTTAGTTTTTGAAAACATGTTTAAACAGATATGTTTCTAGGTAGTTTAATTCAATTGGAAAAAGAAAGAAAATGCAAATCAGAATAGGAATAAATGAGATGATAGAACCACAAGTTCAAAAGGATACCCAAAAGAGAATATTACAAACAATTCCACATTCATAAAAGTGAATATTATAAAATAAATGATGAGCTCAGAAAATAAGAATTAATAAAATGAGCCCAGGATAGAATGTTGAGTCTATAACTCTGTAACCCAAATCCTAGGCTAGAAGTTAATGAAAGGGCTAAAAAGCACTGAGCAAGTTTCAGAGATCACTTAGTTATCAAGGAACAGATAAGCTCTCTCCCGCATAACCTTCTGTTTCTTTTTTAAATAAAAATTCATTCTAGCAATTTGTGGGCTTACAATTTGAAGAGTATTCTCCTCTCTCTTGGAGTTGGTTTTCTCACAAAGAAATGCTGTTGATACAGCTACCTTTGAGGGAAGAGTTGCCATAACAGGTCCAGCTGCTCACCCCTTGCATATCTCCACAGGAGCCTCAAACCATGATTGCTGTTGGGCCAAACTTTGGAAAGATGACCCTCCAGAGGCTCTTTATATTCATGGTTGGTGATTCTGTTATGTACACCTGGAGCAATACTCCATGACATGCCAGCTTGCGATCATTTTGCACAAACGTCAAGATTAACGATGTGCACCTCATTCATTGTCGGGGTCCTGAGATTTGGTTACTATAGCTGGGCACATGGCAGGATGTGCCTGCATATCTAGCCCTTCATATAATGGCAGACCCTGAGACTCAAACAGGCTTTTCCTGGCCAGTGGTTTCAAACACGTCCTGGTAGTTCACTGCTGGAGGGAGCACACCCTGTGCAACTCAGGTGGTGAAGGACTCAAAAGCTTATGGCTACCCTCTCCAGACTGCTTGACTTACACCTTTTTCCTATTGTTCTTGCTCTACAGCCTTTTAGAGGAATAAAGCCCAGTTGGGAGTCTAACATGCTCCTGAGTCTTATGAGTCCTGTTTGTGAATTATCAAGCATAAAGGTGGTCTTGAGACATCCACACATGCACACACACACATACACACTCATGAAAAGAAAAAAAAAATTTCCAAGATTAGAGCCCACTCTTATTTCAGAGCATGTTGATATTCCATTTTATGCATGTAAATACACAGACACGTAAACCCAAATACAATTTTGGGCCCATGAAGGAGTGAAAGGGAAAGCCAAAGAGGTTAAAGAAGATGTCTGCAACCAACATTTGTGTACAATCACTAACAAAGTGTACAATATACAATGAATTTCTACAAATTAATGATAAAATGCAGGAAACCTAATAGGCAAAGGATTGGAACATGCATATCACACACAAAAAATATTCAAATGGCTAACAGAGGAAAAGATACTTAATATCATTGGTCATAAGGGAACTGGAAATTACAACTACAATGATAGGAACAGCACGCCTACAAATCTGTGATGTGAACAAATGTGGAACAGAAATAGTCCTTCAAGACGGAGCTCAAGTGGCCAACTAGGTCTGAATTTAAAATAAAACCCAGTAGCCATTTGCTGACTAGAGGTCACACGAGTACTGTGACTTCCTGGAAAGCCCACCCTTTCTAACTTTGGGGCTTGAAGAGCTCTCCTGGGTCAACCAATCAAAACACAATGGGATTGATTCATCAGAGCTCAGTTGTATAAAACAATCAGGATGCAGCCATGTCACCCAATCAGAACTAAGTGAGTTTCAATCCTTCATTTGCATAAATATACCTGATTGGGACCCTAGGTGGGATTTTTGCTGTAAAACCCTAGACTTCCTTTTGTTCTCTGGAAAATACCTTTGTTTCACACTGAAGGCTGGTGCAAATTATTCACTGGAATAAAATCTCTTTCTTCCAGATTCCTTTTCGGAGAACTTTTGTTCACATTTATAGTGTCAGAAGCGGAATAAGAAAAGAATCCTGATTTTTCTCCCAGCACAGTCCTTAACAAACTCATTTGTGCCTCCAAGAAGTCCTTGAGCTCAGTTGTCTTAAATAATTTCAAGGAACAGTACTCACTGTTATTTTAGAGTATTTTGATATTTCATTTCATGCATGTAAATACACAGACACACAAACAGGATTACAACTTTGGGACCATGAGGTGGGGGTAATGAGGGTCGAGAGGTCCTCTGGTAAGTCTTCCCGAATTCATACCTTCCATGCTTTGGATGAGGTCTCAGAGACTATTTTTTCCCCCATAGGTCTCATCTATTGGAACCTCAAAGAGAAACTTCTTTTAGCCATGGGCTTGGGTAAGGGAGCATTCTCAGCCAGTCCCCCCATCTAGACTGCAAAGGGGAAATTTCCTCTTGACCCCAAGTTTAGGAGGAAGCCTTTCCAGCCAGTTCTCTCCATCCAGACGCTGGAGAGGACTTTCCCTGTTGGCCCAGGGTTTAGCAAGGGCTTCTCAGTCAGTCTATGCCAGTCTATAAGGTTTTGTGGGGATGCTCACAGTAAGGGCACTGAAAGGAGCAAGTTTGTCAGGTCACTGCAATGAGTAGGCCATGCTTTCAGTTCTTCCTATCTGGTCAGCTGCCTTCTGGCACTCCAGCTGGATTTACGAGCCAAAATTATGGTTTGAGGTGTTGTAATTGGCTAAGTCTCTGGACAAAAATTACCCAAAATAATCTGAAACTTTACTGGCCAAAGTGGGACTCCTTTAAAATTCCAAAACTTGCCAGTCTACACACACAACTGGAAAAAAGAAAATACCAAACCTCCCAGAGACAATGGGAAGCCTTTTTCAGTTGGTACTTTGAAAGTCCTCAATGGAATCAAGGCAGTCATCATCTCTCTTCGGGAAAATAACTACAAAGTGAGTGAGCACATTAGTGAAATAGAAAGATTAGCGCTTGCAGGACCAACACCAAAGCTGTAGAAACAACATTGAAACCATTCTTCCACTAGCTGCCTTGCCTGTTGCTCTACCTGTCTTCTGCACCTTTCTTCACCAGCTTTATCCTTCATTCCCTCCTTCCTCTTTCAGGTTTTCACCTAGTTATTTTAAGAAAAGGTTCTAAACTATTTCTCTAGACTCATCTGTGTGTTTTCTTGTCCTGTGATGAATTCCTGTGATTTATGTTACTTTGGCATTAATTTTAATCCTCCTCTAGCACACGCAGACTCCTTGTTGAGAAAGCTTAAATTCTTTCTGTATTTGAGATGTAAATTTGCCACCCTCTTTTCTCTAAAATTTGGTAAGGGATTTTGCTATGTGGGACAGATACATTTCAACTTACTTTATTTACAGAAACGCTGGTTGAATCTAACTGTCTTCTAAACAAGGGGGTTTTACCCGACTCATGGCTCAAGTTTTAAAATAAAAGCTAAAAGATCATTACTTGTGCCTACCTGTATTTTTTTGTGTGTGTGCATATACATGTCTGTTAGTATATTGTCTACCAGATTGGCTTCTAAAAATGAGTACTCATAAATTAAGCAAATAAGTCAAAATGCTTTTCAAGTTCATATCACTTAGTAATTTTTAGGTGGATAAGACTAGTCTAATATTGTTTGTTTGATGAGAATGGCTATGTCTTTGAGTTATCAGAAAAATATGCATATATTTAACATTAAGGTTTTTAATTTTATTATACTTGCCTGCCATTCAGTAATATAAAGTTGGTTGATAGAAAACAGCTTGAGATTATGCTAGATTTGCCTGAAGTATCATGAAATTTTCCAGGCATAATTATTAAAAATGAATAGATGGGGTGGATGCAGATGGGATAAAAATTTTTAAATTAACTTTCGGTAATGGTTATGTTTTGTAATATGTTTACTTAGGAGGGCTTCTCCAAATCTTTTTAGTAACTATAGCTATAGAATTTTTCTGAGCTAAATTAAATGGTTAATATTCATTGCATGTCTAGATCATTTAGAAATAAGATAATACTAAGACACTATTGCTAAATATGAGTTTAGGCTTACATACTTTTGGCTTCTTAATTCAGAAGAACAAGAGTTCTTTGGATCTGTTAGTAAAAATGAACTTTTTCATATTAAAAAGATGTTCTGTTAGAAAGCTTGTGTCTGTTGAAATTGTAAAACGTGTATTCTTGGATTGTCGGTATGGCAGATTTTCACTGAAAATTAGAGTTGCTAAGAAATAGTATGGTGATTAAAGTGTGTGATTAAGCTATTTAGGGCAGAGGGCATTCTGTTTGCAAGTGTATGAGGAGGGTAGAATGTGTTTTTTGATAAGGAAGGTTGAAAAGAAAAGAGAAATGAGAAAGAACCTTGTGTGACACATTTTTGTCTTACAGTAAAATGACTGGTTATTTAAGAAAGAGGAAGTATGGAACAGAGAAGAAAGTCTAAGCATGTCATCAAAGGTCTAAGTAAATCATAAGCTGCATGAAAAGAAAGTTGATAAAAGCAATTTTCTGTGCACTCAGGTTGGCTACAATTGAAAAGAAATCGTATATGAGTCTTTCTCAGGATTAAACTTTGATGTTAAAAATACACTGATACAGAACTTTAAAATTTGATCTCCAGTATTAAAACAAGATTTTCTTAAAATACTGATTTGCTCTTAGTAAAATTGCAAGAGGTTTTAATTTTTAATTTGCAAATCTGTTCCCTTAATAGTAATCCTCTAAACTACAAACAGTTTCTGTTTCTGGCATATTTCCTCCTGAGATCTATATAATTTTCCTGTTTTCAGGTTGTAAATGCAGCTCTCTTTCTCTTGGTCCTTGAAAAGGTAAATTCTTTTTGCGTGGCCACAATGATAACCATCTCCTTCAACCTTTTTGTCATCTCCTGTAACTTTTTCTCTTGTTCTGACACTGCTGTCATGGCCTGATGCTAAGATGTTTATTTTGAAGATCTAGAAAACCAAAGTTTTCCTTCATTGTAACTTGATTTTACACTCTTGGCTTTTCTTGATGTGTCTGAATTGTTCCATGTAACCAGGAAGCTTCCTATGCTATTCCTAAGAACCAAGGATTTCCATGTTCAACGTACTAGTTTTCTTGTTTACATTTCTCTATAATAGCATATGCTTAGAATTCTGGATACATTCTTTCTGTGCCTGATTAAATTCAAATACCCTTCACACCAGGTTTAACTTTCAGGTTATGCAAATGGGCTTTCCATAAGGAGAGGCAATCATACTAAAGGAGGTTTGTTTCCCCTTTACCTATTAGGTAACTGGCCTAGTAAACTAAGAGTCTGTGTTTTGCTGAGATCATTCCTTTGCTTCATGTTGTTTTTATTAGGCTTTTGATTACTTGGGGAAACTGAACTTTAAAAAGTTCAGGGTTTTCACATCCATGTAAATCTGTATTCTTTTCGAAGTCTTCTGATTATCACTTTGCTTATTTAGGAGTGACATATGATTCTGCTTAATCAAGTATTTTGAACCTTTTGACATCTTTGGCAGGTTTCCTCAATATCAAAACCCTAAATTAAGCCTTTTTGATCTTGAAGAGATACTAAATGATTAGGCTTATTTGGCAAATCATATGGGAAGCATATCAAATAAGAAATGATGCTTAACTCCCTTTAAGTTATATTTATATAAATATGTTACTAATATGTGTTCCAAATTGCATGAGATCTTAAAATTCCAAGATGTTATATGATATGGTTTAGATTTGTGTCCCCAACCAAATCTCATGTTGAAATTGTAAACCTCAATGTTGGAGGTGCAACCTGGTGGGAAGTGATTGGATCACGGGAGCAGGTCCTCATGAATGGCTTAGTACTGTCAACTTGGTACTGTCCCCAGGATAGTGAGTTCTTGTGAGATCTGATCGTTTAAAAGTGTGTAGCGCCTCCTCCTGCCCCAGCATCTTTCTCTCTTGCTCCTGCTCTGGACATGCGAGACATCTTCTCCCCCTTTTCCTTCTGTCATGATTTTAAGTTTCCTGAGGCCTCCCCAGAAGCCAAGCAGATGCCAGCATGATGCTTCCTGTACAGCCTGCATAAGAATGAGCCAATTCAACCTATTTTCCTTATAAATGACCCAATCTTGGGTATTTCTTTACAGCAATGCAAGAATTGACTAATATATCATAATATGTGTTATCAGTCTTGAGTATGATTATTTAGTTTAATGATTGTATGCCACAAAAATACCTAAATTTTCTTTTAAATTTTCTTGCAATTATTTCTACATTATTTCTTACAATTTCCTTGTAAACTCTCATCAGAGTTTTGATCATAGCTGTTCTGGATTTTTCTCATCCACGATTATTGTTTTAAATTCTTCTCTAGAAGCATTTGCAATCAGCTATAGCCCAAAATTACTAATTAAGGAAAGCAAAATTAATTAACCGAAAGTAAGTAGTTGATAAGGATAACTTTATGACTTTTATTTAAAATGTTGGTTCTACACTTAAATTTTTTTTCAGATTCAAGGAATTTTTCTTTCATTAGTTATAGTTTGCAATAATTTGGGGAAGTATACTTTTATGAACAAAAGTGGAAGCATTTGCCTTTCTCCCTACTTGAGTCCTCCAAAATTCAGACACTATTTGTGAGCATTCTTATTTTATTTCTGTAAGTTCAGTAAAAATCTGCTCTCCCTTTGTAAGCAGGATACTATTGGAAATACTGATTATATTACTAGGCTTTGATTGAAAAGTCATATTTAAGAAGGGTCATCACATGCCTGGCTTCAAGAGTTCCCAGCCTTACAGTGAATACATAAAACTTGTCACTTCCTGGTAGGCCCAAGAACCTTAAGACCCTAAGTAAAATCTAAAGCCTGCCTTGATTTGGCTTCCTAGCCTCTAGAGGTTCTAAAACCTGAAAGTTCCTGTATGATTAATGTGGAGAGAAAAAGTCATGTTCTTAAGAAAAACTAACGTGCACCTACTTTAGGTTAAAGCCCTATGCACTGTTTTCAAGTTCTGGTTTTCTACCTGTAGACTGGACTGGATCCTGAGTTCTCCTAATTTCCTACAATATCTGGATACAGTTAAATCCTGATAAAGTTTACCAGCCCTCTTCCCTCAAGCAAAACTATAGAGCCTCTTGGGACATTTCCCCTACTCGAATTATTCAACTAGGGGAATTAGGTATTAAGATTGGAGAAAACTCATCAGAGCTCTGGTCAACACTGGGGCTACTCTGTCCATCCTTAACCCCAGCATGCTTTCCATGGACCCTCCCTGGAGTTCTGAATTCATCCAGATGGTTGGGGTAGCCAACCAACCTATGATGGTTCCTAATCTTCACCTATTCTTTTCCAACTAGTACCCCTCACGGGCAGTTGTTTTTCCTTTGGGCTTCCATACACTTCCTAGGCAGGGACTTCTTAGAAACATTCCAGGCCCATATTTTATTCTCCCAGAAAGGAGAAATAATGCTTGAGTTATCCTCACCAGGAGATTTGGCCATGGAAATACCTTTTACCCAAATTCCCATCTATTCAGTTATCCCCAACACTACCTGCCCTGTTCTCTAACAGCTATAATCCAACACTCATGATAATCCCTCAGATTATGAAGATAATAGTTGTGGATACTCTCAAGGATATAATTCATCTAGAAGGGTTAACCCTAGAAGGAGCTAGATTAGGAAGGTTTTTCCGGTCCCAATTTAAACTAGATTCTGCTTGGAATTCATAAATGATCAGAAACCCTTCCTGAACTGTTCGCAGGATTGCCTGCTCTACCACCCAGGCCATCAGGGTGCAACAGAGGTCCATAGACTCCCTTGCTCGTGTGGTCCTAGACAAACACATTGCTTTAGACTATCTCCTCCCTGCACAGAGTGATGTTTGTGCTGTTGCTGCCACTTTCCACAGGGTAAATACTTCCAGGCAGGTTGAATTTGAAACATCTAAGATCTTAAGGCTAGCCAAATCTCTGAAAAACAGCTTCAAAAAGCCTCCTGGCTGGACCTTCTAGGTTAAGTTTCTGATCTCCAGATATTTCCAGCCGGCTTCCCCTGCAGTAGGGTTCCTTCTGCATGCCACCCTACAAGTCTTGATCCTCCTTATGTTTGGGCTAAGCATTTGGAGCCTCTTTAAGATTTTCCTAGCCTATTTTAACAGATGCCTGCAAGAGACCCCCACTAGGATCGTGCTGACCTAACCTTTGAGACTTCAAAGGTTGCTCCAGCCAGAAAGGGGAACCAAGTTAACCCAAAAGAATTTGATTCAAATTTAACAGGTGCCTGTATGCCTCTCATGATCACATGTTTATGAAGAAGTGAGATCTATCCAAAAGTGGTTTTCAATTGTGCAAGACCATGGCATGAGAGTTTAAGAAACTTTGGGCTGAGATTTCAAGGACCTGAGACATATCTACTGTTGAATATTTGGTAATCATTAAGCATACAATTTTGCAGATGTTAAATGTTAAGTTAAACATGTTTAATTTTTTTTAAGTAAAATAAATCATTTCTGTTTCTATTCAGAATATGACAGTATCAGAATAACAGGAGCTAACCCTAACTGAACACTTAAAGTTTGCCAGGCACTATTCTGAATTCTTCACAAAAATTAGCAGTTTTACTCTGCACAAAAATCGCCTGAGATACGTTGCTTTGCTGATGAAGAAATGGAAATCCAGAGAAATAAAGTCGCTTACTCAGTCACCCAGCTACATGATTTGTGGCTCTGGAAGTTCAGCTACTAGGACTCTTCCAACTTCCTACAGGTGTCACGAAAGCACAAGACCACACACTTACACACAGTTCTGATGAAAGAGGGCTAAAAGGAAGATTTCAGTAAAAAGGTCAACAAGGCTTTCTAAAAAAACTGTAAAGGTAAATAAATGATGTGTCGCAGTAATTCTCACCAATTAGGAAGCATCTTAGAAAAGCATTGGATTTCCTCTAGTTAAAAACATCTATAAAAAGTGATATCAAAATATAGGAAGATGTAAATATCTAAATTTTAACACTGTCACCTTGCATAAATTAGGCTGAATAGCTGATGGAATAAGACCTAAATTCAATTTTGTTCCATGCCTTTTTACTGTGATCTGAAAGGGGTCTTGAGGTGAATGATCCTGTACTCATCCTCCACCAGCCAATCAGTCTGTTTATTATTTGGCTTTAAAAAGAAACCCCTTCACCATGATGGAGCAAAAACTGTTACTTGGCTATGTCAAGAGAAAGCAATGCAACAAGTACAAAGCGTGCTGATTAATGCACCTTGTCTATCTCTATCAGACAGAGAGCTAGATATTGATAGAGACTGCTATCCTCATGTGTAACTACATCAAGCTAGAGAGACTGTTATAATACAAGTGGACTGAGGCAGCCGTGAGCAGAGAAACCAGGAATGCTCGCCCCGATCTCTAGTCTTCAGTCTTGGCCCTGTTTCAACTTTCAGTTTCACATGTGGAAAAATCGAAACTCTAACTCAGCTGAGTGTTAGTCAAAGAAGGTGTGTCCTGCTCCCCAATGACAGGTTGCTCAGAGACTGCTGATTTCCATCCCTATATAAAGAGAGTCCCTGGCATACAGAGACTGCTCTGCTCCAGGCATCTGCCACAATGTGGGTGCTTACACCTGCTGCTTTTGCTGGGAAGCTCTTGAGTGTGTTCAGGCAACCTCTGAGCTCTCTGTGGAGGAGCCTGGTCCCGCTGTTCTGCTGGCTGAGGGCAACCTTCTGGCTGCTAGCTACCAAGAGGAGAAAGCAGCAGCTGGTCCTGAGAGGGCCAGATGAGACCAAAGAGGAGGAAGAGGACCCTCCTCTGCCCACCACCCCAACCAGCGTCAACTATCACTTCACTCGCCAGTGCAACTACAAATGCGGCTTCTGTTTCCACACAGCCAAAACATCCTTTGTGCTGCCCCTTGAGGAAGCAAAGAGAGGATTGCTTTTGCTTAAGGAAGCTGGTGAGTACATGGTCCTAGACAGAAATCAGGATTCTCAACCACTGGGCAGTGGGGTAAGGCGAGAAGGGGCTGGGGGTATGCACAAGCTGGAGAGCTTCTCCAAAGCTTGAGGTCACCATTTACCCTTGCATGGTGAGCATGTTGTCCTATGAGAAAATAATTCAGTGAATTTTGGAGTGGGCACCTAGTCCTTCCTAAATCACAGAATTGGGCTGGAACAGGGGATTTGTGGAGCAAACCTGTCCCTCCTGCCATTTGGAAGCAAGAAGGGGTCTATGCAAAGGGCAGGTCCCTATTACACTTGGTGTTTGGAAAGAGGCGGTTTGGGAAGTTTGTACTACTTTCTGAGTTTGCCCACAACACTAACGAATTTGGGTTTTCCAGAAACAGTTATTAATAATTAGAAAAGTTGGAAACAAAAACAAAAACTTTGACATAAAAATAGCAGTAGTTGAATCTTATATTTGAGTTTGTGTATATTCTTTTAATAGGAAACCTTAAAATTTTTTTAACAAATATGTCAAGGACTTAGCCTTCAAGAATGCTTACTGAGCATCACCACATTAGTAACTGGCAGCGTCTTGGAGAGAACTCAGCACGTGACCTTCGAATGCAATATCTTCCACTCCAGATCTGTTCTGCCTTCCGTCCTTGTCTTCCTGTCTTTCCTAGAGTACCTTCTCAACTAGTAACTTCAGCAACATCTCTAGCTTCTTTCCCTCCTTGTTTAACTTTTTAACAAAAGCATAGCATACATGCACCAGATTACACATATTCTGGATGTGCACCCTGATGAATTTCACAAAGCAATCACAGCCAGGTAAATAGCCTGCAGATTCAGAGAGAAAGCATCACCAGCGCCAGAAGTGCATGCTGCACTCCAGCCACTACCCTGGTAAGCACTTGCTGGACTTCTAACACACAGATTCATTTTGCCTGATCCTGTACTTTATATAAATGAAATCATACAGTGGGTCCTATATTGGATCTGACTTCTTTGCTCCACGTTACATTGGCTTAGTTACCCAAAGCTGATTGCTCAAATGAGAACCTGACTTCCCATTCCCAGTGTGGCTTAACTCAAATTCCTATCATTTCTCACCAGGATTACTGTAATTCAACTCACTGTCTCTGCTTGCCCCATTGAAAACTCCTGATCTTTTTTTAAAATGTACTTTTGGTGATTTAACTCCTAACTCTCCTTCTTATGAGCATCGTTGTCAAGGCCCCTGGCAAGCTCAATGTTGCTCTCAGCCTCTGCTACCCTGATGGCTTGGGTCCCCTCTGCTGTAGACACAGCCTGTCACACTCATTTTCTCCAAACATCAAAATTGTTAAAATGATGGTCATATTGTTGTCTCTTCCTAGAATGTCTGTCCTCAAATCTTGTTGGTGAACTTTCAAAGTTCCTTTGAATTCTCCTTGATCCTCTGCAGCCATAATTATGCCCTTTACTTTTCACTTATGAGCTTATAGCAGTTGGTACAAATATGTCTTGCAGCTTTTTAAAATGTACTATTTTGTTCAGTTTTTTTTTTTAATGTCTGGTTCCTCAAAGAAATTGCATTCCAAGGTTGAATTTTACCCTCCTGTGTGTCTTCATGCCTGACAGGATGTCTAGAAAGTAATAGAGGCTTAAGAAATGTTTTAGATAAATGAATGAATGCATGAGTGAGTGAATAAGGAGATATGTCGAGGGAAATTACGACTTTCATTCAGAAAGCCAGGGTTTGAGTTTCTGCTCTAACATTTACTAGATTTGTCAAGACATTTAGCTTTTCTGAGTATCAGTTCCATGATCTTTAAAATTATCTTTAGATAATAATGATAACTGATAAACCAATCTCAAAAGTTGGTACAAGGCACAAACAAGTGAATGTTCATGTATTTTTGTCATAAAAGATAAATTATTATTAATAGTTATAATTAATACTTTTATATAATAACCTCTCAGTTTAAGTAAGTAAAACAAAAGTTAATTGAAATGCTTACATGATAGTGTAGGTTGTATTTTCCTGTAAGAGAGATTTCTAGATAATGGAGGAAAACTATTTTTTTGGTTGTAAGAATTAAAGAAAGAGGAAAGAAACACAAAAGGTGGCTCCACAGTCAAGGACAGGTTTATTTTAGAGAAAAAAAACCTGAGAGGGGCTTCTGGCTGAGTTAAGTCAGAGCCCACTCTCTTACAGACTAAGAGTTTTAAGGATTTGGCGTGGGAGGGTTTATTAGAGACTTGGACTGCTTCTGTTTCTCTTTGTTGTGCTTATCTGGGAGGGAGAGTTGTGTGTCTGTTCCCGTACATCTTCCTGCAGCTGCAGGCATACCCACCCTGAATCTGCTTTTAGCTTCCCTATCTTAGAACACTAAAGAGAAACTAATGTGCTTATTTAGGCCCACTGTTTTACTGGGACCCATTGTATGACAGTGAAGTTTGGCAGTTACCTAAAAGACTTCCCCTCAACCTCCCTCTGTGCTCAAGCTGTCTTGTCTGTGTTTTACTGTCTGCTCTTTCTGGCTGCTTGTGGTTAGAAGATAAGTGATTTCCTTGAAATGCATGAGGCTAGAAAGGGAGCTGGAACTTAAAGTGGTGGTGTTTGTCTGAGATGATGGTGTTCTTGATCTGTCAGTGGTAATTAAAGGTTTAAATTCACATTGAAATTTAAATTTTAATATATATTTTTATATATTATATTTAAAATTAAAATTTACTATTCTGGCTAAAGATGCTCCTAAAATATATTATTTACTTTCCTGGCTTTTAAACTGTTTTGAAATTCTATTCAGAAAGACTGAATAGAATTAAAAATAATGAGCATCAGATCTGGGCTGTAATATGATCACTCATGTATGTTAACACTATTGTAAATAAATTACTCCTTGTCTAAGATATTAATTATGCCTCTAAATTCTATTCCTTCCCTTTTGTTATTCTTCCATCCCTTCTAAATATACTCCTCAAAATTGTTAGCAGTTTTGTGCCACTGGCCAGGACCCTGTCTTACTTTCTCCAGTTTATCTGCCACTATATCACATCACCACACTTCTTAGGTAATTATGTTTTGTTTTGTTTTCGGGTTATAATGAGTGTCACTCAAACTGCCTCCCAGCATGATGGATTATAAATAGGGAGGTGATATAATGCCTCACTGTCCAATCATAGAGACATCTGAGAGTGAAAGGGGGCACTAAAACTCACTCACAGATACTGTTTCATCTACCATAAACCAAAACTGTTCCAGGCACACCAGCCTGGAGGCTTCTCTACTTATAAAGACTCTAGGCTTTGGAGTCTAGGCATGTACCCTAGCTCTACTTTTCTCTAGCCTTATGATCTTCAGCAAGTGTTTAACCTTTCTTGGCTTCAATTCTTCCACTAAAAACCAGATAATAATTCCTTCCCCATGGGTTATTTAAGGGTTGAAAGCTTTAACCATATTACCTTGGGTGATGTATGGTGAGGCCAGATACAGATTAATAGAGACAAGAAAGAGGTTTGCACGGGTTCATTCTCCTAGAATGCAGGCAGGCAGGTGTATGACGCACAGGCCCATCCTTCTAGAATGCAGACTGGCAGGTGTATGTTGCAAAGGTCCATCTTCCTAGAATGCAGGCAGGCAAGTGTGTAACGCATAGATCCATCCTTCTAGAATGCAGGCAGGTGGGTGTATAACGCACAAGCCCATCCTCCTAGAACGCAGGCAGGCAGGTGTGTAATGCATAGACCCCATCCTCCTAAAATGCAGGCAGGTGGTTGTGTAATGCATAGACCCCATCCTCCTAAAATGCAGGCAGGTGGGTGTGTAACGCATAGACCCCATCCTCCTAAAATGCAGGCAGGCAGGTATGTAACACATGCAAGAGACATGTTTTCTTCTCTGAGAAAACAAAATGACCCCAGAGTAAAGACCAAGGATATTAGCAATTGGAGGTTTTCCTATGAATAAACCAGTTTACCTCTCTGTCTCTCTGTAGTGAAACCCTCTTTTGGACCAGCCCCTCCCTTCATCACAGAAATTCCATTCTGCTATTTTGTGCCATACTGAAATTTGAATGAACAAATAAAAACATCAAAAGAAGAGGCAGACACCAAAACAAATACACAGAGAGTATGTAGGAAGAAGAAAACGTCCAAAAAAATCTATAACTAGTAATTGCAGAGAGATAAGAGAAAGAATTGCATACATGAAACAAGAATAGAATGCCTGGAAAGGAATAGTCAGAATATGGAAGCATCTGGGGAATGAAAAATGGGGTTTCTAAAATTAAAATCTTAATAGAAAGACGAAAAGTTAAAGTCTTAACCAAAATGAGACCAAAAAATCAGGATAGACGTAGGAAGGAAGATGATGATAAGAAAATAGTGGTTAAATTTAGAAACTCCAATGTTCCAGTAATAGAAGTTCCAGAAAGATGAAAAAGTAAAAATTGAGACAAGGGGTGAATAAGCAAATAGTAAAAGAAGATTTTTCTTTATAACATAAAGAGCTATGATTTGAGATTGAGGCCTTCCAGGTGGCCAGACAGTGAATAGAGAGAGATTCCTAGGACACCCGGTCTTGAAATTCCAAAACATTAGGAAGAAAGGTTCTGGAGAGAGAAAAAGCCATGCACTTACAAAGGAGTACAAACGAGGGTGTTATCAGGCCTCTGAACAACAGCATTTAAAACTGAGTGAAAATGACTTCACCTAGAATGTGATACCTGGACAAACAATTGATCACCAATGCATTTTGAGGCATACAAGTCATCACTTTAATTCCTGCTTTACGTTTTTTTCAGGAAGCTTGTAAAGGGATTCTCCAAAATAAGGGAGTAGCCCAAGAGGGTGGGCGATGCGGAATCCAGGACAAGGAGTGGGGATGGGAAACGCAGAGTCAGGAGGAGTGTCATTCTCAGGCTGGCAGCTGGCCCGTGGACAGTCACGCCACATGGCAGGCATGTGGCTTTATGCTTTGCAAATCCTGGTGCTGCCTCATTGTACCCTTTGGTGTCTGAGCAAGTCTATTCATCTGTGTAACCAGTTCCCTGCATCCCTGTTTAGATCCCGAATTAAACATATGCTATTCCCATTGGGTGGGATTGGTGTTGGGAACTAGGGTTAGGGGAGGGGAAATTAATGAGAAAGTTTTATTTCTTTTTTTTACATTGAGAAAATACTACTTTTGCTATTAAAATAATAATGTATATTTGTGAAGTGGTAAAATTCATGTATCACCTTGCACAGGTATGGAGAAGATCAACTTTTCAGGTGGAGAGCCATTTCTTCAAGACCGGGGAGAATACCTGGGCAAGTTGGTGAGGTTCTGCAAAGTAGAGTTGCGGCTGCCCAGCGTGAGCATCGTGAGCAATGGAAGCCTGATCCGGGAGAGGTGGTTCCAGAATTATGGTGTGCTCCATGGGATGGCATTCTTCTTATTGCTATTGCTATTTTTATTGTTGGTTCTTATATTTCCTTCCCTCCTGGGCCTTCAGCCAGGCCTGCTGAGGAACTGGAAGGGAGGAAAAACTAATCTTGCTTACTCTAATTGCTTTTCAAGCTGTGCACGGCATTATGGCAGTTTTAGTTCCTTAGGGCTCTCAGTAAACAAGTTTGGCAAGTTAGATAATAGACCTTTTACTGAGATGACTATCTTGTACATTGCAATTTAGCAAATACAAGATCTATGGCCTTAGTTTAGACACTAGGTAGGAAAATTAACACATTTGACAGCTTTGTAATAAAATATCTCTGTTGGGACTGGACTGGATCCATGACTAATTTTATCAGAACCTCGTGGTGTGTGGATTAGCCAAGGTGGAGGGCTCCAAGGGATTCCACCATGTAGCCAGGATTAAGAACTGCTGAATTCTAAGGCTGCTGAGATTCCTCGCAGTTCAGTTTTCTGCAGGTGTCATGTCCATATAGCAGTTCTTAAAACTTAGCAAGAGCTTGGAAAACATTAGCTCTTCTTATATGGACTGTCATGTTGGGAAACAGGTATAATCTGTTACAGTACAATTCTCTGTTCTTGTTTATATGAGCTGTTGGAGCCTTGAAGTCTTTCAAAGGGAAACTGCATTTATAATCTGTTGAGGATGTTGCTGAGACATCTCTGATACCCCATCTGTGATGGTGCGGACATGGACTGTGGGGGAGGGACGCTGTGGATGTGGGTTGGAGGGTCCATCTGATAAGGGTTAAGCAGGTAGAGAAGAGTCAAGGTGTCAGATGCAGGTGAATTAGGAAGGGCCTACAAGCGTGTAAAACCAAAATGGTAGTGAAGGGAGGCACTTTGTCACTCACACAGGGAGTCTGAGGTTCAAAAGTGAACTTTGGGAACCATACTCAGAGAGAGAAAAAAGAAACTGAGGAAGCAGTGTGATGGAGACCAACTGGCGGGGTTTTCTGGGTGGGTACCCAGCCAATGCCCTTCCTCCAAGATCAGCCGTCCAGGATGTCCTCATGGTGTGCAGAGTAGGGACAGTACTGCATGTCCAGGTCAAATCTCTCAGGCTTGTGGGAGAAAGTGGTATAAATTAGTGAATTTAGAAGCATATAAGAAAAGACACTGTCAGCAGCATGGAGACAATAGGAAAGCATGAAGACTGTGGAGAACGGGAAGCATCGCGCCATATTCCTATAGTGCATGAGTGGAGCGCCAACTAGGAGGTTTCATTGATTTTTGTGCAGCAAGAGAATTTGGATGATCCTCAAATTATTAAACATAGATCAAAAATCTACAATTATAAATATTTGAAAATAATTAGAAATATTTTTAGGCATTGTGAGGAACAAATGTTTATAGATGCCTATCTGGCCCATAAGCTGCTGATTTTCCACCTCTGGCTTAATGGGTCAGGGATGGGTCTATGTGTTGAGTGGATGAAGAGAGCTGTTTTAGGGCCTCACTACCTCTCCAAGTTTGGTAATTTGCTAGAAGGACTTCCAACACTCAATAGCCAGCTATGCTCACGTCTAGGGTTTATTAGAATAAAGGATACAGAACAGAAACAGCAGGGTAAAGACATATATCACCAGAGTCCAGAGAGTCCAGACACAGGCTCTGAGTCCTTCTCCATCCCAGGCCTCATAGGTTGTACTTTCTCTCTAGCAGTGAACTATAGGGACATATTTGGAATGTCTTTGCACAGGAAGGTCCATTTGAGTCTTAGGGTCTGAGGCTTTATACAGGGCTAGTCATTTATGCACATGCTGCTATGTAACCAGCTATTGGAACTGAAACTCAGGACCCCAACAACGCAACCAAGGAAATCATGGATCTTGTTAAACAATCCTGAGAAGTCTTGACAAGTTGATTCAACATGCCCCATTGCTCCAGGTTTATACACCTCACCAATGATATATAGAATATTGTAGCTACCATATGTGCAGGGATTGGCCAAGATTCCACCATGGTTCCAGGTTTTCCTGGAAAGATGTAGGGACTGAGCAAACAGATCTGCTCCATTAAATCTCTCTTCCCAAGAGCTTTGGCAAGGAAAAGCTGAGGACAGGAGGATAGTTATCATGGACACATAGCAAAAGTTGGAAAGGCGGCAGAATATAGCAATTGACTTACAGATCCTCAGATGACTTGGAAATCAACTAGGTCTGTCTTTAGTATAACTGATAAGGCTGTATGTTTTTGGTTTTGAACTTAATTTCTGGTCTGTTTGGAGATCAGGTGCTCAGTTACTTGCCTTTTCACAATGTGATATGCCATTAGGAATTTATTTGAGATCAATTTTTAGAACGTTTTGAGTTGTTTTAAATTATGGACAGTTGCCTTATTCTGGCTCCAGTTTATGCTAGATATTTTGAGGGCGTATGTTACATACGGATAAAATAAAATTAGCCCAAAATAGGAGTTAAAATGACTCTTTTTATAATATTAGAGGATAGTTGCTTAAAGAGTTTTTGGAATTTCCAGCTTCTATAATTTGAAAGTAATTTTAAGAAAAAGAGTCGACTCTTAAAAAGTCACAAAACTAGGAAAACTCAGACTTAATCAACTGCAAGGAGTGACTCAGCCATTGAGAATATCTGTACTTAAGAGATAAGTGGATAGCATGAAGGAGCAGAGGAAATTGGAGGGATAATAAGATAGGTGGAGTAGAAACTAGTGTGACAGAAACCAAAGCAAAGGTAATTGTGAACACTTGCTGTGCTCCCAAAACGACACGCTGTCACAGCTCTTCACATACCATGTTGCAAGGAGGGGTCTGTTTACACTTTATTCCCACACCAGGCTTCCCTTTCTCTTGGTTTTCTTGGCATCTAACACAGTTGTCTCTGACATCACATAGAATGTCTCTAGATATTTAGATGATGAGACAACTGTCAAGAAGATGTCCAGAAGAAGCGGATGAACTTAGCAAAAATACTAGGGATCTTCAACAGAGCAATTTTATCTGTGTGATGGAAAGAAAAAGAAGTAAATTTATAATTGTTCATAAATAAGTCTAGAGGCATCCAAATATATCTACCTGCCTCAGAAATTACATAATTTGTATGCAGGAATAAATGAAAAACCTCATTTAAATATATCAGTAAGTGCTCACACACATACATGTGTAGAGTTTTCAAATAATCAACTAAGTATTTGCATCATTATTTTACATATATATTTAGTTTTTCAGGTTTGACACAAGAAGAAAGTAAAATTCATATCTCAATGAGTTTTGTGGGTATAAGGAAAAGTGTCTTTTTAAAAATTTAAACAAGATATATTTTATCACAAGAGATCTAAATAGCCCAAGGGGCTTGGTCCTTGGATAGAAAAGTTTAAACATGATCATTTTCCCTCAGGTGAGTATTTGGACATTCTCGCTATCTCCTGTGACAGCTTTGACGAGGAAGTCAATGTCCTTATTGGCCGTGGCCAAGGAAAGAAGAACCATGTGGAAAACCTTCAAAAGCTGAGGAGGTGGTGTAGGGATTATAGAGTCGCTTTCAAGATAAATTCTGTCATTAATCGTTTCAACGTGGAAGAGGACATGACGGAACAGATCAAAGCACTAAACCCTGTCCGCTGGAAAGTAAGTACACAAGGTCGCTTTTGCTGATTTCCTTCAAGAAAACTTTCAGGAATGACTTTTTTCAATGAAACTGAAAACAATACTGATACAAGAGAACTCTGGACCTCGCAAGCCAGTCCAGAAGTCAGGTCCTTGGTCTTTCAGCTCTGTTAGACTTAAAACTATACTTTTCTTTGTCTTAGACATAAAACTAGACTTTTCTTTGCCTTACTTCCCTTTTCTGAAAACATGATATGATTTCCTTTGGAAATATTGTGAGGATAAACATAAAAAAATATGCTCAGTGCTTTGAAATGTTTGGAAGAATATGTTCATAGAAAGCCTAAATTTATTTTTAAAACTCTTGGCTTATGGATGGACAGATACCGGTTCCTCATAAATTCTGATGCAGTGAATTTCTAGAAGACATTAGGGTTAAAGTCTTCCCCAAGTTGTAGCAAAATGGGACCTTTATTCCCAGATTCATGCTTTAGGGCTGGCCCCACTACCAGCTACTAAAAGCCAACTCCACATATGCAGCTCCCACTCTGTGCAGACATCATGACTAAAATCCCAGTTTTCTACCTTTGACTGCTCGTCAGAAGCAAATCAGGAGGCTGTTTAAAAAGCAGCTTCTTGGGCCTCATATCTGCTGCCCTGAAACAGGGCCTGTGGTGAAGGTAAGCATAGCAGGGAGGGCTTGCACAAACGTGTATTTCTAACAAGCAGTCCAGGTGCAATGAAAGATAAGATGCAGAGCTCAGTGCTAGCACAAACACACAAAAAGAGATGTGGGAAAAGTCACATGATAGAAAGCTATGTGTGCTACCATATCGTGAAATGGCAAAACAGGCTGAGCTTAAGTGGAAGGCTTCATATAGGAGGAAGCATTTGGCTATGCTCTGAAAAATGGAAAGAATTTTCGTAGGTGGCAAAGACCTGAAGAAGAAAGGCACATCCAGACTAGAGGGCTTTGCCTGCACAAAAAACAGCTTTTCCTTCAAAGCTGCCTTGGCTGTTTTTTTAAATCCCATGTCAGCATTCCAAATAGAGTTAGGGAAGAGGGAAAGGGATATTCTATCATTTTCCTGAAGCTGTCCTGTAATATGTGGAAATGGGTTAGGGGAAGCTGGAGATGCTACTTTCAAAAATTGCTAATAGGTATGTTGAACTTGAACTTTTGGTTACATATATAAGGATATGAATTATCAGCCACATTCCCAGGTCTAGAAGGAACTGGAGAAAAGCTAAAGAGAGAGGTCTGATAGGAAAAACAGGGACATGATCCACCAGGAAGGCAGAGGCTCCAGCTGGAGGGCTAAGCTGCCTTAGACATGTTGACTTTCCTGCCTGCCCCTCTCCTGTACCCACCTCTCTCGTCTTCCCTATGTTTCCTGTTACTGTCTTCCTCATTGTTCTCTTTTGGTGTCCTTTTTTCAGATGTGTAAATATTTTTTCCCCACAGCTTGGTTTTCTCCTATCTCATGGCCTTTCTCTCAGATATTTTGACTCCCACACTGGCTTCCATTCATCTGATTCACTGTAGATTTGCCATCAAGATCCTGACTCTTTTGGTGGAAGGCTAGTTTCTGCCTGTTTGGAAAACCAGATTATTGATGTATGCAGGCTTCCAATTGATGTAAATTGATGCTTCTGGAACAGGTGCCTGTTCTTAGTCCAATCTTACATTGCACTCAGAACCTAGTTTCCTGAGGCTGCCTCCTCCACTGTGAGGCTGTGGGCTGGAAGGTGTCACCAGCCGTGTCCCCGGGACAACAGCAATGAGCATGCGTGATTACTCACTGGGAGGCTTTGTTGTGACCTGTAGGCTTGCTCCAGCAGCATGGGAGGAGAGGGCTCCTTCTACTCCCCCATGCCCAATCCCACACCCTCAATATTGTTCCCCTTCCAGCTCCTACGGCTTGCTTTTCTCCTGCAGAAGCCCTTCCAGTCTAGCTGGCTGATTCTGGAGTCAAAGTCCCTGGAAAAAAATGCCTGTGCTGTATGTCTTCTTTGATAGTCAAGTCTGCTCATGATTCAAACCTACATGGAAGGGCACTCCCTCCCTGCCAGGCCTCTCCTTACCCTGAGCCTGGATGGGGCATGAGGATGGGTGACAACCCCTCCCAAGATGCTCACAGTCTATTAAGGAAGACACCATGAAAGCAAATAGCAAAATTATCCTATGACCAGGGGCCAGTGGAGGCAGATATCAAAAGACCGAGAAGCAAAAAAGAAGAGGAAAAATAAAGAGTGAGCAAAAAAGGCAACATGAAGTGTTGACAATTTCTTCTCATCTGACTATAGTGGCATCTGAGTGGTTCAGACGATGATATTAGTGAAATTCTGTGTAGAATCATCCTTTCCATGGAAACCCTTTAGATCTGGGTTTGTCCTGCCTCTGTGTTGGGTTGGCTGTCACCCTTTGTCACCTTGGGCAAGTCTCTTCACTTCTTGCCTTTTCTAGGACTGACTTTTATTTTCAAATGATGGTAGTATGTATAGAATAATACACTGTCCACACTCTTACACACACATTTGTTTACTTAAAAGACTGTTGAAAGAGAATATTAATGATTTTGAAAAACTGTTCTTAGGTCTTACATGAAAAACAGACATATGCTAGAGGCCTTCATAAGAATATATTAAAAATCAGCAGAGAAAACAATGTTTTTAAAATGTGTTTTTCTGGGTTATGGGATTACACATGATTTATTTTTATGCTCTTTTATAGTTTATATTTTTTCAATAAGTACCTATTATTTTGTTGTCTGAAAATTTATGACTCAATCAAACATAATCTAGACAAGTTTTTGAAAGTTTATATTTTAATAATGTTTGTGCTTCTGACACCATATTCCTAAATTTCAGGGCTAGCTTTCATTTCCCCAAAGTAATATCTTTCTAGAATGTTCCTCAGCTCGTAGAGTCTCTTTGCTCAGAAGAGATGAAGCTTGAAAAGGGGGAGTGAGGTTTGGGGGAAAACACGATGGAAAGCTCTCTGCAAAGCAAACACTACCATTGCCTTTCAGGTGTTCCAGTGCCTCTTAATTGAGGGTGAGAATTGTGGAGAAGATGCTCTAAGAGAAGCAGAAAGATTTGTTATTGGTGATGAAGAATTTGAAAGATTCTTGGAGCGCCACAAAGAAGTGTCCTGCTTGGTGCCTGAATCTAACCAGAAGGTTGTATAAAGCAAAAGTTGTTTTCTTTGTCATCATACATTCAGATTGATTCCCAAAAGGGAAGTCTCTCAGCCAAGGACCCCACACATTGTTATTTTAGAGGGTTCGGTGGTGAGAAATGGGAGGAATGCCATGTCAGGGCAGATAGGGCTGAGGGCTGCCATTGACTCTGCCACCTCCCAGCTGCAGGGTCTTTAGAGAGCTTCAGTTTCTCTATCCACGATGGATAGAGTGGTACTTTGCAGATGATACAACTGTATATAGATTCATGTAGATATTCTTGCTATATGATTCATATAAGTATAATGTCCCTATGTGTCATACATGCATGACATAACCCCTAAACATAGAAAGAACTAACGAACGCCACTCTGTTGATATCAACATTATCACTTTATTTAGTTGAATAATCTCTATGTATAATTTTGTTATGTTGCACAGAATGTAGAAGAAATGTTTCCCATTTAGTTTTCTAATGTAATGACAATTGGATCCATCCTATTAGCACAAATTTCATACACCGATAAAACAAGGTTGGCCAAAACATGTCTACACTGTGGAGCTTCAGGTATAACTAGAAGCCGGGTATCTAAAAATGTGTTCTCAGAAGCTACAGGAAAAAAAATCCATTAATAAGGAACCTCCTTATTAATGAAAGATACAAACTTTAAAAAAATTATGATAGTATAATTGAATCCATAAAATTAAAAATATGTCACACATATCATAAAATTAAAAGTGAAATATGTTAACATGATATACTGAATTGTATAAAATAAAGTATTATATATAAAGTTATTTAAATCAATAAGAATCTATGAACACCAAAAAAAGCAAAACATCCAATGGGCATAAATAGATAATTTACAGAAAAAAAACAAATGGTGAATAAACATTTTAAGAGTATTTGATATTGTCTATATTCAAGGAAATACAAAATAAAATATGAAGCATAAAGTTGCAGTAAGAGAGGCAAGTTCATATTGTTAGCAAGAGTATAAATTATTGCAACTTTCCTAGAAAACGAATTGCTAACTTTATAACCTTTAAAATAGCCCATATTTGAATTTAGAAATTCTACCTTAAAACAAGAGAAATATTCACAGAACTAGAGAAGTACTTATGTAAAGATATGTTACTGCAGTATTAAGAATAATACCGGCCGGGCGCGGTGGCTCACGCCTGTAATCCCAGCACTTTGGGGGGCTGAGATGGGCGGATCACGAGGTCAGGAAATCGAGACCATCCTGGCTAACACAGTGAAACCCCATCTCTACTGAAAATACAAAAAATTAGCCGGGCGTGGTTGCGGGCGCCTGTAGTCCCAGCTACTCGAGAGGCTGAGGCAGGAGAATGGTGTGAACCCGGGAGGCGGAGCTTGCAATGAGCGGAGATCGCTCACTGCAGTCCAGCCTGGGCGACAGAGCGAGACTCTGTCTCAAACAAACAAACAAACAAAAAGAATAATACCAAAAAAAAATAAAGATAGCCTGTCATTCAGCATACAGAGAATGAGTAAGTCTGTAGGTTCACAGAATGAAATGTTACACTGACTAACAAGCATATTCCAAAAATTTTTAAGTGACAAGGAGAAATTCTGATAATATAATAGTAGGTACAGATAAAAAACAGTATGCAAAATTAATTTGAAGTTTAATCCTGATGTGTAAAAAAAAGTATCTCTACATATTCCTTTGGTTATCTTGGAGTAGTGGAATTATAAGTAGTTTTATTCACCTTTATAACTTTTTGAACTTTAAAATTTTGTAACTTAAGTATTAGTTTTATTATTTTAAAAACAGCTTCTCCATCTGCCATCCAAAAATACATATACAGGAAAATCTCTACCCCATATGTTTAAGTAATGCTAGGAACTCAAAGAGCAGACATTCATTCCTTATGCTTTAGACTTCTGAGGCTCTAGGTAAATGGTTCAAGTTTAAAAGGTAATGTTGAAGTGAACATGAACAAGAAAATCTCAGAATGAAGGACAGGATGACCATCAAAAAGAAGAGAAAGGGGGTAGAGGAGGTTTTCCTCTATGCACTATTTTATTTAATTTTTTAAAACTCCATCTTAATAGTTAATATGACATCAAAGAAAATTTGGTTGAGTACCTCCTTTGTAAGAGGGACTGTTAACCCTTTGACTCATTGCCATTTTCACTAATGCTTCATGAGCCAGGTTGTATCATCCCCATTGTATACATCAAGAGGCCGAGTGGTAGGTACTCATTTACCTGACTTGTATCAGGGGCAAAATCTGAATTTTGATGACCCCAAAGCCCACAAACCTTTTAGCCAGTTTGTTTCAAACTTCATCAAATCACCTGGGATCTTGTGAAAGGGCAGACCTCTACTCAGTGGGTCTGAGGTTGGCCCACCACTCTGCACCTTGAACTAGTTCCCAGATGATGCTGATGCTACTGGTACCCCACTAGACATTCAATAGCAGGTCTGCTCCCATCCCTTCCTAGGAGTTGGCAAATGCTGGCCCCAGGGATGGGTCTGGCCTGCCACCTGTTGTAGTACAGGATGCAAGTTAAGACTTGATGAGGGAAAACATCAAAACAAGAATCGTATTTGTGCCCTGTGAACATTATATAAAAGCTGGTTTTCTGGGTCCATAAATTAAGTTTCAGTGGAGCTCAGCCAAGCTATTTTTCTTATGTATCATCTGTGGTGGATTTTGGGCTGCAAAGCACAGTTGATTAGTTGTGACAGACTGTGTGGCCTGCTAAGCAGAAAATATTTGCTATCTGGCCCTTTACAGAAAACATTTTACAGACCCCTATCTACAAGAATAGGTATAGAAGGAATACCTTCCCATCAACAGTGCAGGTACAGCTTCTATATACCTATAGAAGTCATAACTGTTTGTAAGTAATGTTAGGGTAATAATAAAATCCTCAGGTAAATCGACCCTTTAGCTCCAAAAAAATAGCATTCAAGAGAGTTCTGCTTTATACATTGAAAAGGGAGAAATTAGATACATGGTGGACACAGTCATCAGAAATATCATGTAAAGAAGAAAAGGGCTCTCCCAAAGTGTGAAGGGTTGGGGAAATTGCCTTGGGGTTCAATGTCAGGGAAGCCTTCAGGATGAAGGTTCTGATGTGTGACCTTTTCAGCAAAGAGCAGAGAATCCAGGCCTGCTGTGATCTGTTGAAAACCGAATGCACACAAACAGAGCCTTGTCTTGTGAGGGCCATGCCAAAGGCAACTCAAGGGAAATGAGAAATGCTGGATCCAAAACAATACAATGCAAACACTACAGGTGGACAATTGAGCTCACATACTGAGAAATGCACCTGAAACTAAATTTGTATTAACTTCTCCTTTGCAGATGAAAGACTCCTACCTTATTCTGGATGAATATGTGAGTATTTCCAATGAGTTATAAAATTAAAACTTAATTAATTAATTAGCAGTAATGGCAGAGTTGAGTTCCATGAGCATAACTATCTAGTACCTATTTGTCCTTCTTAATTAGCACTTCACAGTTTGATAGTCAGTGATTATGATTATGCCAGAGCCCTCACTTCACAGGGTCAAATGTGGAGCTAAACACTGGAACAGAATAAGCTTCAACCCAGGTCCCAGCACTGATTTGCACTGAGCACCATATGATATTGTCTGCCATGTAACTATGCATCCGTGGATGTCACATTGAACCCGTTATCACACACAACAGAGTCATCTGTTATGTAGTCCTGGGCTGGAGGCTCTCCTGAGATAGGGCATCCAGCCTACTTTGAAGGAAGGCCATATCACTCTTCTCATTATCTTGGACAAACCAGGCACAGCCAGCTTGTCTTCTGATTGATAAACCTTGGCTTTCCTAAGGAGAGGCTTATGTTTCTGCTCCAAACACCACTGATATTATTCCTACCCCCACTGCCTTCCAAAGGAAGAGGGAAACCTACCCTTCTCAAAACTGAAAAACAAATCACTTTCCCCTTTCCTCTGTCTTTTTTTTTCTAGATCTATAACCATTGCCACTCTTCCTAGCAAAGGACAAATAATTCCATTTGAAGACATATTTTAAAGAAATGAGCTCCAACAACCTTGAATTCCATATTTAAATTGGATTTGTTTTTTGGAGAAATACTTACTGTCACTTTTGATGTTTGCTTTTCTTTCTTTCTTTTCTTTTTTTTTCTGAGATAGGTTTTCCTGTCACCCAGGCTAGAGGGCAATGGCACAATCTTGGCTCACTGCAGCCTCAGCCACCTGGGCTCAGGTGATCCTTCTGCCTCAGCCTCCCAGGTAGCTGGTACTACAGATGTGCACTACCACACCCAGCTAGATTTTTATGTATTTTTTGTAGAGATTGGATTTTGCCATGTTGCCCATGCTGGCCTCTAACACTTGGGCCTCCCCAGATGCTGGGATTCCAGGTGTGGGCCCCCATGTCCAGCTGGTATTTTGTTATTTTCAAGTTAACCAATCATTGTTTATACCCATTTCATTTCTTAACAATATAAGCTTTCTTAATAGAGCATAAGGGAAAAGGTGATAAGGAAAACATTTAGTTTCTGGGTCCAAGGTAGAGAGGAAAATTCAAACAATTTATTTTTGGAGTGGAAATTATTATGATTGTCTAGTGATTTTGACCAGCATCCCTCAACAAACTCACTGGTCTCCACATATTTGGAAAACACATCGTTGAACCAAAATTTGCTTTTACCAATTGAATAACATTTTGCTTCAATAAGTATTACTTGAGCTCCTATGAAACACTCAGTGTAGGTCGTAAGGAGTGTGAAGAAATCGTTTCTGCCTACAGAGTAGAATAGGACAGACTAAAACAAATGAAAATGGATGGAATAAGATTAAAACAAAGAGCCTTCGCAGGTCATGGAAGACTCTTCTTGATCTGGCACCTGCCATGGAAGACTCCTCTTGATCTGGCACCTGCCTGCCTCAGCAGCACCTTTCTTTTCATCCTCTCTCCGTTTCTCAAAACAAGCCTTTATTAATATTTACATATATGCATGCATGCACGGATGCATGCACATCATTACTATTCCAGAAACACCGTCTACCTCCATTTCCCCAGTACATCATGCTATATCACACTTCTGTGCTTTTATGATACCATTCCCTCCAATTTAAAATCTCAACACATAATTCAGATGTTAGCATTTGGGGCAAGCCTCTCCTGATTACCCCTTCCCCCAGTGGAACTACATCTGCCCATGCGGGGCGCATATCATTCTGTTTATTGTGCGCTTAGGTGTCTACTGTACTTAGCCCAGCCTCTTCCACCAGACCATGAGCTGGTTGAGTAGAGAGATGGGGTCCAAGGGGTTCAATATCAGCCACAGATTTCAAAAGATACCTGTCGACATGACTGGAATATCAAAAGCTATTTGGGATTAATAGTCTAGATTGAGTTTTACAGGATTCATCACATGGAAATATACCAGTTTCTGTTATGAATTTTCTAGATGCGCTTTCTGAACTGTAGAAAGGGACGGAAGGACCCTTCCAAGTCCATCCTGGATGTTGGTGTAGAAGAAGCTATAAAATTCAGTGGATTTGATGAAAAGATGTTTCTGAAGCGAGGAGGAAAATACATATGGAGTAAGGCTGATCTGAAGCTGGATTGGTAGAGCGGAAAGTGGAACGAGACTTCAACACACCAGTGGGAAAACTCCTAGAGTAACTGCCATTGTCTGCAATACTATCCCGTTGGTATTTCCCAGTGGCTGAAAACCTGATTTTCTGCTGCACGTGGCATCTGATTACCTGTGGTCACTGAACACACGAATAACTTGGATAGCAAATCCTGAGACAATGGAAAACCATTAACTTTACTTCATTGGCTTATAACCTTGTTGTTATTGAAACAGCACTTCTGTTTTTGAGTTTGTTTTAGCTAAAAAGAAGGAATACACACAGGAATAATGACCCCAAAAATGCTTAGATAAGGCCCCTATACACAGGACCTGACATTTAGCTCAATGATGCGTTTGTAAGAAATAAGCTCTAGTGATATCTGTGGGGGCAAAATTTAATTTGGATTTGATTTTTTAAAACAATGTTTACTGCGATTTCTATATTTCCATTTTGAAACTATTTCTTGTTCCAGGTTTGTTCATTTGACAGAGTCAGTATTTTTTGCCAAATATCCAGATAACCAGTTTTCACATCTGAGACATTACAAAGTATCTGCCTCAATTATTTCTGCTGGTTATAATGCTTTTTTTTTTTTGCCTTTATGCCATTGCAGTCTTGTACTTTTTACTGTGATGTACAGAAATAGTCAACAGATGTTTCCAAGAACATATGATATGATAATCCTACCAATTTTCAAGAAGTCTCTAGAAAGAGATAACACATGGAAAGACGGTGTGGTGCAGCCCAGCCCACGGTGGCTGTTCCATGAATGCTGGCTACCTATGTGTGTGGTACCTGTTGTGTCCCTTTCTCTTCAAAGATCCTGAGCAAAACAAAGATACGCTTTCCATTTGATGATGGAGTTGACATGGAGGCAGTGCTTGCATTGCTTTGTTCGCCTATCATCTGGCCACATGAGGCTGTCAAGCAAAAGAATAGGAGTGTAGTTGAGTAGCTGGTTGGCCCTACATCTCTGAGAAGTGACGGCACACTGGGTTGGCATAAGATATCCTAAAATCACGCTGGAACCTTGGGCAAGGAAGAATGTGAGCAAGAGTAGAGAGAGTGCCTGGATTTCATGTCAGTGAAGCCAAGTCACCATATCATATTTTTGAATGAACTCTGAGTCAGTTGAAATAGGGTACCATCTAGGTCAGTTTAAGAAGAGTCAGCTCAGAGAAAGCAAGCATAAGGGAAAATGTCACGTAAACTAGATCAGGGAACAAAATCCTCTCCTTGTGGAAATATCCCATGCAGTTTGTTGATACAACTTAGTATCTTATTGCCTAAAAAAAAATTTCTTATCATTGTTTCAAAAAAGCAAAATCATGGAAAATTTTTGTTGTCCAGGCAAATAAAAGGTCATTTTAATTTAGCTGCAATTTCAGTGTTCCTCACTAGGTGGCATTTAAATGTCGCCTGATGTCATTAAGCACCATCCAAAAAGTCTGCTTCATAATCTATTTTCAAGACTTGGTGATTCTGAAAGTTTTGGTTTTTGTGACTTTGTTTCTCAGGAAAAAAAATATTCCTACTTAAATTTTAAGTCTATAATTCAATTTAAATATGTGTGTGTCTCATCCAGGATAGGATAGGTTGTCTTCTATTTTCCATTTTACCTATTTACTTTTTTTGTAAGAAAAGAGAAAAATGAATTCTAAAGATGTTCCCCATGGGTTTTGATTGTGTCTAAGCTATGATGACCTTCATATAATCAGCATAAACATAAAACAAATTTTTTACTTAACATGAGTGCACTTTACTAATCCTCATGGCACAGTGGCTCACGCCTGTAATCCCAGCACTTGGGAGGACAATGTGGGTGGATCACGAGGTCAGGAGTTCGAGAACAGCCTGGCCAACATGGTGAAACCCCGTCTCCACTAAAAATACAAAAATTAGCCAGGCATGGTGGCGTACACTTGTAATTCCAGCTACTCAAGAGGCTGAGGCAGGAGGATTGCTTGAACCCTGAAGGCAGAGGTTACAGAGCCAAGATAGCGCCACTGCACTCCAGCCTGGATGACAGAGCAAGACTCCGTCTCAAAAAAAAAAAAAAAAAAAAGCAAGAGAGTTCAACTAAGAAAGGTCACATATGTGAAAGCCCAAGGACACTGTTTGATATACAGCAGGTATTCAATCAGTGTTATTTGAAACCAAATCTGAATTTGAAGTTTGAATCTTCTGAGTTGGAATGAATTTTTTTCTAGCTGAGGGAAACTGTATTTTTCTTTCCCCAAAGAGGAATGTAATGTAAAGTGAAATAAAACTATAAGCTATGTTAAATACATTTTCAGCTGTTTTATCCACCATTATTCACAGGCCACGCCCACACCACCCCCACCCCCACCACCACCACCTAATGCACTGTCAGGATTTGCAAGGCCTTAATGTTTAAAATATTCAAATGTTAATTTCTCTTAAAGGGGAGAAATAAGGACTTCTAACATTAGAGTAAATTCAAATTCAGCCTATATAGTGTTTTGCTTTATGTTTTCAGTTTTAAATGTGAGTGTTAGTTTTGTAAAACACATTTAATTGGGAAAGCAAGGAACAATTTCACGGAGGTATCTTATGTGTTAAGGGAAGATATTTTATGTTGCATTTAATTCTTTCTTTTTTTAATCCAAAATTTTATTTGACCATGTTTGTCTAGAAGTGACAATATTGTTTCTTACGTTAACTAGAACTGGAGCCTGGAGATAGAAAATAAGTCTAGTTACATAAAAATTTTAAATTTATGCACATTTGAATTTATCAATTATGAATATATACACTCTACACAATGAATAGTGGAGAATAATGAAAGTAGCAAACCATTGTATATGTCAAAGTAATTTCTATAGCATATATATATGTGTGTGTATGTGTATGTGTATTATACTTTAAGTTCTGGGATACATGCGCAGAACGTGCAGGTTTGTTACATAGGTATACACGTGCCATGGTGGTTTGCTGCACCCATCAACCCGTCATCTATATTAGATATTTCTCCTAATGCTATCCCTCCCCTAACCCCCCACCCCCCAACAGGCCCCAGTGTGTGATGTTCCCCTCCCTGTGTCCATGTGTTCTCATTGTTCAACTCCCACTTATGAGTGAGAACATGCATTGTTTGGTTTTCTATTCTCGTGTCAGTTTGCTGAGAATGATGGTTTCCAGCTTCATCCATGTCCCTGAAAAGGACATGAACGCATCCTTTTTTATGGCTGGATAGTATTCCATGGTGTATATGTGCCACATTGTTTTTATCCAGTCTATCATTCATGGGCATTTGGGTTGGTTCCAAGTCTTTGCTATTTGTGAACAGCACTGCAATAAACATACGTGTGCATGTGTGTTTATAGTAGAATGATTTATAATCCTTTGGGTATATACCCAGTAATGGGATTGCTGAGTCAAATGGTATTTCTGGTTCTAGATCCTTGAGGAATCACCACAATGTCTTCCACAATGGTTGAACTAATTTACAATCCCACCAACAATATAAAAGCATTCCTGTTTCTCCACATCCTCTCCAACATCTGTCATGTCCTGACTTTTTAATGATTACCATTCTAACAGGCGTGAGATGGTATTTCTCATTGTGGTTTTGATTTGATTTGATTTCTCTAATGACCAGTGTTGTTGACCTTTTTTTCATATGTTTGTTGGCCACATAAATGTCTTCTTCTGAGAAGTGTCTGTTTATATCCTTTGCCCACTTTTGGATGGGTTTGTTTGTTTTTTTCTTGTAAATTTGTTTAAGTTCCTTGTAGATTCTGGGTATTAGCCCTTTGTCAGGTGGCTAAATTGCAAAAATTTTCTCCCATTCCATAGGTTGCTTGTTCACTCTGATGAAAGTTTCTTTTGCTGTGCAGAAGCTCTTTAGTTTAGTTAGATCCCATTTGTCAATTTTGGCTTTTGTTGCCATTGCTTTTGGTGTTTTAGTCATGAAGTCTTTGCCCATGCCTATGTCCTGAGTGGTATTGCCTAGGTTTTGTTCTAGGGTTTTTATGATTTTATGTCTTACGTTTAAGTCTTTAATCCATCTTGAATAAATTTTTGTATAAGGTGTAAGGAAGGGGTCCAATTTCAGTTTTCTGCATATGGCTAGCCAGTTTTCCCAACACAATTTATTAAATAGGAAATCCTTTCCCCATTGCTTATTTTTGTCAGGTTTCTCAAAGATCAGATGGTTGTAGATGTGTGGCATGATTTCTGAGGCCTCTGTTCTGTTCCATTGGTCTATATATCTGTTTTGGTACCAGTACCATACTGTTTTGGTTACTGTAGCCTTGTACTCTAGTTTGAAGTCAGGTCGCGTGATGCCTCCAGCTTTGTTCTTTTTGCTTAGGATTGTCTTGGCTCTATGGGCTCTTTTTTGGTTCCAAATAAAATTTAAAGTAGTTTTTCCCAATTCTGTGAAGAAAGTCGATGGTAGCTTGATGGATATAGCATTGAATCCACGAATTACTTTGGGCAGTATGGCCATTTTCACTATATCGATTCTTCCTATCCATGAGCGTGGAATGTTTTTCCATTTGTTTGTGTCTCTCTTGTTTCCTTGAGCAGTGGTTTGTAGTTCTCCTTGAAGAGGTCTTTCACATCCCTTGTAAGTTGTATTCCTAGATATTTTATTCTCTTTGTAGCAATTGTGAATGGGAGTTCACTCATAATTTGGCTCTCTATTTGTCTACTGGTGTAGAGGAATACTTGTGATTTTTGCACATTGATTTTGTATCCTGAGACTTTGCCAAAGTTGCTTATCAGCTTAAAAAGATTTTGGGCTGAGACGATGGGGTTTTCTAAATATACGATCCTGTCATCTGCCAACAGAGACAATTTGACTTCCTCTCTTCCTATTTCAATACCCTTTATTTCTTTCTCTTGCCTGATTGCCCTGGCCAGAACTTCCAATACTATGCTGAATAGGAGTGGTGAGAAAGGGCATCATTGTCTTGTGCCAGTTTTCAAAGGGAATGCTTCCAGCTTTTGGCCATTCAGTATGATATTGGCTGTAGGTTTGTCATAATTAACTCTGATTATTTTGAGATACGTTCCATCAATACCTAGTTTACTGAGAGTTTTTAGTATGAAGGGGTGTTGAATTTTATCAAAGACCTTTTCTGCATCTATTGAGATAATCATGTGGTTTTTGTCATTGGTTCTATTTATGTGATGGATTACATTTATTGATTTGCGTATGTTGAACCAGTCTTGCATTTCAGGGATGAAGCCGACTTGATCACAGTAGATCAGCTCTTTGATGTGCTGCTGGATTCGATTTGCCAGTATTTTATTGAGGATTTTCATATCAATGTTCATCAGGGATATTGGCCTGAAATTTTCTTTTTTTGTTGTGTCTCTGCCAGGTTTTGGTATCAGGATGATGCTGGCCTCATAAATGAGTTAGGGAGGAGTCCATCTTTTTCTATTGTTTGTAATCATTTCAGAAAGAATGATACCAGCTCCTCTTTGTACCTCTAGTAGAATTCGGCTATGCATCCATCTGGTCCTGGGCTTTTTTTTTGGTTGGTAGGCTATTAATTACTGCCTCAATTTCAGAACTTGTTATTGGTCTATTCTGGGATTCGACTTCTTCCTGGTTTAGTCTTGGGAGGGTGTATGTGTCCAGGAATTTATCCATTTCTTCTAGATTTTCTAGTTTATTTGCATAGAGGTGTTTATAGTATTCTCTAATGGCAGTTTGTATTTCTGTGGGATCAGTGGTGCTATCCCCTTTATCATTTTTTATTGTGCCTATTTGATTCTTCTCTCTTTTCTTCTTTGTTAGTCTGGCTAGCAGTCTATCTATTTTGTTGATCTTTTCAAAAAAACTAGCTCCTGGATTCATTGATTTTTTTGAAGTGCTTTTCATGTTTTTATCTCCTTCAGTTCTGCTCTGATCATAGTTATTTCTTGTCTTCTGCTAGCTTTTGAATTTATTTACTCTTGCTTCTCCAGTTTTTTTAATTGTGATGTTAGGGTGTCGATTTTAGATCCTTCTCACTTTCTCCTGGGGGCATTTAGTGCTATAAATTTCCCTCTAAACACTGCTTTAGCTGTGTCCCAGAGATTCTGGTATGTTGTGTCTCTGTTTTCACTGGTTTCAAAGAACTTATTTATTTCTACCTTCATTTCGTTACTTACCCAGTAGTAATTCAGGAGCAGGTTGTTCAGTTTTCATGTAGTTGTGCGGTTTTGAGTGAGTTTCTTAATCCTGAGTTCTAATTTGATTGCACTGTGGTCTGAGAGATTGTTTGTTATGATTTCTGTTGTTTTGCATGTGGTAAGGAGTGTTTTGCTTCCAATTATGTGGTCATTAGAATAAGTGTGATGTGGTGCTGAGAAGAATGTATATTCTGTTGATTTGGGGTGGAGAGTTTTGTAGATGTCTATTAGGTCTGCTCAGTCCAGAGCTGAGTTCAAGTCCTGAATATCCTTGTTAATTTTCTGTCTCATTGATCTGTCTAATGTGGACAGCAGGGTGTTAAAGTCTCCCACTATTATTGTGTGAGAGTCTAAGTCTCTTTGTAGGTCTCTAAAAACTTGCTTTATGAATCAGGTTGCTTCTGTATTGGGTGCATGTATATTTAGGATAGTTAGCTCCTCTTGTTGCATCGGTCCCTTTACCATTACGTAATGCCCTTCTTTGTCTTTTTTGATCTTTGTTGGTTTAAATTCTGTTTTATCAGAGACTAGGATTGCAACCCCTGCTTTTTTTTTTCTTTCCATTTGATTGGTAAATATTCCTCCATCCCTTTATTTTGAGCCTATGTGTGTCTTTACACATGAGATGGGTCTCCTGAATACAGCACACCGATGGGTCTTGACTCTTCATGCAATCTGCCAGTCTGTGCCTTTTAATTGGGTCATTTAGCCCATTTACATTTAAGGTTAATATTGTTATGTGTAAATTTGATCCTGTCATTATGATGCTAGTTGGTTATTTTGCCCGTTAATTGATGCAGTTTCTTCATAGTGTTGTTGGTCTTTACAATTTGGTATGTTTTTGCAGTGCCTGGTACCAGTTTTTCCTTTCAATATTTAGGGCTTCCTTCAGGAGCTCTTGTAACCCAGGCCTGGTAGTGACAGAATCCCTCAACATTTATTTGTCTGTAAAGGATTTTATTTCTCCTTTGTTAATGAAGCTTCCTTTGGCTGGATATGAAATTCTGTGTTGAAAATTCTTTTTTTTTTAAGTGTTCAATATTGGCCCTCACTCTCTTCTGGCTTGCACAGTTTCTGTAGAGAGATCTGCTGTTAGTCTGATGGGCTTCCCTTTGTGGGTAACCTAGCCTTTCTCTCTGGCTGCCCTTAATATTTTTCCTTCATTTCAACCTTGGTAAATTTGACAATTATGTGTCTTGGGATTGTTCTTGAGGAGTATCTTTGTGGTGTTCTCTGTATTTCCTAATTTGAATGTTGGCCTGTCTTGCTAGGTTGGGGAAGTTCTCCTGGATGATATCCTGAAGTGTTTTCCAACTTGGTTCCATTATCCTCGTCTCTTTCAGGTACACCAATTAAACGTAGATTTGGTCTTTTCACATAATCCCATATTTCTTGGAGGCTTTGTTTGTTCCTTTGCATTCTTTTTTCTCTAATCTTGTCTTCACGCTTTATTTCATTAAGTTGATCTTCAATCTTTGATATCATTTCTTCCACTTGATCGATTCGGCTATTGATACTTGTGTATGCTTCATGAAGTTCTTGTGCTGTGTTTTTCAGCTCTATCAGGTCATTTATGTTCTTCTCTAAACTGGTTATTCTAGTTAGCAGTTCCTGTAACCTTTTATCAAGGTTCTTAGCTTCCTTGCATTGGGTTAGGACATGCTCCTTTAGCTTGGAGGAGTTTGTTGTTACCCACCTTCTGAAGTCTACCTCTGTCAGTCTGTCAAACTCATTCTGCATCCAGTTTTGTTTCCTTGCTGGTGGGGAGTTGTGATCCTTTGGAGGAGAAGAGGCATTGTGGTTTTTGGAATTTTCAGCATTTTTGTGCTGGTTTTTCCTCATCTTTGTGGATTTATCTACCTTTCATCTTTGATGTTGGTGACCTTTGGATGGGGTTTTTGCATGGGCATCCTTTCTGTGGATGTTGATGTTACTGATTTCTATTTGTTAGTTTTCCATCTAACAGTCAGACCCCTCTTCTGCAGGTCTGCTGGAGTTTGCCGGAGGTCCACTCCCGACCTTGTTTCCCTGATTAGCACCAGCAGAGGCTGCAGAACAGCAAATATTGCTGCCTGCTTCTTCCTCTGGAAGCTTTGTTCCAGAGGGTCGCCTGCCAGATGCCAGCTGGAACTCTCCTGTATGAGGTGTCTGTTGACCCCTGCTGGGAGGTATCTCCCAGTCAGGAGGCACGGGGGTCAGGGACCCAATTGAGGAGGCAATCTGTCCCTTAGCAGAGCTTGAGTGCTGTGCTGGGAGATCCGCTGCTCTCTTCAGAGCCAGCAGGCAGGAACATTTAAGTCTGCTGAAGCTGCGCCCACAGCCGCTCCTCCCGCCAGGTGCTCTGTCCCAAGGAGATGGGAGTTTTATCTGTAAGCTCCTGACTGGGGCTGGGGCTGCTGCCTTTCTTTTTTCTTTTTTTTTTTTTTGTTTTTTTTTTGAGACAGAGTCTCGCTGTGTTGCCCAGGCTGGAGCGCAGTCGCCCAATCTTAGCTCACTGCAACTTCTGCCTCCTGGGTTCAAGTGATTCTCCTCCCTCAGCCTCCTGAGTACCTGGGATTACAGGTGTGCACCACCATGCCCATCTAATTTTTGTATTTTTAATAGAGACGGGGTTTCACCGTGTTGGTCAGGTTGGTCTTGAACATCTGACCTTGTGATCCACCCACCTTGGCCTCCCAAAGTGCTGGAATTACAGGTGTGAGCCACCACACCTGGCCAGGCTGCTGCCTTTCTTTCAGAAATGCCCTGCCCAGAGAGGAGGAATCTAGAGAATCAGTCTGGCTAGAGCCACTTTGCTGTGCTGTGGTGGGCTCTACCCAGTTTGAACTTCCCAGCAGCTTTGTTTGAACTGTGAGGAGAAAACCACCTACTCAAGCCTCAGTAATGGCAGACGCCCCTCCCCGCCACCAAGCTCAAGTGTCCCAGGTTGACTTCAGACTGCTGTGCTGGCAGCAAGAATTTCAAACCAGTGGATCTTAGCTTGCTGGGCTCTGGGGGGGTGGGATCCGCTGAGCAAGAGCACTTGGCTCCCTGGCTTCAACCCCCTTTCCAGGGGAATGAACGGTTCTGTCTCACTGGTATTCCAGGGGCCACTGGGGTGCGAAAAAAAACTCCTGCAGCTAGCTCGGTGTCTGCCCAAATGGCCACCCAATTTTGTGCTTGAAACCTAGGTCCCTGGTGGAGAAGGCACCTGAGGGAATCTCCTGGTCTGTGGGTTGTGAAGACCACGGGAAAAGCATAGTAACTGGGCTGGATAGCACTGTTCCTCACAGCACCATCCCTCATGGCTTCCTTTGGCTAGGGGAAGGTGTTCCCTGACCCCTTGTGCTTCCTGGGTGAGGCGATGCCCCACCCTGCTTTGGCTCACCCTCCATGGGCTGCACCTGCTGTCCAACTAGTCCCAATGAGATGAGCCAGGTACCTCAGTTGGAAATGCAGAAATCACCCGCCTTCTTTGTTGGTCTTGTTGGGAGCTGCAGACCAGAGCTGTTCCTATTTGGCCATCTTGTCAGCCCTCCAGGTCAAGTTTAATCACACAAAACACCCCCATATATGCTTAGGAGAACTATAGCAAGTCCACGTCAGATGCTACTAAAATGGACTTAAAAGATCAGAAAGATTGCAACAATATTTATTTTTATTATTATTAAAAATACACATTTGTAGGATATTTGAAAACAGAGTAAAACAAAATGAAGAAAATTAAAATTACCCATAATTGTATCACATAGAGGTAACTGGTAATTTAGCTCACATCTGTCCAGTCATATATATTGCTTAATAGAATTGCATTCTTACTCAATACTTTTATTTTTCACATTATATCTTCTGAAGCTTTTTAAAGTTAATTAGCATTTTGTACTTTAATGAGAACAGCCAGTTCTTAACAATTCACACTAATAGATGAGAAAACATTCAATGGCATTAAAAAGTCAGAGCTCATTTGAAAAAAAACCCACTGGATTTGTTTTTGAGTTGTTTACATATTTGTTTATGGATGTAAGTGGTATCCTATTAATTTTAGTAATATTCTCTCTCTACACACACACACACACACACACACACACACACACACACACACACACACACACACAAAGCTCTGTGAAAGTTCATTCTTGGGGAATCTGGAAAACTGCCCAAACATTGTTTACTTTTTTCATTCAGGGCCACCTCAACTTGTTCCTAAACCCCTCTCAGCAACACATCTGAATAGACTGACCTTTGTCAGTTCTCTTCCTGGGTTATATTCAGCTTTATCTTTTATGTTTTCTGACATCTATTTGTGGGGATAACCAGAAAACCTGTGTATATGTGTAGTTGGTGGTATCTACTTTTGTGAAGAATACCTCATTTTTCATTAAATCATAACTCAGATATCACTTTTTCCTGGAAGCCTAGTAGACAGCAGGCATTTGAATGCTGGTTGAGTCAAACTGACCTGAATTAGTCAGCTCAGGCTGCCATAAAAACATACCGTATACCATGTGGCAGAAACAATACACATATATTTCTCTGGAGGCTGGAAGTCCAAGATCAAGGTGCCAACTGGTTAAGTTCCTGGTCAGGCTTCTTTCCCTGGCTTGCAGATGGCTGCCTTGTCCCTGTGTTCTCACATGGAGGAGACAGGGATCTCTCTCCTCTTAAAAGGCCACCATCATTTTGCATAAGGACTTCATTTGAACTTAACTACCTGCTAAAGACCCTGTGTCCAGATATAGTCACACAGGGGATCAGAGCTTTGACATGTGAGTTTTGGAAGGAGACCATTCAGTCCATAGCATGATCCATCATTTAAATGGTAAGATGCAATATACCTAATAGATTTGACCTGACTTTGATGCCATTTAATAGATTTGACTTGACTTTGTCTGATGGCAGTTAATAAAGCCACTTCTATTGAAGTAGGCAGTGCTGTGAGTATTATGACTTGGGGCCCCATGGACGTTTCCAGTCCTTTAAATATTGCCTCCATCCGCTGTGACAGAGCCTGAAATGTCTTCGTTGTGATTAAACTTGCAGTTTCTCCACTGATTTTCTGTAAAACTGAGGGAGTCTGGGGAATTAGCAAACATTAATCTTGTTCTTCAAGTTGTCGTTGGGATGTGTCAGCCCCACCTTTCTCTCAGGTATTGGCCAGGAGAGGGAAAAGCAGGGAACAGAGAGCAAACTTAAGCTATTTCCTACCTATTTGCCTACCACAACCTGGTGATGCCTGGCAAGATCCTTGTAGTTGAAAGATTTAATTCAGGAACAGCTTGGTGCATATCTACTGTGTGGTGAGACCTGTGCCAGACGCTATGGGGAATATCCAAGAAGAAGAGTCAGGCTTTTCATCTTTGAGAAATTTACAAATGTTAGGACAAGAGTTAGACACACGAGAGAGTTAAACAACTGAGTAAGAGAGGCAAAGCAGTGATAGAAAAGGCACCTGCCGTGGGACAGCCTGGCTTGAGCTGCAGTACCGTGTTTGATTAAGGGTGCGATACTTAGGTTCACAAAGGCCCAGTTTCCTCATCAGCAAAATGAGGGATCAATGCAGATTAGTGTAAGGACTTGAGTTAATTATACAAACAGCTCTTGGTGGCCTCTGGTAACTACTAACAGTTACCAATGAGTTCACATCATGTGAAAGCCATCCTTCATAATCTGAGGTAATGCAGGACAAAATAGATAAAAACTCATGGCACAGTTTGAAGTCCTGATAATTGTCATGAGCAAAAAGAGAGGACATTTGGGTTTTGGGGAAGAACACCTTAGAGAACAGGAGGCTTAAGACGGCTGCCCGTTAGTTAACTTACTCATTTAGTATGCACCTATGATGTATCAGCTTTTATAGCAAGTGCTAAAAACACAAAAATGAGCATAAGATTGTTTTGTCGCTAAGGTGCTCAAAGTTTAGTGGAGAAGGCAGTCTTGTAAACGAATAGGTAAAATAAGTGTTGAAGGATGGTAGAAGTAGCAACAAAGTTTTAACACACACACACACACACAAAACATGGAGGACTCTGGTGGTCTTTCATTCTACATCTTAATGGGAATATTGAGATGAGCGCTTCGCCAGAGCTCAGGTCTGAAAAATCCGGTAGAACATAAACTTCTAAAAATGTTCTGACTACTCATCCATAAAAAAAGAATGAATTAACGGCATTTGCAGCAACTTGAATGAGATTGGAGACTATTATTCTAAGTGAAGTAACTCAGGAATGGAAAACCAAAGGTTGTATGTTATCATACTTAAGTGGGAGCTAAGCTATCAGGATGCAAAGGCATAAGAATGACACAGTGGGCCTTGGGGACTCAGTAGGAAAGGGTGGGATGTGGGTGAGGGATAAAAGACTACAAATTGGGTGCAGTGTATACTGCTCGGGTGATGGGTGCCAAAGTTTCACAAATCACCACTACAGAATTTACTCATGTAGCCAAACACCACATGTTCCCCAATAACCTATGGAAACAAAAAACAAAACAAAAAAATGCTCTGCTCTGTTTTGTGAGGGGTCCAATGTCGGCCTTCAAGTGGCCTCAAAAATCAGAAATACAGACATGTGTGAAGCAACTTGATATAAGACAGCACAGGGTGGTGGGAGCCAGGGTGAGCTAGAGAACATACTCCTCTTAGAGGTGTTCAAGTTTTATAAAACATGACACTCCCCAAATGAAATACCCCTGAAGATCTGACTTGTCTTATCAGATGCCTGTTTTCAAATTCAAGTCACAGTGCCACCATGACTATCCCTAATTTATTCAGTGGTATATCAGGCATTAGCTATTCACTGAAAACTGGTAACCTTAATCACTGTTCCTTGAAGGAAATATTTTTACTCCCTGTTGTAAAGACTTTGAATAGTTATTCATACCCCCTTCTGTGAACATGAGAAAATTATACTTTCTCACCCTCTTTCAGTTAAGCAAAGCTACTAATTCCGGCCAATTATGAGTGCATTTAACTGCTAGTACAAGGCTGTACAACATTTGCTTTTGGGTCCACAGTGATTACAGAGGAGGCCTCATGTTGAGATGGCTGAGTCTAAAAACAGGCAACCTTGATCTTGTGTGCTTATTGGGAGGATAGTATTGGAGAGACAAATACGGTCACAGCAAACTGCATATATGGGACAGTTCACATTTTGAGATTACTTGTTACTGTAACACAGATTAGCCCGTCCTAACCAAAATGATCCCATAACAAATAACATTCAGATTGTCTAAGGCTAATGATGGAGATACAATTTCAATAGGGGTTAAGGCATTGGACTTCATAGTCCCATTTCACAATATTGACCAAGATTTACATTCTCCCTGGGGGTGGCTCTACAACTGATGGAATCACAATACTCTCGGTCTTGGGGGAATGCGCCATTGCCTCCTACCACTGGACACACAATTCTTCTCTTAACTTAAACTATATGGTCCTTAAGGGTAGAGCGCATATTTTAGCAGCTAAAAAGTTTTGAGCCCTGAAGTGGGCATGCCAAGTATGGTGTTAAGTGCTTTGCATAATTTTTATTTTAAATGCTCAGAGAAACCATAGAAGAGAAGTGTAATCATCCTTCATTTCATTGCTAAGGAAACTGGAGCTGAGGGAGTCTAACTGAAATGCATAGCTAGATCTTGATGAAACCTAAACTGACTTTGGCAGCAAAGCCCGAGCCAAGCTCAGGCAGAGGGCTTTGTCCTTCTTTCTTCCAAACTGCCTGGGACTCAGCTTCTGGGTTTCTGGGTTTTATTTGTTGTTGTTATTTGCTTGTTTCAATCTGTGAAGCCTGCTCTCCTCTTGATGATTAGAAACTGTGAGTGCATGTCTTCTTTAGAGGAAGTGGCTTGTGGTCTTGCCCTGTGATCCTCTGATAAGAATAGGTTCTCAGAAATACAACCCAATAGACCAAACTTTCACACGAAGATATGAAATGAGAGAAGAAGGAAGGAGAAGACAGACTGATAGAGTTCTTCATACACATGCAAGATGGGGAAAGGAAAAAGAGGAATTTGCATTCTTTCATTGGACTATTACATTCTTTCATGTCTAATGCCAAACATACAAATATGATAATATAATAAGAGAGTAACAAAAGTGGTGTGAGCACAGCTCAGCAGAAAGATTGGCTAACCCAGGGGAGTGACAGAAATGTTACTAGAGGTGTCAGTGGTGCACTGGAGTTTAAAATAGTAGGAGAAGTTTTCCAGGCCGTCAAGGTGTGGGGATTTGATGAGAGTGTTTGCGTTTGTTATTGTTGTTGATGGTGGTGGCGATGTGTGTGTGTGTGTGTGTGTGTGTGTGTGTGTAGAAAGAGAGAGAGAGAGGAGTTTTTAAGTACTGTATGTATTTTAAGGAGATTGAATAATCTAAGGTGAGGAGCATTTAAAATAATAGCAGAATAAAAGTTAAATACTTAGAAACATACAGCAATGAAACAAAATGACCTCTAAAGGGCCTTTTAAGTATGTTTCCATCCAGAAAGGGTCTCTATAGCCCCTATTTTTATTTTTTATTCCCATTATCCCCCAGAACTTTCCATTCTTAGGTGGCATCCAAGATTCTGTCCATTCCTGCTCAAGCCCACCTGCCACCTTTATCCATAACAGATAAACCTCCTGGTCCTACCAAGCCAGACAATCTATTGTCAGGAAAATGTTTTATGATTCTCTTCTTCTGCAATCTTGCTGGAGCTCACTTTCCCCATCTTACTGTCTCAGGTCAGGTTCCCTGGGAAACAGACTCTGAGATGGAGGTTGGTGGTTAAGAGATGCTTAGGAAGGGTTCCTGTAGAAGAATGAGGACACAGGGGAGCTGGGATGCATTTGCTGGGGAACTCTGGGGCTAGGGAGCCCTTCAGTGTTGTCCCAAGGTATGCCAAGCGATTCTCAGAAATACAACCCAATAGACCAAACTTTCACACAAAGATATGAAATGAGACATATGTTATGTCCCAGGCAAGCGGTTTTGGAAGGAGTTTTGCAGGAGGCAGCTACCTTTGGCCAAGATTGATTCCTGGGATGTGAGCCTTCCACAGCCAACAGTCCCAGCTCACGGGATAATGACTGCCTTGGTTCTGTAGGGAATCTTCATGAAGCATTCAAGCATCCACCTTGCGATATATCACCTGAGCCCTGTTCAGTAGGTGGAATAGCAAGTCCTGTTTCTCCCCCATAGCTCTTTATTTTAAACCTCACGTGTTACCATGTGGCAGCATCCACTAGGAATGAGCTGTGGGCACCTGAGTTGTTGCCCAGGACACAGACCTGGATTGTGTACTGTGTTCCCCTTGCACCTATCTGCTACCTGAATTTCTTCCAGGTTCCCATCTTTTCCTAGCTCTTGGCTATCTGCCTCAACTGTGCTCTCATGTCTAAGACTGAATGACTTACTCTGCCTACCTAGTATTGTACTTGGGCTCTCCTTCAAGACTCAAGTACCTGTGAATTACTGCTACTCAAAACCAGTTTACAGTGAATGTGTTAGCTTTAGTTGTTAGTTTAGGCAAGACCATGCTGGCATAACAAATAAACCCTAAAATTTCAATAGCTTAACACATGCAGGTTCATGTTCTCCTGAGGATCATCCTACCAGTGGGCAACCCACAGATCCAGCTGACTCCATTTGGTGGTCCCACCACCTCAATATGTGGCTCTGTTATCACTGGGATGGTGATGGGCAAGTTCAGTGTCATGAAGGTCTTTCTCATTGCCTTGGCTCAAAAGTGAGGCTTATGTCTACAGTCTATGGAACAAAATGAGTCACATGCCCTGGCCTGACTGTGAGGGGGCCAGAAAATCTGGGAAAATGCATGGCTATTTAGTGAGCATTAAATGTTTGCCCACAATGAGGTCTGTCTGCTGTTAAATATAATCATTCTTTGAGACTTGAGAAAGCCTTTAAAAATTCTGTCAAGCCCCAAGGGCCATATTCAATTGATTACTATAGAAAAGCAGTGTAATAAAAAGTTAAAAGACCTCTGAATCAGCCTTCTGTAATATTACCATGTGTGCCTTGAGCAAGCAGGGATCCTGGATCTGGCATGGCCTCGGTAAACCTCAGTGTTCCCATAAGTGAAGTGAAAAGATCAGACAAAACTTTCTCTTGGGTCCTTTTCAGTTCTAAGTAGAATCTACGGAGCTTGCATTTGAGCCATGCATAGAAGATCCGGTTAATAAAGAACCACAGAAGATTCATTTCTTTCATTCAACAAATTTTTATGAAGTGCCTAGAACTTATCTTGCCATTGCTGGATATGATGGCAAACAAGAGAGACGCGTCTCTACTTTCTGGGAGAATGCTAGGAAAAATATCTTTACTTTTTAATTCACATGTTAATATTTTCATTTATTGTCATTTATCTTGCCACCTTTGTATAACACTTTTATTTTTATTATAACCCTTGTTCTCTAAGTTGCAGTCATGAGTAGTCACCTTCCATGCACTTGTATTAGTTTGCTAGGCCTGGTGAAACAAAGTACCACCTTCTGAGTGGCTTAAACCACAGAAATGTATCATCTCACAGTTCTGGAGGTGTATTAGGGTTCCTCAGAGACACAGAATCAATAGGATAGAGATAGATAGATAGATAGACTAGATAGATGATTGATAGATGGATAGATAGATAGATAGATAGGAGATTTATTATGGGAATTGGCTTACATAATTATGGAGGCCAAGAAGTCCCACGATCTGCCGTCTGCAAGCTGGAGACCCTGAAAAGCTGGTGGTGGAATTCAGTCAGAGGCCAAAGGGCGGAGAACCTAGGGGTGGAGTAGGGAGGGGGAAGCACGCTCTCATGTAAGTGCTGGAATCCTGAGGCCCGAGAACCAGGAGCTCTGAAGTCAGGGGGCAGGAGAAGATGGATGTGCCAGCTGGAACAGAAGGAGCATATGTGCCCTTCCTCCTGTTTGTTCGCGCTCTCCAGAGATAGGGTGATGCACGTGGGTGAGGGCAGATCTTCTTTACTCTAAGGATTCAAATGCTGATCTTGTCCAGAAACACTCTGAGAGATGCACACAGACATACTGTCTTACCAGCTATCTGGGCATCCCTTAACCCAGTCAAGCTGCCACTTAACATTAACCATCACAGGGGGCTAGAAGTCTAAGTCAAAGCTTTGGCAAGATTGGTTCCTTTTGAGGGCTGTGAGGAAGAATCTGGTCCAGGCTCCTCCACCAGCTGCCGGTGCTTTGCTGGTCATCTTTGGCATTTCTTGGCTTGTAGAAGCATCACCCAAATCTTTGACTTCAGTTCACATGGTGTTCTCCTTGTGTGTGTCTGTGTCCAAATTTCCCCTTTACATAAGGACACCAGTCATATTGGATTAAAGCCCACTCCAGTATGATCTCCTCTTAACTAATCATATCTGCAATGACCCTATTTCCAAAGAAGGTCACATTCTGGGGTACTGGGGCTTAGAACTTCAGTATACGAATTTTAAGGAGGCACAAGGTGTCCGTGACAGTGCTGTGTTAAGTGACTGGAAGGATGAATTTCCTTTTTCACTTGCACTTTCTTTCTTGAAGTTTTGTTTGAAGCTGCTTGAAGACATCTCTGCATCCTGTCTTATGTGGATGCTACTCCCACTGCAGAGATTATTCGAGAGGTTGGAAAGGTTGGAAAAGAAAGAGAGGATGCTTTTGAAGGGAGAAGGGTAAGAGTACAGACAAGGGAAGCTGTATTAGTCTGTCTGTTCCCACACTGCCAATAGAGACATGCCTGAGACTAGGTAATTTATAAAGAAAAAGAGGTTTAATGGACTCACAGTTCCACATAACTGGGGAGGCCTCACAATCACGGCGGAAGGCAAGGAGGAGCAAAGTCACAGCAGGCAAGAACATTTGCAGGGGAACTCCCCTTTATAAAACCATCAGATCTCATAAAACTTATTCACTGTCACGAGAACGGCACAGGAAAGACCCACCCCCATGATTCAGTTACCTCTCACCTGATCCCTCCCATGACATACGAGAATTATGGGAGCTACAATTCAAGATGAGATTCAGGTGGAGAGACAGCCAGACTGTATCAGAAGCTTTGCCAAGAAGACCCGGAGAGTAGCAGGAACTCTCCTCTGTTCTTTGGCATTACCCTGTGAAGGCTGTGTGGCTCACCTGGGGACTGTGCCTCTGGCAGGAAAGTCTTGTGCTGTCTGCTCCTGAGAGAAGGCATGGCTTCTGGAATGAGATGATCAGTAGCACAGATGGGCTGAAGATGAGACGTTACATTCCACATTCCCAGAACCATAATATCCCCCAGATTCCTCTGTGTCCTTAAGGAGAGAAAGTCAGAATGAGAACTGACATTTGATTTCCTGCTACTCTAGAGAAACAAGAAATGGAATTTGTTAATTTTTAAAATAAAAAAAGTGAATTTTCTATATTTATGGAATGTGTGATTACAAATTCACATAAACTTCCTTGTCTAATTTTTTTTCTTTTCTTTTTCTTTTTCTTTCTTTTTTTTTTTTTTTGAGACTGAGTTTCGCTCTTGTTGCCAGGCTGCAGTGCAGTGGTGCGATCTCGGCTCACCGCAACCTCTGCCTCTGGGGTTCAAGCGATTCTCCTGCCTTAGCCTCCCGAGTAGCTGGGATTATAGGCATGTGCCACCACGCCTGGCTAATTTTGTATTTTTAACAGAGACAGGGGTTTCTCCATGTTGGTCAGGCTGGTCTTGAACTCCCAACCTCAGGTGATCTGCCTGCCTCGGCCTCCCAAAGTGCTGGGATTACAGGCATGAGCCACCACACCCAGCCCCTTGTCTAATTTTTTAAAAAAAATTCAAGTGTGGGTCTTGAGCTTCCCTTGATTTTCTGTCTAGAAGAGAAGTGTCAGAACGGCTATCTGCTTTCCCAGCTTCTGGGCCATTTGCTGCAGCACTGAGTCGCCAGCCTGCTTCGCATGAGCAGGGAAATTTTGCCCATCTAGGTAATCAGGAAGAGCTTGTTCAATGAGTGAAGGGTGAGTCATACTGCATTGGCACAAACTCTTGGCAACAATGAGTGTCCTTTACAATGGGCTCTATGGGACAGCCCTCTGGGGGAGATGGGCCAGCCAGACCTGAGTAAGGGGCTGGACTGAAAACTGACAGTGACAGGTGGAAGTGAACTTGAGAGACCCAACAAACTTCTTGTTGGAGAGAACTAGGACAGCTGCTCAGAGGCAAAGCTCAGAGTAGAGGATTTCACTCAGTATTTATTGAGCACTTATTATGTTCAAGGCCCTAAGAGGGAATATGTAGAAAAATGCTGTTCTCTAGAATCGTAAGATCTAAGCATCAGAAAGTGAATGCCACAAACATTAAGTGTGGCAGATGCCATGATCAACACAGACAAAGACTAAGTATTACACCAGCTCAGAGATCAGAGATCTAGGGATGGGGAACTCCATGATAGGCCGGGAAGTCTTTGCAGGGAAATCTGCATCTGAGTGCCTTTTGAGGCCTGCTGCAAACAAAACTTTCAATGCCAGTGTCCCCTCTCACTATCTCCCCAACAATGGTTGCATTCACAAAGACAGAGCAGGGGAATGAAGTCACATGTATTACCACATGAGCAATTACAAGTCTCAGTTGGGTCAGGGCATTTTTGCACCTTAACTCTCTTCCTGCAGCCCCAGATGCTCCTTTGCAGTCCCCCAGCTTGAGTGTTATACGTCTGTGTTCCATGAGAATGCCTGCATCTTAATACAGACCCCTTTATTGTGGGGAACACAGCACAACGTCTGTGCATTTGCAGTCACCCACCTGTGCATCCCCTGAATCCTTCATTCATAAGTAGTACTCAACCAGGAACTTCTTTGGTATCCCAGCTCGGACACGGGAGGTGTGAATATATTTTTCATAAAGCCCAGGCCTTTATGCAGAACGATTTTCATCCTCTAGTGAGAGGCTGAAGTAACAAAGTGCTGTTGTTAAGATTCTTCCCATTGTGCATTTTTCTTGAATAATGACATTTCTAAAAAGAATCTGAAACTGAGGCATTAGAAGGCAAGTGCTCGTTCATATATTTGAAGAGGTCAAATATTTACCAGAATAACTTCTCAATACAGAGGGGACAGCTTTATTTTATTTTACTATAAAGATGTATGTGTAGCAGAAGACAAATTATGCAGAGCTTTGAGTTAGTTAAGAATCATCTGATTTAATTCTTTGGAGAAATGAGACAAATTGTAGCTAAGGACTATGGAGTTGTTTTAGTTTGCCAGTTATATTTAATTTGACTATTTCTTTATTTATTGAGAGACAAAGTCTCACTCTGCTGCCCAGGCTGGAGTGCAGTGATGCAAACACAGCTCACTTCAGCCTTGACCTCCTGGGCTCAAGCAGTCCTCCTGCCTTGGCCTCCCAAAGTGCTGGGCTTACAGGTGTAAGCCATGGCACTTGGCCTATTTGACTTGTTTAATCCCTCCGAAGAACTCATACATACTATTGCCACCTCATTTTCCACGTAAGAAAATGGAAGCACGAAGACCTTAATAACTTGCTTAATGGCTAGTAGGTGGTAGAGCTTGAATTTAGACCACACAGTGTGGAGGGTATGCTATTAAGGAAAAACGATGTTCTAGTGGGGTTTCCATTTAATATTGCAGAAAAAAGAATCTATATATTTAAGAAGGTGTTATTTCATGCACACTCGTAGGTTTTGTTCATATATGCACATCTGACGTATAATTTAACATTTGTGTAACTTCAAGCTTCTATGGGGAGTGGCAGAAGATGCAGGAATTCTATTAATACCTTCGCAGATCTTAGATTCCAACAAGCTGGATACCTTAAGAAAAATAAAGAAATTGCTGTGCTTGGATCCCAGATGTCCATTCCACCTTTTGGGACCTCCCGGGGGGCCCTCTTTTCTTCATCCTTCAAGACAAGGATAGTGGGGTGAACAGACAGACTTTCCTTGCGAGGGTTGGCTCAGGAAGGCTCTGGGCTCATCTCACAGCCGCCCCAGCGAGGGTCGGGGAGGCAGGTGCTGGCTCCGGTGGGGTCTGCGGCAGAGCAGGACTGGAGCCCAGGGCGCAGCTGCACAGCTCAACGCCGGTTCGCGCCCTGGTTTACAGCGTTGGGCTGGGTCACCCCTTCTTTCCTAGCTTGCTGCTGTGTGTTCCCTCGGTGTAGGAATCAGGGGAGTGTCTTCTGGAGGCCACTAAAGCAGGAATAGCATTTTCATGTTAGCGTGCACGGGCGGTCTCCGCAGCCCCTCCTCGTGCCGGAGCCTGTCCTGGGGCCTGCGGGGCGGCTCCGGGCCTCGGGCCGGCGCAGGCGGGCGGCAGGGGGCGCTGTGCGGCTCGGCGCGGGGGCGGGGCCGGGGCCGAGCCTCCCGCGTGCCCGGCCTCTGTGCGCGCTCGCGCCCCGCCCGCGCAGCCGCTTCTCCCCGCGCGGGCTCTCGGCAGGCGGGAGGCGGCAGGGCTGGCATTGCAGTGCGGGCCGTGCGGGCTGCGCGGGCGCGGGGAGGCGCGGGCGGCAAACTGCGGGCACCCGGCACCCCGCAGCCAGTACCGGGCGGAGGCGTCAGAGCCGCGCACCGCGGACGAGCAGGCCCAGGTAGAGTGACGCGCGTCCCCTTTGTGTCCGCATCGCCCGGGCCGGCCGCGGAGCGGGGAGGGCGGGACGCGGCGCTGCGCGGCCGGCCTTGGGGCTCGGGGCTTGCGGCCGCGCCTGCCCCGCTGGGTCCTGCCCCGGCGCCCGGTGGCAGCGGGCGGGGGGCAGCGTCCCGGGCGGGGACTCGCGGGCTCCGTTCAGAGGACGCCCGCCCTGCCCTGCCCGTGTCCCTGACCTCGTCCCTGCTCTGCTCCTGCCCTGCCCTGCCTCTCGCAGGCGGCGCCCGCGCCCCAGGGCAGTGGGCGCTTAGGGACCTGGCGTCCCCCTGCCTGCCCTGCGCGGTCGCGGGTCTGCGCTGCGGCGCGGGACAGGGCGCCCCGGGCCAGGGTCCCGCGGGCGAGCTGGCGGCGGGGGCTTTCAAGGTTCGCGGCCCCGCCCGCAGACCCTGGGGCTGGAGCCTCGGCCCCAAGAGGAGGTCTGGGAAAGGACGACGCGTCCGGGGCATCGCCACCGGCGGGGAAGGTCGGAACTGGCCAAGAGGATGCCCCGCACATCCCCTGCGCGCGGGGTCCGCGGCTGCTACTGCCCCTGGTCCCCACCGCGAGCCCTTTCCCGGGGAATGAGCCGCCGCCCGAGCCCCGGAGTTCCCTGCGGGTCTTACCCACCCCAGCCTCCGGCCGCCGACCCCAAGCCCCCTGCACTGTGCTTGGCTCCCAGCTGTTTGGTCGCTTATGCCATCCTGGAGGCTTCCTGGTCCTGGGGTGAAGGGGTGACTTCTTTACCCTAATGGTCTTCGTAGGCAGGTCTCAGGATGTCCACTCCAAAGTTCGTGGTCTTTTTTCTAGAGAATAATAATTTTTAAAATCCATTGAACTGGCCGGGCGCGGTGGCTCACGCCTGTAATCCCAGCACTTTGGGAGGCTGAGGCGGGCGGATCACGAGGTCAGGAGATCGAGACCACGGTGAAACCCCCTCTCTACTAAAAATACAAAAAATTAGCCGGGCGCAGTGGCGGGCGCCTGTAGTCCCAGCTACTCGGGAGGCTGAGGCAGGAGAATGGCGTGAACCCGGAAGGCGGAGCTTGCAGTGAGCGGAGATCGCGCCACAGCACTCCCGCCTGGGCGACAGAACGAGACTCCGTCTCAAAAAAAAAAAAAAAAAAAAAAAAAAATCCATTGAACAAACATCCTGCGCTGCCTCCTGCAGGATCAAGGCTGGGGTAACAGAGGAGTGAGGTAAGGCCCCAGGGAACTATCCCCAGTGGATCCCTGCTGCCCTGCGGTGAGAGGGGGTCTAGCTCCTGCACTAAGAGCCTGGGAAGAAAACACTTCCCGTAATGGGGCCTGGGAGATGGAAGGAGGACATGCCCCAGTGAATGGGGCTGGGGTTGAGAGTTGAGCCTGGCAGATAAGATGGATTTGTAAATGAAATGCCAGGTAGAAAGTAAGTTGGTGTAGACGCCTGTGGAGCTGTGGGAGCCCCCAGGAGGGAAGGGAGGGAGTCAGGGTGTCCCTGCAAAGGGAGTCCCCTTTGCAAGGGAGGGGGTGTCTGAGTCAAAGCTTGCAGGTGGGGCAGGTCAGAGGTGGCAGGAAGGGCCTCTGTCCAGAGAGAGCTGCTCCAGCGCAGGAAGGGGGAGGGACAAGGTGTGTGACACCGTGAACTTTCCCAGGGGATTCACCCAGTGGCTCCAAAGGAGACAACAGCCTTTTTTATTGTATTCTCTTCTCCGGTACTGAGATTAGGGAACCTTGTTTTTTGCACTTTTCTAATGCCTTTTACATTTTTGTTTTTATTTTTAAAGCGTGCAAAGGAAATGTGACTAGAGGGGTCAGAAGAGGATAAATCATGAAATCTTTGAATTCTAGGCCAAGACTTTGGGTTTGACTCTGTGTCAGTGGGAGCCATTGATGGTTTTGGAGGAGGAGGGTGATCTGAGCCCTGCTTTAGAGTGATTTCCGCGGTGTTGCGTGGAAGGGAAGGCATGGTGTGGTGTGCCTTACTGTGGCTTCCGAGTCAGACCCCCACTGGCTGTGGGCTTCCACCTGCATCAGGCATCAAAGGCTGTGGATGGATTGAGGACCTCATGAGAAAATGGGTGCAAATAACCCAATTTTAATGGGATGGAAATTTTCCAGACCCAGTGCAATTTGATTTTTGCAGTTTGTGTTTTTAAAGAGCTCCCGATTCTAATGTCAGCAACTCTGGAAGAGGAACTAATGAAGGGCAAACTCAAATGCACGATGCAGGCACCCCCAGGTCATCTGTGCCATGAGGATTTGGGAAACTCAAAGAGCATTGTAAAATGCATATATTTTATAAATAGATTCCAGTGCCCTCAGCTTGCTAGTTGGTAATCCCTGTATCCAGACTGTTGCTAGAGTAAGTCACGTCTCCTGGGGATTCAGTGTGGTTTGGGACTTTGAAGGGACCTCACACTGTTTGGCTGAAGCTGCTGAGGTTCAGGGGTAGAAGTGCCACTCTGGCAGGCGGCGGCAGGGTTGGGAGCTACAAGCTACGTTGCCTGCCTCTGAGAACATTCTTTCCCCTGTGGTCCACCACGTGGCCCCACTGCCTACTTTTGTTCACATTTCTCCCTCCTGGAAGCCTTTCCCTCTGGGGGTAGAGATGGGAAGGAAGCCTGCCCTTGGAGACTGACAATCACAGAACCAGGTGGGCCAGCACCCACCTGGCCTATGAACCCTTGTTGTAACCATGGGAACCTCGTAGCTTGGAAAGGAGGGGTCAGGTAGCCCAGGCCACATGAAAAGCTGTGGCTGGTCCAGCCCTGGCATCAGCTTTTCTGGTTCTGTCTGCTGTCCCTTTTTTCCCATACCTCACTTGCAATAGAAGAGGATGAAGCCGTGCTCGCTGCCCTGCACGTTGGGTGGTCTGGAACCATTCAGGATGATATTGAGCCCTCAGACTCTCTTAGAGCAAGGAACCCCTGGCTTCACAGGATGTGGGATCTCAGAGGCAGCCCAGAGGCGGGGAATGGAATGGAGTGCTTCTAAGGAAGAGGGACTCTCCGTGTTTTCTCTGGGGAATTTTCTAACATTGAGATCGAAGAATGAAGTTGGAGGTGCCTTTCTTTTCTTTAAGAAGTAATCATTTCCAAGACTAGCCTCCTTTCTCCGTTGTTTCTGCATTACTGAAACACATGAATACCCTTTCTTAGTTAGATGAAGAAATTAAATTGAAGCCACTGCTCACATACCTGCTGGGTAGTGGGGCTGAAGGATAGAGCTTATTACAATTTCCTGACCCAGCTGTCTGGCCCTGGGCCAGCGTCTTAACCTCCCTGGATGGCTCCAGTTTTTTGAGGATAAAACTGAGGTGTTGGTGTAAATATTTTCCAAGATCCAGAAATAAAAATGTACTGTTGGATCATATTTTTTTTCCAGGAGAATAAATATTACAGGACGACTCACCAAGTACAACCATTCGTAAGGGTTTGTTTGTTTCCCAAGAGAAAATATTTTAACTTTCAGAAGAGTGGATTTTTTCCAAAGTGAAATGGTGAGAAATGAAGCTTTGAGGAGGGTGGCTCATTGCTGATAGGAGCCTTCACCTTGCTTCACTCCACAAATAACCCAAGACCTGAATTTAAAGGTGCTTACTTCCTGGATGTTCCGTAGAACTGGAAGGCAGGCTTTCTCTAAGGAGCAGGCTTATAAGCTGGATGCAGTGTTCCAGACAAAAGCAAGCTCCTTGGTGGCATGCAGTGTGTCAACCAGTATTTTATCATCTCAGGTGTGTTTGGCACTAGAGGTGGAGGAGGTGGTTGATACTCATTATGGATTTGCCTGATCTTCAGGGCTTTGCTTGCATCGTGGATGCAGTTCTCACACAGCCCTGCAGCACAGGCGTATGTTGCTATCCCTAGCTGACAGAGGAGCAGAGTGAAGCAGAGAGCAGGGATGTTGTCCAACATCGCACACACGTCGTCAATTTTGAAGCCTGGCTTTGAACCCAGAGGCCTGCAGATAAGGATAGATCCCATGACCTTGAGGAGGCTGTAGTCTAGGGAGCGGGAAGCTCAAACATTAACAGATTGAACCGTGGGGTCAGGGCAGCATGGGAGGTCAGGGCAGAGAGCAGTGGGACCCACAGGAGGGTGCCTGGATCAGCCCCGGGTGGCAGGGAGGCTGCCTGCTGGGGCGATGCTGTTGGTCTGGGATGGGAGGGACGGGTCAGAGTTAGCTAGGCAAATTAAGAGGGACAAGGTCACATTCTGGGCCTGGGAACAGCAAGAAACAGCCTGGGGTGGACAGGGAACTTAGGACCAGCACACAGGGCCGAGCTCCCCAGCTGCCTTACCATTGGCCTTTTTAGGGTGGCTGGTGGTCTCTGAGCTGTTTGGACCCAGATTTCCGTGTGTAATACAGCCGCTTTCATTACTGGCATCTCCTGGAAGGTCCCATCAGTGCATTTTCCTTTTCACTGTTTTGTTTTGGAGCGTCTTTCCCTATCTGTGTTCCCTCCATTTCCTTTCCTCCTCCTCCAGTTCTACCTGGTGGGAGAGTGAGTTCAGGGAAAGATCAGGGGAACCACCCATAGCGACCATTGTTTTTACAGTCAGTCACCTTGCTCCCATGTCTTCCGAGTGACCCATAGTTGACTGGGGCCAGCGAACTAGACATTAGCCCCGTGCATGTGCTGGATATGGCCGTGCAGGCTCTGGGGGCTTCTGCCTATGGGAGCCTGTGGGAGCAAAAGGGAAGGGTTCCAAGTCCTGAAAGTGGATGTTGTCAGAGTCTCTTTATTGATTGAACGGGCTTTTGTGTCTGTCCAAGGACTGTGCACATCTCTTACAACATTGTGTTCCTGGGAATACTTTTTAGGTTTCCCAAGAACTGCTTTCAGGTAATTCTGTGGAGCAGGGCATGTTTATTGTTGATGCATGGTGTGTTAAGGTCCTCTGGAGGGCAGAGGAGTGCAGAATGCAGCAAGCTTGACTGCCTCCTGCGAGCCATGCAGAGGGGACCCGCCCGGTTTTTCTTGTTTTTCTTTTTTTTTTTTTTTTGAGATGGAGTCTCACTTTGTCGCCCAGGCTGGAGTGTAGTGGTGCAATCTCAGCTCACTGCAAGCTCCGCCTCCTGGGTTCACGCCATTCTCCTGCCTCAGCCTCCCGAGTAGCTGGGACTACAGGCGCCCGCCGCCACACCCTGATAATTGTTTGTATTTTTAGTAGAGACGGGGTTTCACTGTGTTAGCCAGGATGGTGTTGATCTCCTGATCTCATGATCCGCCCGCCTCGGCCTCCCAAGGTGCTGGGATTACAGGCGTGAGCCACCGCGCCCGGCCTCCTGCTTTTTCATAGTGTGTCTCAGACTCCAGGGTGTGTCACCTGGCTGGTGATCTGGTGGGTTGCAGGAGTCCCCTCTGTGCACCCTCCGTCGCTGACTGGTCTGCAGCCTCCTCTGCAAGTTTCCAGCATTCTAGAGTGAACTCTCTGATGTCTGCACCACCTGCTCGACCCCTGCTACAGCCTCTTCAGTGAGGTCTGCCCATATCCTCTGAATGAAAGGGGGCCTGCCAGGGAGGCAGCAGCGCTTCCTCATGTCCCCATTTGGGTGGTAGGAAGTGTTCCCTCCACAGAAATACTCAGATGTCTGCATGAAGGGACTCTCTCCTCAAGTTCAAACATTCACTGAAACGGAAATGCGCTGAAGCTGGAATCAATGCACACCTTTTTTTTTGTTAACTTTCTTGGGAAGCTTGTGTGTTAAGCCTGTCGGTGTCTGTTAACACTTCTCTATTCAGAGACCTCCAGCCACGCTCGTTGCCCAAGTTACCTGTGAGCCCGCGGGTTGAGTGTTCAAGCCTCTTCCTGCCTTGGCTCCAGCCTGTCTTTCCAGGGCTGATCTCAGCAGCTGCTGACGTGTGCCCTGGGACGCTCTCCCACCATCCATGTGCCAGCTTCCTAATGATTCTTGAAGGCTCATCACAAATGCTGCCTTTCCTTCCAGCTGTAAAATTGCCAATGTGGGTGACTGTGGAGATGCTCTCCTCTGACACTGGCATTGCACAGATGAGAAGATGGAGCCGCACGGAGCAGAACTGGGACGGAGTTAAAGCTCCAGGGTCCAGGCCAGGTCCTGCAGGCCCAGGTGCCTGCGTTCTCTCTCGTCTTCCCAGGCACAAATGTTTTCCCCACCAGGTGCTTCCATAGCAACTTTATTTTTTTTTTTCAGAACCTGTAGTTGCGTTTAAAACTCTCTAATCCAATTTTACTGATTTATGTAACCATCCTATTTCCTCTGCTAAATTATAATCTCTGCACAGGTAGGAACTTACTCATTTTTACATTCTCTCAGTGCCTATCATGCTCTTTCTGAATGGATTTTTGTTAAGTGATTGAATACAAGATAGAGAAACCTGGTTCAAGAGGGAAGCCTGGAACAGATTATGAATGAAGAAATGGAATTCGAGTGTAAATTCTGTATTCCATCATGATCCGAGTAAACCAGGTTCTCTCTTTAGGTCAGGTCACAGAACAATACACCTTAAGACCCTGAGAAGTCAGATGGGAATATTTGCTTGGGTTTAAGAGTGAGGATGGTAGAATGTAGCCTGGTGGCCTGGAATGCAGAGAGAGAATCCTGGGTACCGTGGTTGTGTAGACACCATGTAAGTGAGATCCAGAGTAACAGCTGGCGAGACTTCCGTGGCCGTGTTGCTGGGGGGCCCGAGGCACTGTGCGATGCACGGGAAGCATAGGACGTGGCCTTTGCCTGCGATGTGAAGGGAGATGCATAATGTGGAATGGTTAGAACCAAGCGCCTGAATGTGCCCATCCGAGCGCATGTCCTGGGAGTCTGGTGAGGAAGCGATTGTGGAAATGGGACTCAGCATAGGTGGGCTTTGGAGAGCTGGGGAGTGTAGAGAAGGGGGTGCTCTGAGCTGTCCCAGAGCAGGGCAAAGACCCAGGACGGGCAGGGTTTGTTCTGGAGGATGCTGAGGAGACAGGGCTGTTGGATGAACGCTCAGGAGCAGCAGAGGAGGGGCCTCCATCTCCCTTCCGAGTGCGGGCCTCTCATGAAACACTAGGATGCTTTCGCCAGTGCCTTGGAGGAACTTGCCAGGTAGGGCCCCAGGGCCAGAGATTCTTGTGGTTCTTCCTGTATAAGAGTTGAAGAAGTGCAACTGCTAAGTGTGCTGTGAAGTGTGTGAGGAGCCATCCTTTGTGTTCACTGTATTCTCTGTCTCTGAGGAATCCGTTTTCTGAGTAACTTATGTGCCCATGGTCTGTGGTGCCAGTTGTGCACTCACAAGCATAACACAGGCTGTGTGCTCCAAGGGAGCCTTTGCTTTGGGAAGGGTGTGGGCTTCCAGAGACCTTGGGGCTGGCTCTTTGACGGATGGAGAATGTCAGGAAGCACCTGGGTCCTTCTGTGAGTTTTCTGGCGACCTCGATTGCCACACGGCGAATTTTGATAGCGTATGCACTGGAGCTTTGTAGCCTAGGGCAGTGGCATCCAAAGAGCTTCCAGGAGACTTTCTGAGTTGGCACCTTAGATCTGAACTCTCTTGACTAAAACACTTGCATTTCCTTCTAACCACTTGGCAGAAGTAAGTGATTGTAATCCCTGGTGTGGATGGGATGGGGCTGGCTGTATCCTCACAGATCTCACTCACAGATTGCAGGCCCTTCTCTCTTCTTCTTGTCTCAGTGAAGCACTATCCAAGGCCCTGAAAACTGAGCCAGTCTGGTCATTGGTGGCCGGCAGAGTGGTGGATAGGGCCAGGTGTATTAGGAAAAAGAAAAAGAAATCTCTTTATTTAATCCATTGTGAGACACTAAGAAACCATCTGTGTTTCAGCTTCTGTCCTCCCCCTTCCCCCCCAGTTGCTCTCTTTACTTTCTTCTTGTTATCATGTGTAGGGGTGAAAGTGGCCAGATATGAGAGTAAGAGTTCCCATTTATCCAAGGACAGAAGCAGGCAGGAACCTCAGGATCTGATGTGGGCAAGCCGCAGGTAAAGGGCAGGTTCAAGGCGCAGAATACAGGTAGATGATTCTCTCTGATATCTGCCTGCATCTTCATGTGGCTGTCTTCTCTGTCTCTGCGCTGGGGGTGCACCTCTTCTCACAAGGACTTCAGTCATGTTGGATTAGGGCCAAGCCTGTTGATCCCATCTTCTCTTGATTGCATCTGCAAACACCCTAATAAGGTCACATTCATAAGCATCAGGGGTTAGGAGTTCAATATATCCTTTGGGGGAGACATGATTCAACACACACGTGTGCGCACACACACAAACACACACATACACATGCATCAATACACACAACACATATATATGTACCAGTATCAGGCATAGTGTTTGTTTGTGTTTGGATGTGTTAGCATATGTTTGGCCAGCAACATAGCACTTACTAACAAGGACTTAAACAGCTTTCTGTTTCCTTAATAGCAAGGCACTGAAGGTAGGTGCTTGCTTCCAGGTGCTGGTGCAGCGGCTTGGGATGTTACTGAGAGCCAGGTTCTCTCTTCTTTCACTTTGCCATCCTCAGCATGTTTTCCTTTGCCCCATCATGCAAAAGGGCTGGCCACAGCTGCGCCACATCTGTGTTGAAGGCAGTGAGAGAGGAGGGGGAGTTGGTGTCAGCTGCATCTGTCCGTTTTTGTCAAGAAGCGACAAGCTTTTCCAAAAGTTTGGTGGCTGACTCTGTTCAGGGCCCAGTGCCAGAGCTGGGCTGCGTGGCCGGCTCCTGGAGAAAGAGAAGGAGAGAAAATGAGGGTCTGCCTGGGAGGTGGTCCTGGAGGACTGGACTGGTAACACATGCGAGAGAACTGCCCCGTGCAGGGGTTGGCCGTGCTAGGCCTTGATAAAACTGCCTTTCCCTCTCTTACCTGCTCTTCCTGGCAAAGCAGGAGCCCATATGGATTAGGCCCAGAGCCATATGCATGCGGCTTCAAGGTTGCAGGTGTGGGGCTATGCACACCTGTGTGTTCCATCAATAGGTTCGGTGTGGGTACAGTGTGGGCTGGGAATCCCAGTCCTGTCCTGGTTGTCTTTGTACCCCTCTAGCACTCGGCACACAGGCTTCTCATAGGAGGCGCTCAATAAATATTTGTTGAAATGAATCTGCGTCTTTTCCCTTCAAAGACATTTGAGTCCAGAAACAGCCACATTCATTCACTATAATATTCATGAATATCTTACTCTTTATTTCTATTGTTGTTGTTGTTTATTTACTTTTGTTCTTTAATCCATCATTTGGCAAAAACTACTTGGTACCAGGGATTCAAAGACACATTGAGGACTATATAGTGAAGGTGAGGACTTGCAGAGAGGAAGGGATGGGGCAGAGCGGGGGTGCCCTTTCTGAAACAAGGGAGAGTTTACCGTTCTGGAGTCCACATGGCAGGGATTCATCTCTTAAACTTGCGGTACTTTGTTGAGTCCAGTTTCACTGTAGTAAAAACAACCAGAACACATAGTAAGCCCTGTTGGTCCCGTGAGATTGCCTGCTCTTCACGTCTCCTGTTTGTGAAATAGCACAGGATTTTAGGTGCAGGGTTTTTCATATGCCGAATAAATATTTGTGTAGCCTTCACTCTAGGCCAGGTACTGTGCTGTCAACTGTGAAAGCCTGAGTAAGACTCAGAAGGATGTGTTTGCAGCTCCTCCTGAAAGGAATGCACAATTTCTGCCTGCTGATTGGCCGAGGGAAGCATTTCTTATCTGTTAATACTTTAATCACTCCTGGGACTCTCTCCCTTTGGCCTGCAGCTCTGCTTCCTTGACAGTGACCTTGTTTTTTTTCTGTCCCTGGCCATGTGCAGTGGATCCAGCCTTTCCTCGGGAGGACCAGCTTGACTGTGCCAGCCTAGGCGACTGATCAGGGCCTTGAGCTGTGTCCTGCTGGCCTGGCAGATAAGGGCTGCTTTCTGGAGGCAGGCAGGACTTCTTCCTTGTGTAGCAGAAAAAACAGAATGCAGACAGGTGGAGGGGAAGCGAGGACCTGAGCCAGGCTGTCCTCTGCGGTAGCTACTGGCCCTGCGGGGCCCTGGAGCCCTTAAATTCTGGCCAGTCCCAATTGAGCTGTGCTGTCAGTGGGTTTTGGGTGTGAAAAACAGAATGTAGAGTACCCAGTCATAATTGTTATATAGATTGTATGTTGAGATGATTATATTTTGGTCATATTGGGTTAAATAAAATATATTACTGAAACTAATTTCCCATGCTTTTTAATAAAATGTGGCTACCAGAAAATTTAAAATTGTGTATGTGGCTTGCATCAGACTGAAGTGCTGATCTGGAGGGCCTTGGAGAGGTGTGTTTCTTTCCAGGTTACCAGCCTTTTGACCAGCTCTTCTAGAGTGCTTACCTGCCCTGGATTCTGGGATCCCAGCATGGACAGGGCCCCTCGCCTGCATCTGGGGGCCTGGTTTGTGCCATTTCACTGTCACTAGGCACGTCCTACATGCCTTGAGGTTAGTTATGGATGGTTCAGACTCTTGTCCCACTTGCCCTGTTTGGGCACGTCCTTCTTTGTAGCCTGTATTATTCAGACTCAACTGTTCAACCAGCTCAACTCTGTTCAGTCTCAATTCAGATTCCAACATTTTTGGGCCTTTTTAAAAAAATGTGTTAAATGGACGGTTTGGGCTAGATGAATTTAACATTTTTCCTTAAGACGCTCTACTGTCAAAATCTACCCTGACTTCCATCATCTTTGCATCAAGTTCATTGCCGCAGGCCCCCTTCATTTCTCCTCTGGGTCCACCACCTGCCTGTGTGTTTACCATTGGCATTCTCCTGGCCTTCAGCGGTCAGGGCAGATGGCACCGAATGGATCTTGCACATATATTTGATTCCCAGTGAAGACTGGTTGAGAGAAGCCTCTCCCATACCTGTCTCTTCTCTGCACATCCTACATCTGCACCCCAGACCAAGCCCACATGTCTAGAATACTAGACGTGCCCCCAGGCCACCAGCTTCTAGCCCACGTACTGCTGTCCTCCACTGGCCTCCTGCATGCCCTGGCCTCCGTGCTCCTCCCTTCCTTTCTGGCGACTGCGCATTCCTCATTTGAGCCCTTGCCTTCAGAGTTGCCCCAGATTTTTTTCCGAGTCTTTGAAACCTGTGGCTTTCGCTAGCCTTTTCTCCACGGCTGGCTCCAAGGCCTCCTATCACCTGACACCCTCTGTGGTCGAGGGCTTCCCTGTGAACTTCCTCCTCACCTGCTTTTTCCTGCATTCCCAGTGTCTCCTGCTGTGGCAGCCTGCCTTCGGTGATGGTCAGAAACTGGCCCATCCTCTTCCTGCCACTTCTGGGGGTTCTGCGTGGCCCCTTCAGACCCTGTCAGTTCCCTGAGCAGCTTGGCATTTTGGGGGTGACATGGAATGAAGTCAGCATCCATTTGCTCCCTAGACACAGCAGACTTGGTGCCAAGGGCCTTTGAGCTTTGCCAAATGAAATATTTTAAAAAATTGGAAACAAGTATTAGCTCTAGAGTATTAAAAAAAATAACAGAATTGATGTTAACACATATGACATGTTATGTCAACAAAATTGAACTGTTATTGACTTGATTGAAACGCCATGCATAGTTACATAGAAATTGTATTTAACCTGATGTGAGGGTACTTTTCAATTTTTGGCATAAGGAGAGATGAGACCTGTGGAAGTCACATGTCCCTGAGTTAAATACTGCCCTCGCCACCATATTTTATCTCTTCCCAGCTCTCCTTGACAGTGGAGTTGAGACTCAGAGTTTGACATTTATTTGTTGCACTTCCATAGGGTGAATGTACAGTGAGCTGGGCTCCTGGAGCTAAGCCGTGGGTGTTACTCATTTTGAATTTCCAGCACAGGATGTGGTATGCTGAACTTCACTCTGGAACTTTTCACTGAACTCAATATATACATATTTTTATTTTAAATAAGGGACATTGGGATCCTGCCTGAAGGTCTGTGTTTTCTTTTTACTGAAACAGCACAATGTGGTGGTTTTCAAAACCACGCATGTCTGTAAACTGACCTCAAATGGCAAAAACCCTCAGCTGAGGTGCTAATAAAAATAATTATTGTGAAGCTTACGCAATCGTAGTTTGGAAGACTTTAAATTATATTTGAATATTACCTGGTATTGACTTATATGTTATCCACACCTACTGTTTATGTAGAAATCAATTTAGTTACGATATAACTACCATTATGTGATAATAAATAGCTTTGGAGATAGGATAAAGTTTTCCTTGTTAAGCATGGAATTGTTATTTAAAAAAACAATTCTAAGAGAAAGTAGCTAAAAAAGTGCATTTTCGAATATGATGAAGTGGGTCCTGCTGCAGGAAGGAAATAAATATAAATCACGTTGGCTCAGCAGAAAGAATGAATTTCTAGACCTAAACTGGGTGAAAGGATGGCGTAAGGAAAGATGCATTATTTTTATTTGCAATGGCATGATTACTTTGCACAGTTGCGCTTTGGAGAATCCAGCTCCAAGAGATGATACTAAATGTGGAGAAAAATAAATGCTTGATGCACAAATGTATTTCTTCATGTTTTTTAAAGAATAATAGCCCCAAATGGAAAACATCTAAATATAGCTAAGTAAATATCATGCTCTAATTAGATAAGATTTTTGGAGATAGTGGGCATGGGAAATGTTTATATTATTAAGTGAAAACAATGGTGAGGCAGAATTGTGCAGTTTGATGTACAAACTTGAAAAATGTGCTGAGGAGAGGAATCAGAACTCATAAGGATTGTGACAGTTTTTCTATTTTTTTATTTTTCAATTATGGTTATATTTCATTTTTAGTGAAGTAAATTCACTTAGTTTTGTAAAAAATTAATTGTAAATTCAGTCATCCCCTCAGTCCACACAAATTTTGTTACTCCATATATATACACACACATGCTCACCACACACACACATCTATGGGTATATATATAATATATATAGATACACACACTTTATCTATCTGTATATACATACATACGTGTATATATATGTATAATTTATTTTTTTGAGACAGGATCTTGCTCTGTCACTCAGGCTGGAGTGCAGTGGTGCAATCTCAGCTCACTACAGCTTTGATCTCTGGGGCTCAAGCAATCCTCCCACCTCAGCCTCCTGAATAGCTGGGACCACAGGTGTGTGCCACCACACCCAGCAAATTTTTATATTTTTTTTGTAGAGGGGGGGATTTGCCATGTTGCCCGGGCTGGTCTTGAATTTTTGAGCTCAAGCAATTCTCTCACCTCGGCCTCCCAAAGTGCTTGGATTACAGGCATGAGCCACTGCGCCTGGCTAACTATATATATTTCAACCAATAAATCCACCTTATGTCATAAGTGGACATTTTGCTGCCATGGGATTGAAATGAAACAAGGAAGAAACCCTCCTATTATTAATAAACTGGACAAAGCCATGCAAGCAACCACATTGCTCCTAAACGGCTGCCCTCCCAGGCTGACCTGATACCATGCACCTGCAGGTCTGACTGAGTACTGTTCATGTCAGAACTGGGACAGTGTGCCCGGCAGAGTCCAGAAGCATCTCCTAGTGCAGCGGTCGTGGTCAGTGCTTGAGCAGAGAAGGCAAGACTGTGGGGACAGAGACAGGATCCTGCTCAAGACTTCAGGCCCCACTGGATTTGTGAAAAGACCTGTGACTTCTCTGTAAATGTTCCTGTTTTATTCATCTCTAAAGTGAGAATTGTACCAGGGTTACTTCTTTTGTGGGAATCCTCTGAGGATTAAAGAAATCATGCCTATGAAACTTCAAAGGAAAACCTTGAAGGCCTGTCCAAAATGCAGATTAACAAATTACCATTGGAATTACCCAGGTCAGAAGCTGGGTTTTGGGAATGGGGAGGGACAGGCCTGCTGACAGCATTCAGAGTCCACTGTGGAGAACTTCATTGGCTCATAAAAGACTGCCCTCTGGTCCACAAAAATGGAAGTATTTGACCCATGTCATTTTTTTCCTAGTTTTCAGTTAAAGATAGCCTAGATGAAATAATGCCATATTTCCATTTTTTCTCTAATTTTCTGTTTTGGTGGTGGTTTTGTTTTAAATTTATGGTGAAAATGCCAGTGGCTCTTGTGTTATCTAGAGGTGTGCTGTTTAATCTCCAGATATTTGGAGATTTTCCATCTATCTTTCTCTTACTGATTTTTAGTTTAATTCCATTGTGATATGAGGCCATACTTTGTATGATTTTTGTTTTTTTCTTGTTTGTTTTTACATTTAAGTTGTGTTTTGTGGCCTGGACTCTTCCCTTTGAACTAAAGGAATGTGTATTCTGCTATTGTTGGATGGAGTATTCTTTATCAAGTAGATCGAGTTGATTGTTAGTGCTATTCAGTTCAACTATGTTCTTATTGATTTTCTGCCTGCTGAATTTTTCCATTCCTGATAAAGGGGTGTTAAAGTCTACAGCTATTAGTAGTGGATTTGTCTGTTTCTCCCTGCAGTTCTGTCAGTTTTGCCATATGTATTTTGATGCTCTGTTGTAGGGTATTACATGTTTAGCATTGTTATGTCTTGGAAAATTGATCTCTTTATTATTTTGTGATGACCCTCTTTGTTGTGATGATTTTTTTCTTGCTTTGAACTCTGCTTTATTCGAAATTAACATAGCTAGTCCAGCTTTCTTTTGATTAGTGTTAGCATGGTATATCTTTTTCCATCCCTTTATTTTTAACATGAATCTTCCTATTTGAAGTAGGTTTCCTGTGGACAATGCAACATGTAGTTGACACTTGCTATTTTACCCTCCCTGAATATCTGTACCTTTTAACTGGTATATTTAGACCATTCACAATTACACACACTTTAAAAATAGAAAATACTGTGTATTGCTATTTGGAGATTTTTTTTTCCTTAATATATTAAGTTACCTTATTCCTTTACAAAATTACATAGCCAAAGGAATTGCTTTCTAAGTTCTTTAAAATTGGTGTGTGTTTTATCTCACCATTCTAAATAAACTATTTTTTTCCTGTGGTAATGCCTCTACTATAACAAGCTTCTCATTTTGTGCCTAATTTGGTATCCGGTCAGATAAATCAATTGGTTCTTTGTGAGCAGTTTAAGCCTAAGACTCAGCTTCATTTTTATGAGTGATACCTTAGAATCAGGAATGACGGCAGAATTAGCCAAATGCCTTTTATCACAATAAGAGAATTTTAAACAATACTCAATCAATTGATAACCAATGAACCAACAAGTTTGTTCCATAGCTATAATTTGACAAATATCTCCACTGCTGAAGAGTGTATTTTGTTTTCCCCCAGAGAAGACAAGTGCAAAATAACTCACTGCAGGGCAACTCTAAAGGGATCCCTGTGTTTCCCAGTGTACAGACTATTAGTATACGATGCATGCAAACAGAGAGGTGCTTTATTGAAGCGGGACAAGACCTCTATTCATAGTAAAGTCAAACAAACCACGCATGTGAAAACCTCCACTTATAGCGGCTGCATAAGCTTAACTGCGCAGAGCTATACTGCTTTTTGAAATACTAACTTGCAAGTTCAGCAACAGCTAAGAAAACAATCCTAGACTTGGAAATTGAAAGATTGGAAGAGAAGTGGAGGGATTCCTTTGGAACCCTTTACGTACGTATGTGTAAGGAATTGTAGGTAAGTGGGAGGGTCTCTCTTGAGCAGTATTTTGCTGTGATCACTAGTGGGCACAGAGTCTAAAATGTTCCTTCATTATGGAGAAGAGGGAGAAAGGCTATGGAGAAGGAAGAGCCTCTACTAACTTGGATTTCTATGTGGATTTCAGAGCAGAGCCTACTCTAAGGATTTGCTTCAGGGAGGCTGCAATGCAAAGAAATGCTGTCTTTTTGTGGGATTTTAATTTAGAGCTTGCAATATGTTATACTTATGAGATACAATCCTTGGTGAGGCAAAATAAAAATAATTGTTTTCTCTCAGTGTATAGTATCTCATGGGTACTGTATCAAAAGTCTTTAGCCTCTAAAAATTTAAAGTTATAAATGCAGAGAATAAAAAACAACTTTGAAAGGAAAAAAAATGGAGAATAAAATTCCCTTTATTCTAAAGCAATTGCCCACAGGTTTTTTTTTTAATTTTAATTCTTCTAGAAAAATTGTGAGTATATAAATTAAGTGTGTGTTCACAGATGGGATCATAGTGTATACATATTTTTGTAGTGTGACTTTTTCTTTGCTGATATATCTTAGATATCTTTTCATGCCAAGACATGAAATATTAACTAAGGTTCAGCTTATTCTTCAGTCATATAGCTGTATTATTTATTCAGCTTTTCTTCTATTGATGGGTTTGTAAGTAATTTTCAGTTTTTGCTGTTGTGAAGATTGCTTCCAGGGTTTTTTGTTTTTGTTTTTGTTTTGTTTTGTTTTAACATACGCATGAAATTTTTTTTCACCAATGTATCTCTTGAGTAAATACTTAGGGCAGCACATGTGGGTCAGAGTTATGTGTGTTTTATGTTTTGATCTGTTTCCAAGTCATTTTCCAAAATGACATCTACCGTTGTTCTGCTAAGAAATGGATGAAAGTTCCTCTTTCTCCACATTCAACAGTATTGGGTTTTTATTCAACAGTATCGAGGTTTTTCATCATTGCTGATCTGACAAGTGAAATATGGTATCTTTTTACTTCATGTCTTTAATTAGGAATAAGTTTCAGCATCTTTTCAAATGTTTATCAGCCACTAGTATTTCTCTTTCTGTGAACCTGTTCACATTCTTTACCTGCTTTTCTATTGCAGTGTTTTCTATTGATATTTTTCTTTATAAATTAGAAGTATTAATTCTTCATTACATGTAATGAGAATAATTATTCCCAGTTTCGTTACTTACTTTTTACTTGTCTTATGTTATTTTTTCCAAATAGAAATATTATTTTTATGTAGTTAGAACTTTACCACTTCCTTATTTCTGAGGTTTGCTTTAAAGGCCTTTCTCCCTGCTGGGTTATACATATTTCAGTTATTTTTTTCCTCTGGTAAAATTGTAGTTTTACTTTTAGCATTGTTAGGAAACTAGCCTAATCTTTTTTTCCCAGCCTATTTTTTCCCCACCTATAGCTATTTGTCTGAAAACTGTTTAGTGAATAACCCATCTTTCTTCTATTGTTCTGAGACACTACTTAGAAGTATTTAAAGATATCTACATAGAAGACTCTGTGGAGTCCTAGATAAGAGCAGGAGCTCTGCAGCTGGACATGGGTTGCCACTGACCAGCTATCTGACCTGGGCAAGGATTTTAACCTGTTTCTTCTTCTGTAAGACGCAGCTATTTTGCAGTAGCTGTGCTTTTGCCAATATTGTGCATATCACCGCCAAGTTCAGTGACTGTCACATGGTCATCACTCAAAAAAAAGAAAAAAACCACATGGTCAAGGTGGAGTGGATGCTGTCTGTGCTTCTCATTGCCACTTCCAGGCCATTGCACCTTCTTCCTTCCTAAAAATCCCCTGCTCCCTTGAGACATATGCCATCAGGCTTTACCATCCCTCTTCCTTCTTCTCTGAGCCTTCTACAGATAACCCCTCCTTTTGTCCTCCTCCGCATTCATAGACGAGTTTAGCAACTAATTCACCATCTTCATCTTCCTTCCTGTTACTACTTTAGCCATTTCAACATCTGCATAGCGGGCCATTTCAAAACTAGATCCCTGACTTTCTTCTTTGGCCTCCTCCTTTTGGTCATCCTCTTTGGTCTTACATTAGATACCCATTCCTGCAGTAACACCCAGTTCTTCTAAAATCTGGACATCTAGCATCCCATTCTGAGGTCACCACCCTCTCCTTGCAGCTCCCCGTTCCTCCTCCCTCATTGGTCGCTCTTCATCACTGAGCTGCATCTCTGTGTTTGGACATCCGAGGGCCCCACGGCTCCATCCTCAGGCCTCTTTTCCTGTCTTTCCCGTCTACATCCCTGCCCGGGTGAGCTCATTTGGCTTCCAGTGTTAATGGTAACAGCATGTAGATGGGATGGCCTCTCACCTTGTGAGCTCATTTGGCTTCCAGTGTTAATGGTAACAGCATGTAAATGGGATGGCCTCTCACCTTGTGAGCTCATTTGGCTTCCAGTGTTAATGGTAACAGCATGTAGATGGGATGGCCTCTCACCTTGTGAGCTCATTTGGCTTCCAGTGTTAATGGTAACAGCATGTAGATGGGATGGCCTCTCACCTTGTGTCACCAGGCCACCCTCACGAGCCCATGCTTGTTGTCGGCATGGCAATCTGCACACCTACCCTAGGGCTTCTGAGGGACATCCATGTCATGGACAGTGCTGCTCAAACGACTGTTCAGGACAAAAGTCTGGAAGCGTCTTTGACTTCTTTCTTTCCCTCCCTCATTCCCTGCCTCCCTTCCTTTCTCCCATCAGATGCTTTGGGAGGTACCTTCAATATCTGTCAGGTTTCTGTTTTTCACTGCTTTCACTGTTCCTTTAGGGAACTTGGGCGGCTCGGCCTATGGAAACAGTGAAGGCAGGGGGAGCTTCACTGTTATTGCTTGTGCAGAGCAGTGAGCATGTTTGTGGAGCATGTTCTTTCTCCGTACATTCTCATGTCCTGCTTGCTCATTTCATCCAGGACTCACTTAAAATATCACGTCTTCAGAGAGGCCTTAAAGACTAAGAAAATAGCACGTCCTTTCTTTACCTGGTTGTATTTTATTGTAGCTCTTATCACTAACTGATGGCATATATATACACACACCCACACACATATAGATACATATGTACACACATGTGCACACATAGATGCATATATACACACGTATACACATACATGCATCTATAGATGCATGTGTGTGTGTGTATAGATAAATACTCAGACTGCAAAGTTCTGAAGGTTTTGAGTGGTTGTCACTGACTCTTTTTTCTCATAAGCCTTTTTATTGTAGTGATTTCAGCTGCTGCTATTTTAGAGCCTTTATTTAACAAGGAGTCATCTTACATAATCTTAAAAAATCACCAACAGGATCCTTTTCTATATTGATAGACACACACTTGGTGAAAGAAAGAAATGAATAAAATAATGTCTTTAATGTATGTTTTTGCATCAGGTTGACTTTCTCAGGTTATTCTGAACCATTGAGTCTTTTGTTCATAATTTGAAGTAGCATCTGTGTTCCGAGAAAGGTGTAAATTAATTAATTGTATTGAAGTTACCAGACAAGCACACTGTTAGGAAATGAGAAGCCTCATCCTATCCTTCAGTATATCAGATTTTTTCAAGTCACACACAGTAGTGTGTGTGTGTGTGTGTGTGTGTGTGTGTGTGTCACTGAGGGCCAGGTGCGGTCTATAGGTTCCTACATAGTCTGAGCTCCTTGACAGCAGAGACCACATCTTATTCACCTTGTTGTCACTCCTATGTGCTGTCTGAGCACATGGTCGGGGTGCAAGAAAAGGTTGAGTGCGTGAACATTTACTACAGATATTTCTGCTAAAACCCAGTACGTACATTCCTGGTGTTCTATAAAAACAGGTACTAAAAATGTGAGGGCTTCTTGAGTATTGAGGGACTGACCACTCCATACCGGTGTGGCTTTGTAACCAGAGTATATGAAGAACAATTCTTGATACCTGGGTACACATGCAGCTTGGCTGGAGGCTGTTAAAAATATGGATGACAAACAACCAAGTGAAATGCTATGGCACTTCATTAGCGCCCATTTGCTGGTGCTGAGAAAATGCGGATGCCAGTCAGCTGTGTGACCATGGGCCACTGTCCAGGTGGGGACAGGAGGCTTTGCAACCTGCCAACAGCCCAGGAGCCACACTGGGCTCCCAACACACCCCTCTGGGCAGGAAGCTCTGTGGCCAGGCTCTCTTTATAAATCTTTTTATAATGCAGCTGGGAAAGGCTTCATTTGCCAGTGCACCAGCTGAGCAGAGAGCTTTTCTTCCTGCTGGAGGTTATAATTCTGTTTACAGGCTCTTCTTACCTGGGAAAAATGGCAGAAGCTGTAGTAAAAGACACTATATTGTCTTTTGTTTGAAGGCTCAGAATTTATTGCCAAGTAAAGGCAGAGAATAGATTTGCAACAAAGTGGATACCATTTTCTGGAATGGATATCTAGATGCTGCTCAGGACTGAGGAGGAACAGCTTTCTGGAGGGGAGAGGCTTGCTCTGTGCACGGCCAGGTGATGTTTGGAGGCTGGGTCAGGGCTCTCGGCTGGCGGAGACATTGGCATTAAAGGCTTTAGCTTGAGCAGCCTGGTCCTGAATGTTGCAAAAAAATTAGCATCCTCAGGCTGCATGTGGGCAATGCTTGCTATTTTAGTAAAGGAGCAGTAACGAGGGAATATCTACCAAAAAGATATATGGGCCTGTCCACCAGGCTGTGTCTTCTGTCTGGTCAGATGGAAACACTGCTCCTCTATTTCTCTGCTTTGAGAAAACTAGGATGGCCCTGCAGAGGCAGAGGGGGAGAGAGAAAGAGGCAGTTGAATTTGTTCTTTGCTTCCCGGACAGAAATGCCTAAAGTTAAGCAGAGTTTACATGTAGTGTTGCAGTCCTGATGAACAAAAGCTATACTGAGAAAGAGAACATTTGGGAAAACCTGGAGTAATCCAGACTTCGTCTTTTAAATTTTTTTCCACTTGGCATGTTTCTGTTCCCCTCCCCTCCCCCTCTCCCCTCCCCTCCCTTTTTTTTTTTTTTTGGATGGAGTTTCGCTCTTGTTGCCCAGGCTGGAGTGCAACAGCGTGATCTTGGCTCACTGCAACCTCTGCCTCCTGCGTTCAAGCGATTCTCCTGCCTCAGCCTCCCATGTAGCTGGGATTACAGGTGCCCGCCACCACACCCAGCTAATTTTTGTATTTTTAGTAGAGATGGGATTTCACCATGTTGGCCAGGCTGGTCTCAAACTCCTGACCTCGTGATCCACCTGCCTCGGCCTCCCAAAGTGCTGGGATTACAGGTGTGAGCCACTGTGCCCGGCCTCTTTCTTTCTTTTTAAATAGTAGTTTTATTAAAATGGAATTCACATAGCATAAAAGTCATCGTTTTAAAGTACACCATTCTGTGGTTTTTAGTATAGTCACAGAATTTTGTAACCAACATCATTATCTAATTCCAGGGTCTTTTCAGTACCCTCCAAAAATCTCTGCATCCCTTAGCACTCACTTCTTATTCTCTCACTTTCCAAGCTTCTGAAAACTGGTGATCCACTTTCTGTCCCTATGGATTTCTGTTCTCGACCTTGCATGTGAGTGGTTTCATATAATATATGTCCTTTTGTGTCTGGCTTCTCTCTCTCATCTGGCACAATGTTTTCAGCATTTACCCATGCTGTAGCATGAATCAGTACTGCATTCCTTTATGTGGCCAAATCCATTGCATAGATTTGCCTCAGTCTTTTTTTTTTAGACATTCACTAGTTGATGGACATATGGGTCGTTTTCACTTTTTGGCTATTATGAATAATGCAGCTGTGAACATTCCTGTATAGGTTTTATTGTGGAGATATATTTTCATTTATGTTGGGTGTTTACCTAGGTGTGGAAATGCTGGGCCATATGAGAACTCTATGTTCAACACTTTGAGGAGCTGCCAAACTATTTCCTAAAGCAGCTGCACCACTTTACATTCTCCCCAGCAATGTGTAAGGGTTCACATTTCTCCACATTCTTGTCTACACTTGTTATTATCTGTCCTTCGATTCTAGCCATCCTAGTGGGTGTGAAGTGGCATCTCATTGGAGTTTCGATTTGCATTTCCCTAATTGGTTAGTCATGTAGAGCAATTTTTCTTGTGCTTATTGGCTATTTGAATATCTTCTTTGGAGAAATGTCTATTTAAATCCTTTGCCCATATTTACATTTGGGTTGTCTTTGGATTGTTAAGTATTCTTCATATATTCTGAATCCGAGGCCTTTATCAGATATATGATTTGCAAATGCACTTTTGCATTCTGTGGGTTGTCTTTTTACTCTCTTGATGGCATTTTTGACATGCAAACATTTTTAACTGTGATGAATTACAATGTATCTATTTTTTCTTGTTTGAGCTTTTAGCACCATATTTAAGAAACCATTTCTTCATCTGTGATCACAAAAATTTACTTTTATGTTTTATTTGTAAGAGTTTTATAAATTTAGCTGTTATATTTAGGTCTATGATTCATTTGCTGTTAATTTTTGTGAAAGGTTTAAGGTCTGTGTTTAGATTCAGTTTTTCAGCACTATTCGTTGAAAAAAAAAACACTATCATTTACCCATTGAAATGTCATGATACTCTTGTCAAGAATCAATTAACCAGAAATGTAGATGCTTACTTTTGGACTGTCACTTCTAATCTATTAATCCATATGTCTGTCCTTATGTCACTATTACACTATCTTGATTAATATAGCTTTATAGTAAGTTTTGACATTAAGAAGTGTAACTCCCCCAAGTTTTTTTTCTTTTCTAGGTTCTTTTAGCTACTAAGAGTCTCTTGGATTTCTGTGTGAATTTTAGGATCAGCTTGTCAATTTTTATTGAAAAAAGGCAGCTGTGATTTTAATAGCAATTACATGTAATCTATTCACCAATTAATCAATCTGTTAATATATTAGTTTGGAAGGTGTTGCTATCTTAGCAACATTGTCTTCCATCCACGAACATGGGATGTCTATTTTTTAGGGCTTCTTTAATTTCTTTTAATGATGTTTTGGTAGTTATTAATATACAGATCTTACACATCTTTTGTTAAAGTTGTTTCTAAGTATTCTTTCTGGTGCTATTCTAAATTATGTTTCTTATAATAACATATAGTTGTTACTCATTCAACCAATTCCTGCCCTTGAATGGAGTGTTTAAACCATTTAGCGTAATTACTGATAACGCTGAATTTATGTCTGCCATTGTACTATTTGTTTTCCATGGATCGTAATGTTATTTGTGTTCTTCTGTTCTTCCGTTTTGCCTTTTTTTTCATTAGTTTATTTTTATCCTCTTTTAATTTTATTTTTATTTTATTATATACTTCTGAGTTATTTTTCTCATGATTGCCCTGAGAAGCAAGCGTTTCTGTGGACTTGCACCTCTCTCTATAGGAGACTCACTGGGCAAAGCCGAATGGCTGTGATTGAAAAGGAGGGGACAGAATGAAGATCGAGGGACAGTTTGTTATCTCAGAATTGTCTGTGTTGATGGATTTATTCATTAACTTCTTGGTGGATTTTTTTTTAACATAGTAAACCTCAGTTTTTTCTCCAGTTTACTATTATGCTTCACAACTGTCTGACTGGATAAGATTTCTAATGTCAGTAGCCTTTCCTCTGGGCTTGAAGAAAGGCTTTGTGCCCTGCTCCTCTCCTCCCTGCTCCTCTAACTGCCTGTGTTCTTCTCTTGTTTCTTAGGCATCCAGTACCCTGCTGACTCTGACATGCCCCCAGCCTCCCCCAGCTCTGCAGGGAGCCCTGGTGCCAGAGACCTTCTCCCATTTCTCCCTATGGGTGCCTGACCTGAGGGCAGAGACATCTGAGTGTGTATAAGCACAGCAGGACACCAGGACCTGGCCTGAAGACATTTCCTCTCCTCCCCTCTGGATTTCTCAGAGGTAACTTTGAATTCGGAAAATGAAGGCTTCCCAACGTTCATTGATCTCTTCTTAGTGGAATCTCAGGCCATTGTTGGAAAAGATAGTAGGCCTGCCTGGGTGGATTTTTCTATACCTGTTAAGCCATACCATAAAGGCAATTTTCTAGTAGGTTTCCCCGGAATGAATTTTAAGATAGTGTTCAACACATTATTTTATGCCATCATAGTTGTTTATACTTTGGAAAGATTTCCAGGTTTATTCATTTGCTGCTTTTAACAATCCTTGGAGTCTCCTGTTTTAGATCTCCCTGATTCACTAGAGAACACGTGGATTGAGCTCCTGCGTGTGCCAGGCACAGCTCTAACTCAGAACTCAGTGAGGCAGCACCAGTGCCTGCTCTCACGAAGATTCTGTGTTTGTGAGGAATACAAGTGGAGGATGGGGGTAGGGACAGTCAGGAAGAGACAGACAATTCTCATTTGACAGTAGCCGGAAGCAAATTATATACTATGCAACAAGGCCTAGATATTGTAGAGAAAAGAAAAAGTAGACCATGTCTAGTACGACGGGGCAGGTTGCAGTTTTAAGTGGAGTGGTCAGGGAGGTCTCTAAAGGTGAAATTGAACATGCACTTTAAGGAGGCGCAGTAACTAGCCACTTAGCATCTGGGCAAGAGCGCTGTAGACAGAAGGGCTGGTGGCTGCAGCATACGGACAGCTGGAGGAGCACCCAGGCCAGCCTGGCTGGAAGGACTCAGCACAGAGCTGTGAGCTGGGACTGGGCAGGGCATAGTGGGACCTGGCTGTGCCTGCCATTGCAGGCTGTGGGGGAATTCTAGGTTCATGATGGGATATCAGTGTAGGGTTTTAAGCAGAGAAGCAGGGTCTATTTCATTTTAAATGGCTTACTCTGGCCTCTACATTGAGAATAAACTGTAGAAGGTGGAGGAAAGGGTAGAATCCGGGAGACCATCTTGGAGGATATTGCAGATGGCAGAGGACAAGGCTACAGTCCAGGAGACCATCTCAGAGGACATTGGAGAGAGTGAAGGATAAGGGTAGAGTTCAGGAGACCATCTCAGAGGACACTGCAGAGGGTAGAGGACAAGGCTAGAATCCAGGAGACCATCTCAGAGGACGTTAGAAAGGGCGGAGGACAAGGCTAGAGTCCAGGATACCATCTCAGAGGACGTTGCAGAGGGTGGAGGACAAGGGTGTAAAATCCAGGAGACCATCTCAGAGGACGTTGGAGAGGGCGGAGGACAAGAGTAAAACCCAGGAGACCATCTCAGAGGTCATTGGAGAATTTTACTTTAGTAATCCAGACAAGAGAAAGTGGGGCACACTCTGCAGATAGCAGTAGCAGCAGCAGCAGGGAAAAGTGGCCACATTCTGGATAGTCTGAAGAGAGAGCCCTTACCATGTCCTTCCAGAGTGGTTGTGAATATGAGGAAAAGGGGAAAGTCTGTAATGACTCCAGGCACTTTAGTTTGAGTAACTAGGTGGAATTGTCACCAGTGGAGATGGAGTAGGTTGCAGCCAGAGAAGGTTTGGGTGCAAAAAGGGATTCAGAGGCCGGGTGCGGTGGCTCACGCCTGTAATCCCAGCACTTTGGGAGGCCAAGATGGGTGGATCACCTGAGGTCAGGAGTTTGAGACCAGCCTGGCCAACATGGCAAAACCCCATCTCTACTAAAAATATAAAAATCAGCTGAGAGTTGTGGCAGGTGCCTGTAATTCCAGCTACTCGGGAGGCTGAGTCAGGAGAATTGCTTGAACCTGGGAGGCGGAGGTCGCAGTGAGCTGAGTTCGTGGCATTGCACTCCAGCCTGGGTGACAAAAGCGAGACTCCATCTCAATTTGAAAAAGAGATTCAAAGTTCAGTTTTGAACTTGCTGAGTGTGAGAAGATTATAAGCCACCCACATGGAGACACCGAGTGGGTGGTCCTATCCAGATCTGATCGTTTAAGAGGGCGGTATGTGCTGGAGATGTGATAGGAGTCTTTGGCCTCTGTTTGGTATTTCAAGGAATAAGATCAGATGAGATCCCCAGTGAAAGAAGAGAGGAGTTGTAAGGACTGGGCCCTGGGGCATTCTAGCTTCATGAGGAGCAGAAGAGGACAAGCCAGCAAAGGAGAACAAGAGGGAACAACCAGGGAGGAAGCGGGGGAACCAGGAGCATGGAGAGGACTGAGAATGGAGGCTCGGATCAGTGCCAGGACCAGTGGTCCAGTGGCTGTGGCCACACAAGCTGGATTGGAGAGAAGAATGCAGGGGAGGAAGTGGAGACAGGGATTGTAGACAACTCAGTTGAGCTTTGCGGCAAAAGGGAGCAGAGTTTGAGGTGGTATCTGGTGGGGTAAATAAGCTTAGGAGAATTATTTTTCAGTTGGAAGCATTATCAGCATGTTTAGATGCTGATGGGAGTGATTCTGTAGAGAGTGAAATATTGATTGTGTGGGATGGAGGGCTGCTGAAAACACTTCTTGAGTAGGAGAGAGAGATGGGTTTGTGGAAAAGTGGAGTTACTGGCTTTAGGAGGAACACGGATAGTTACCAGTGGGGATGGACCAAATGACAGATACATGCGTGGGTGGTGCTCGGAGGAGGAGGCTCTGCAGTTCTCTTCTGATTACCGACCTTTCTTTGTGAAATGGGAGTCAAAGCCAGCATCTGAGCATGCTACATGGAGAGGGATTGGAAGTTTGCAGAGACCAGGAGGCAGCAGAAAGTCCTCTAGAGAGATGGAGGTGCAGAGCGGTCACCTGAAGCATTCACAGCCCACTCGAAGCTCTGGCTCCAGACTGAAAGAGCCACTCTGGGTGACTGCATGCTTCTCTAGACAGCCCTGATGGGGAGTTGAAGTGTGCAGGAGGTCAAGGATTGAGTGATCTTTTGGCCAAGCTGAGAGGGACACAGTGAAAGAATGGCTGGAATTGGTATTGTGTGCCAGGGAGAGAGGATCCTAATCTCAGAGGGCACTGAGACAGGGAAGTGAGGAGAGAGGACAGCGGGTCTGAGGGAGGAAGGAGCAGAGGAGGAGCCATTGGAGATGCGGGAGGAGGCCGGGCACTATGGGCCTGGGGTGATGGAGAAAGGACCTGCAGTGGCACAGGCAGTGATCTGAGGTGGTGTGAGGAACCCGGAATGTGGGGTGTCTGCGGGTGCTGCAAGTTCCAGTGTTCCTCCCAAAGGCTCGGCTTCTCAGTCATCCTGTCTCACGTTTTCATGGTCCGTACTTTAAAAGGGCTGCTGGAGAGATCTTCCCCTCCACTTACCCGATTGCCTACTTACCCCTTTGGTGATACTGGGAAGGCATTGCTAAGGTGTCACGGTTGCATTTCCTGGCTGGGGCACTGTGGCCCAGATGTGGCCACTGTGAAAGTTGCCATTTGAAGTTACCCCTCCCGCTTTCTCTTCCATTCCTTGGAAGATAAGTGCATTCTAATTTTATGTTTATTTTTTAATCTTAACTTTAACATATTAGGATTATTGCATCTTTCCCTGCAGTGCTTTTGCTGGCCCCGAGATAGGGTCTCCTCAGGTGTGAGGGAGACATTAAAGAACCCTGGAGAAAACACATCACGAGGCCAAGTAGAATTTTGTGTTCTCTCTGTTGGCCACGCCCACCTCCCAGGACGCTGTGTTTGGGAATCTGTCTCAAACAAATTCCAAGAACTGTGAAATGGCTTCATATTCACAAAAGAGTCATGGTGAAGTGGCCAAAATACTAGAAAATGACATTCCAGCACGAGCAAAGATTTTTTAAATGTTTAGAATTTATAAAGAGAGGTGGTTTTCATGGACTATAAAGCAGCCTCAATCCAGCCTTCAATGATTGAAGTAGCTAATTTTGAAATACAGGTTTTTGTTCTGTTTTGTTTTGTTTTTCCCAAGTAGGAAATATCAGTAGTTTAAAAAGAAAAGAAATTGTTGGTTAAAAACTTGGCCTTGGCCATCACTCAGCCTTTGGACCGGCCACGTTTGGGAAACTGCAGCTTTGTGTGGCCGGCTCGTTGATGGTCTGCTTTTGGCTAGCTGGCCTTTAGGGCAAAGGTCATTTTTAAAGCATGAACTAGAAGCGAAAAGACCGATACCTTGCTCTAGTTCCTCCTGGTTTCAGAGTTCCTAATGTGTAGAAATGAGCAGTATTTTTAGAAATGGAAACAGAGATGCTCTTCTGAGATGCAGCGGCTGATGGTATTGTTACAATCAATCATAACCACATTTTCCACATTTAGCTCAGTTACAGTTTTCTGGGGTTTGTTTACTTCTGTTTTTCAGACTTTGGGCCATTTTCCTCCATATTCTGTGCTCTAGGCTATGATGTTAAGTCAGTCTGTTGCTGGGTCAGTCTTCTCTGAGCCTTCCTGGTGTTTATACATGCCAAATTGGAGGGAGACGGTCAACTACTGGCAAGAGAACAGCAAGTGCCTGTTTTCTAGGGCGGTATAGATTTCTCTAGAAAGATCAAGTCAGCATTTAATGAGCATCCATGATGTGCAAGGTCCCATGCTTGAGGCTCCCAGGATAAATGAGGAGACACAGGCTGACTTCTGTTTGTAAGAATGTGGGTTTTTTTGTTGACTTTTTTTTTTTTTGGGTAATGTTGACAAGGTGAGGATGTGGATTCCAGTTCCCAAAACTGGGGCACAGGCCAGAGTAGAACTAAGACAATGAGAAATGGATGCTGACTGTTAGAAGAATTATCACAACCAAGGCAGTTTTGAGCCTGCTGTGAGGAAAGAGATGAGGAGAACCTGGGCCCTGGAACAGCAGGGCTGGGGAGCCCCTTGGAGCCTGGAGTCTGAAGATTTGCCATCAGGAGGAGGTAGAATCTGTCTCCTGGGCAGGGAGAACCATTCAGATGTGTCAAGGGTAGTGATGTGATTCAAAACAAAAGGGTTCTGGATGGTTGATTGAGTGATATCATGCTTCTGGGATAAAGGGAAGAAGACCCAGTAGGAAATGTTGGGTCATGAGGCTTAACAAAAACAAATGTATTTTTGTCCTTATTTTAAACATACAGTTTCTTTTGATTATTCCCAAAAGCCTAACAACAGAACTTCATAGACACATGCATATACATTCATTAAAGAAATATCGTGCCTGCTCTCAGACTTACAGCTTCATCAATAACTTCTAATTTTAGCTCAATTTAACACTGCCTTATTAAATATTAATGAGAACACCATTAGTATCTTGCCTTTATAATTTGTTATAAAATGGGTAACATAATTCAGTCACCTCAATCTTGATTTAAACCTGACCTTACTGATTTTAATGATCTGTTTTATGAGTTGTGTTTCATAATTTATCTCAGTGCTTTAAAAATTATTTTTCCTTTTTTCTTTCTCTCTCTAAATATATATGATATAAATAAATATAATACCTATAATTGTATGTACATAAATATATAGTCAATGTAAAAACATTTCTTTGAATTTAAAAATAAGGTGAAACCTCTTCTGGTAGAACACAGGGCTGACCGATTTGACAGTGAGAACCTCCTTTGTCTCTTAGGTTATTAGAATCAGCTAAATATACAAATAATATTGACAAACATGTAATTGAAGCATTTTTAATAATAAAATCACGTATTAAGATTTTTTTCAAGCTCGTTCTTGAGTATATTGACTTAAACAAAGTGCCTCTAAGTGAAAAAGTAATGAGTACAATTATTTATAAAGTCTTAGTATAGTCTCTTGATGTGTTTCCCAGAAACTGGACTTGAATGACTAATGTCTTGGTTGTACATTATTTACATATCTGGTGGTTCCCAAAGGTTTACTTTTGTGGGAAGATCTGCTGATTAAGTTGTCAGCTGATCACTCAGAGTTAGTTTTTTCTTTTATTACTATGTGATTTTTGGCATATATATAGAAGTTCAAGACTTGAGTTTCATTTTTACAATGTATCTTCTAGTCCATCTGTGTATGTATGTGAACAAAGTATTGAAGTTATTATAGCTATAAAAGTGAAAAGTTGGAACAAAATTGATCTTGAATTGAGTCTTATTATACATATAAGTAATATTTATCCATAGATATACAAACTTAAAGAGAAAAAATCCAAATTCTTCTGTTTTTAATAGTTTATTTTTTAGATTTAAGAAATGTACATTAATTTATATTTATCTTGTTTTTATTAATTATATAATCATTACAATTGCAGTAATTTTTAATAGTTGGAACCTTATGGTAACAAGCTATTTCAAAAATTAATACTTTTCTTAATTTTTAAAATCAGTAAAATACTTCCACTGATAAAATATAGACAAGGAATCCTATATTACATTACATGAAGTAAAAATTATGTCAGGAGAATAACAATGGTAATATAGGTTCAGAGAGATAAAGGAATGCTATAAAATTTGTGCCCGAGAAGAAAGTTTCTACATATATAAAATTTAGTGATAGGCCAAAAATTAAATCTTTTAAAACTGACATTGACTTATTTTTTAAAAGGCAATATGCCAGAAGTTACATCATTTTCAGTGATTTGTAGTTCTATTGAATTTTTTTGATGGCAACTGGGGGCATGCAAAGGGCCTGAGTAGTTTTTAAAAATTATTTTAAGCCGTATTTAAGCCAAAAAAAGGGACAGCCTCTGCTGCAGGCCACACAGTGCCAATGAGAGGGTCTGTGGGAAGAGGTGGAGCTCGAGAATCGGTGAGGCCTGGCTCTGCCCTGTCCTGCCCACGTGATCTGGAGAAGCCACTTCCCTCTTGGATTTGTTCATTATACAATGGGAATGGCAGATGCTCTAAGGATCAGATGTATTGAAGGATGGGGAAACTGTTCATAACGTGTGATCAACATTCAGATGTTAGCCACTCACATGTTAGCTACGGGCTAAGAACTAAAAGCACACAAAATGACCACCTGCAGCCCAATCTAGGTCCCGAGGGAAGAGGGAAGGAGGTCAGTGTGTATAACTGGTGGAGCCATGCTGCACGGTGGAAACTCAGCAGATACAAACAAGATACCAGCAAGCTCTGTTGCTCCCAGCTGCAAGGAAGACTGGGTGTGGAGATGGTCTACATGTTTTATTCTCTCAGAGGAGAATACTCTGATGGTGCTGCAGGGCTGCAGGAATTTGGGAGATCCAGATCTGGCTGAGGGATGTCTTCTGTCACAGCACAGAGAGAAGAGACAGCCTTAGAGGAGGTTGATTTTTATTCTCAAGCTCCTGGAGCCACGCAAGTTTGGATCCTGCCCAGAGGTCTAGGGACACATGAAATACCTCATGGTTGCTGCTGACAGCTATCATTTGTTTATCACTTTCATGTTTATAAATGAATTTCCATTTGCATGGTTATTTTGCTGGCTTAAACAATGTCCCTGTGAGCTGTGGTGCTTCCCATCATCCAGCTGAGAAAACTGAGACTGAACAAGGCTTCCTCAAGATGAGGCAACGGGCCATTGGTGGAGTTGAAACAAGCCCAGGATGCCCCATTTCCAAATCTCACATTACCTTTCTGCCTGATAAAAATTTAGGAGAGACTCTTAAGAGGTGACTCTTAGCACCAGGAAAGCAGGGAAGATTAGAACATCTTGGAAAATATCTTGATTCCAAATGGAAGTGATTTAGGATTGCAAGACCCTCCAGGATCCAGATGGGTGTGGGCGTGGTGGGAGTGGAGTGGATCATTTCTGGACATTGGTGTTTTGGAGGAGCCATTTTAAGGGCTATCAGCTGGTGTTTTATGTGCTTCAGAAGAGATCTTGAGTACCAGAAATAATGGTGTCCAGCTGTGGGAGGAAGCACATATTGAAATCAGATGAATTATTTTGCAGAGACTAGGAACATGACTGTGAAGTCCATTGGTGGACGAGGTCATTGGGGGCAGAGGAGAGGCACCAGTGGGCTCTGGAGTGCCTGTCCATCCCTGAAAGCGTAGGCCATGCGAGGTGACCACGTGGTGCTTTTGATTTCTCTTCTGGGTCCTCTTTGCCCAATTCTAGTTGAAAACTTTGGTGCAGGCTAAAGTCAGCCCAAGAGAGTGTAATATTATCACCAACACTTCCCAGAAAGAAAAAGTCAAACGCAATTTGAGGTTTTGAAGAATCAGAATGAAGAGCCTGCTGTTAAACATTTCTTCACTATGTGAGTAAGTCAACTGAATGTGAGGATTAACTACAAACAGGAGGTTTGTATATAAATGTTTCCAGGATGGGGAAAAAAAAATCACATTTCAGAATCTTTGAAGAAGGGGTTAGCCTGGGGAAGGCATTTCACAGTTCCCTCCCCTCCCCTCCCCTCCCCTTCCTTTCCTTCTTTTTTTTTTTTTAAGGAAATCAAGAAACTTCTGGTAGAATAGAGAATAAATTGAAAGTGCATCATCTGAGGAAGGTTCTTACATAGGACAGGAATTAAAGGACATCCTCTGTATTAAAAGGATCATGTAATCCACAGACTTTGAGAGCTGGCCCTGGAGGCAGTCTAGGCCTCTTTAGCACCGAGCTGAGTCTCTGGTCGAAGAGACCATGGAGTGAGGAGGGTGTGGACGTCACCCAGAACTTCCATTTCAGAGACCTGCACTCAGCCAGGCTATTTGTGTGTTCTTTCAATTCATTGACAAATCAACATTGGATTTTCGGAATTCATTCAGGATCTGTCTTTGCTCTTAATCTTAACTTTTGTATTTGAGTTCTAAAAGTTCTCTAAGGAATTACTTAAGGAATTATGGATAATTTATTTTAAAAATAAATATACATACACAGTAAAATTATTAAACTACAGAGAGTGTATTAAGTAAAAATTTAAATTCTGTACCTTCTTTCCCAGAGAAAACCACTATCATCATCACCATTATTATTATTATTATTTTTTTATTTACCCCTCTAGAAAATTTAGGAGGCATAAAAAGATACCCGCTTTTTAGTCAGAACAGGATTCTGCCATATTACTGTTTTAAGCAGTGCGTTTAAAGAGCTGTATTCAGTAGAATTTGACACATGAAAAACTTCATTATGTCAGTTTTGAAGCATAATTAGCAAATATCCTGAACCTGCCTTTCAAACGAGAGCATCGTTGATGTGAATGGTGCTCCCATATATTGCTGCCCTGGCATCCCACCTTTCCCCTGAGCTACCTACTAATCTTTCCTTGCTATTTTAAGCGTTCTTTATTGCTAAACCTTATATCCTTTTACTCATTAACAATGATATTGTGTTATAGGTAGACTTGCTCACTCAGTGTTCTCTAAGATTTAACCGCGTTGTTTTGTGTAACTGCATTTATTCATTTCATGTTGTGTAATATTTGATAATGTTGGCGTCGATTTCTTCATGCATTCTCCTGCCATTGGATGTTTGGGTTATTTTCAATCTTTACTGTCACAAAACAGTCTGCTGTTAGTATTCTTGGTTCCTAAATACCTGGTCCATAAGTGCAATTTTTTTCTTGATTATATACCAAGGAAGAGCACAGCTGGGCCTGAAAAATAAAAGCTAATTAATGATTAAGTTTGCAAGAAAATGTTGTAATGATTTCTGAAGTGTGATCATACTAATTCACATTGCCATCAGCAGTGAATAAGAGTTTCCTTTAAAATTTATGCCTTTCTTATCCTAACACTTGGCATTAGGTGTCTTAATTTTTGCCAAATTAATGGTAAGATGAATTTAAGCTACCAGTAATATTGAGCTACTTTCCCCATGTTTAATCACCATCTGTTTTGTCCACTGTAAAATGACTGCTCGTATTTTTGGTCTAGTTTTTTTATTGGATTGTATTTTTCTTATTGATTTGAACTCATTTTCCTGTATTCTGAAGACTGTTGTTTGTTTCAAGTGTTAAAAATATTACCTCCCAGTTTGTGTCATCCATTTTCACTTTCTGTAAGTTATCTTTTTAATGACTAGAAGTTCTTGATTTTAACATGCTGACTATATCAGCCTTGCCCATTTATAATTAGGGCCTTATATTTAATATATTCTTCTGTATTCTGAGGTCATAAGTCACTCTCTTATATTTAATAGTTTTAAAAGTATTTAGAATTAACTTTTGTGTGTGATGGAGGAATCCAATGTGGTTTTTATTCATAAGGAAAAATAATACGTAGTAACATTTATTGAATGGCCCTTTGTCTCTATTTATCTGAAATGCACACTCTGTTATGTGTCATGTTTCCATGTATTCATGTTTTTTTTTTTTTCTCTGTCTCCTTTATTAACTTGGTTAGGTTGCCCACCTCTGTGTCAATGCAGCCTGCTCTTAATGACTCCAGCTCTCTAGTAAGTTTTGGCACTTGGCTTCCAACCTTTTCCCTCTTATTTGGTGGTGTTTGGCTATACCTGGTCCTCTGCCCTCTATAGAGATTTTAGAGTTAGTTTATGAACTAATAGCACCATTAACAACAGCAGCAAACCCTTGTTGGGAAGTTGCTTGGATTGCATTAACTCTGTAGGTCAATTTAGAAAGAATTGGCATATTCTGGGATATTGACTTTCTCATCCATGAACATCGTATCACTATCCATGTATTTATGTCTGAAATTTCTATGTTTTCTACTTTTCTCTAGATACACCTTACTTATCTTTTGTTGAATGTGCTCCTAGTACCTTAGTTTCTTTTATACCCTTGGAAATGGAATCTTTGCTGGAATGTATAAATGTAATTACCTTTTTAATATTGATCTTGCATCTAGTCACTTTACCAAACCTTTGGTATTCTTAATATTTTGTCTATAGATTCTTGTACATATACTGTATTTTTAAATAATGAAATTACTGTTTATTCATTTTCAATTCTTATAGTTTCTCTTTCTTGTGATTGCTTTCTTTTTTGCATTAGAGCCCAAGGTACAATATTGAATTGAAGTAATAGCAGACATCCTTTCCTCCAGCCTGAGTTTTATAGGGAATGTTCTAATTTAATTAAAAATACGTTTGCCGCCATATTTTTCTAAATGTCATTAGGTTAAGGAAATTACCTTGTGTTTCTGATTTGTCGACTTTTATTTTATGTTTTTAATCATAAATACATGTTGAATTTTATCAAAGGCCTGTTCTGCATCTATTAAGAGGACCATATGGTTCTCACTGTTTTTTTATGTTCTGTTACGCTTACAATATATTCCAATGTTAAATTCTCTTATACTTCTAAGAGAAATCTAGCTTGTTTAAATACACATCTGACACACAGCTGGATTCTATTTGCCCATATTTTGTTTTAAATTTTTGCTTCTTTACTCATGAGAGAGTTTGGCCTATATTTTTTCTTTCCTTAACTGCTTTTGTCTGATTGAAGAGGGAGGGTTTTTTTTTTTTCCTGTTTTTCCCAATTTACCAGAAGATTTTGTGTACGATTTATATTATCTGCTCTTGAAATTTTGGTAGTACTCAACTGAAAACGAGACCTAGTGATTTCATTGTAGGAAGATTTCTAATCAATTTTTTTCAAAGTTTGTAAAATTATTTGCACTCATTTCTTCTTGAGTCAGTTTTGTTAAGCTTTATGTATATATATATGTTATATATAAAAAAGTATGTTAACATATATTTATATATATAACTTAAGAAAAAATTTAAAAATGAGCAAATAGAATCCAGATGTGTATTTCTATTTTATATATACATATACACACACATATATATGTTTTAGAGCTGGAGTCTTACTATGGTATGCAGGTTAAGTTGTATTCTTTTAGGCATGTGTTCATAATTCCCTGCTTTTCAATTTAATTCGCATAAAATTATTCACAGATTTTTAAATCTCTTCTATTATTTATTACAATACAATTGTTCTTTTTTCTTCCTCAACCAACCTGCCAGATTGTGCATTTATTATGATTTTCAAAGAAAAACACTCTTGACTTTGTTGACCCTCTGTATTGTAACTTTACTTTGTGTTTTATTTATTTTTGTTTTTGTTTGTTACAGGTCTTCTTTTGCTCTCTTTGATTTTGGGCTATAGTTGCTTTTCTTACTTTTTCAGCTAAAAACAGCTCAATAATTTTTAGCCCTCTTTTTAAAATATAAGCATTTAAGATTATGAATTTTCTTTTCAGGGCTGGACGCAGTGGCTCACACCGGTAATCCCAGCACTTTGGGAGGCTGAAGCCGGTGGATCACCTGAGGTCAGGAGCTTGAGACCAGCCTGGCCAACATGGTGAAACTCCGTGTCTTCTAAAAAAATACAAAAATTAGAGCGGCATGGTGGCGGGCGCCTGTAATCCCAGCTACTCGGGAGGCTGAGGCAGGAGAATTGCTTGAACCCAGGAGGTGGAGGTTGCAGTGAGCCAAGATCGTGCCACTGCATTGCAGTCTGGGAAACAAGAGCAAAACTGCGTCTCAAAAAAAATTTTCTTCTCAGTACTGCTTTAATGGCATCTCATAAGTTTTCTTAAATAATATTCTCATTAATGTTTAGTTCTACATATTTTTAAAATTACATATTTTTCTATAACCCATGAGTTACTGATAAGTCTTTCAAAATTTTCCAACGTGTGGGATCTTTTTATTATCAATATCTATCTTAATTGCATTGAGGTCAGAACACATGGTCTGCTGAGTTGTTCTTTATGTCCCAGTATAATGTCAGCTTTTGTGAATGTTCTGTGTCTTTTTGAGAAAACTGTGAATTCCCAGTTTATTGGTTCTGGGTTTTTACAATCTATTACATCAAGATTGTTTGCAGTACCTTTCATATTTTCTACATTTTCACTAGTTTTGCATGTTTGCCATTTTAAAGTCATATATAATGAGTTTTCTCAGTGCGTTGGTGTACTTGGCATTTTTCTCAGTAAGTATCATTTTTGCTTTATATATTTTGAAGTTATTTGTTGTATACAAACTTAAAATTTATGGATTCTTAATGAATTAAGACTTTTATAATGTATTACCTTCTTTTTCTCTAGTTAGGCTTTATTCTTTAAAGCCTGTTTTGTCGATAGCTTTCTTTTGGTTGGCATTTTTCTTGATCACTTTTCTCCATCCTTTGACTTCTAATTTATCCAATTTCTTATACTTTTAGGTATATTTATCTGTTTTTAAAATTTAATTTTACCATTTCTTGGCTATCAAGCTTAATCCATTTATTTTTTATGACTTTAATATATTTGGATTTTTTTCTTCAAATGCTTTTATGCCGTTTTCTGTTTTTTAAATGCATATTTGTTTCTTTATAGTATTACTTCTTTTTTTCTTTTATAATTTGGAAGTTATACATTCTGTTTCTCTTCTCTTAGTAGACAGCACTGATATTTTCCTGTGTGCACAGAAAGTAAAAAAAAAGAAAGCCTTAAATTCTCAGTTTCTAAAAACCCTAAGAGCCTTAGAATTCTGTAGTCCACTTACAGGTTTATAAGCTACGATGCTTATTCGTTTTTTAGTTCAATCTGTTTTAACTGGGCTTTAGTTATTTTCTGCTGGGAAGGGTCTTGATAGAATCTAATTCATCATAATGAGGGAAGTGGATGTCTGCAATTACTGATTTTTGTTGCTGCTGAAGACATGGGTGGCCCCTTGGCTCAAAACCTGTTTCATCATTTGGATGGAGCATCAAAGAAGATGGGAACTCTCCACTGATAGGTTTTTCATGACACTTATGTAGATTTTCAATTAAGTAGGCACAAGAGATTTTCAGTGTAGAAAAAGTATTTTATGATTCATGTGAACTAGACAAAGGACTGAGATCTTACGTGCGTGTAAGTCCAGGGCCATGTGACACACTTTGCAAATGTGGAAAGAACACAGCACTGGTAAACTTAGCTGTCGTCAAGTTGATATTCTAGATTATTTTCATTCTATAATGTTTTAAACCTTATTTTCTGTAGTAAACATATATTAACATTTATAAGGTGACCCACACACTACCGTTTTTAAAAAGATAGTGTTATTTTTAAAATAGACACCTCTTTGACCTATTTTTTTCTGTGTGACTTGAAATTTGGAGACAAATCAGGATTTCATCATGAAACATGTTTATTAGGGTGTCTGTAGAACAATGACATGGCTTGTTAGGATAAGATAAGAAACGTTTTTTCTTTTGATTGTTTTACTCTAAGGCAACACTGTTGTGTGCAAATATGAACACTTAAAGGAAATCATAGGGATCATGCAGTACAGAATTTTCAAAATTTGGGGAGTAGTTTTGTGGTAATCCATTTTCCAGAGGAAGTCTTATGGAAGCCTAATGTCTGAAAAATAAATAATAAAATTCGGCTTAGGCTCAGATGGGAATAAGTTTAGCGCCCCTGTGACCCCCATCAACTAAGGCTTCCCCTCTGTGGTTCCCCTCTGTGAAACCCACAAGAACATCCTTTACATTTAAGGCCTTCATATTACAGAGGAGGGATCAGAGACCCGTGGGGATTCCAGGGCTGGCCAGTGCCTAGACCGAGTCAATTCTTCTCAGCCCATTCCAGGCCCTCCTGCCATCCACAGCTCATTTCCACAACTAAATAGAGTTGCTCCTTCAAGCAAAGCCAATTAGGAAGTGTCTGGTGCATTTTCTTTCTTAATTATTTCCTTTACAATCATCACTGTGTCTAGATGTTTTCCTTGGATGACCCCCAATTTTCCAGCCAGACTTGCCCTGTCTGTTGCATCCTAGCACCGTGCCTGCTCCTGGCTTTGTTGGTGTCTCCTGGACTGGAAAAGCCTGTCCAGTGTCCCAAAACAGGGATTTGGTGACAAGAAGCCCCATTTTAATGGCTGTCTTTTGTTTGCTACAGGCCCTTTACTGGTCTTCTAGATGTTGTCACAGAGGGATTGATTCTTTTCAAGCAGACAGACCACATGCTATTTCTGTGCTGTAAATTTCCAAAGCTTCTTCCCTGTCCACCTCTCCAACCACACACTGGAACAAGAAGTGTGTTTGCAGCTATAATCAGCACACTTAAGTACTAGTTAAATTCAGAGTGAGTACAAAATCCGTACAGCTCCTGACTCTGAAAGAGGCTATAAAAATATTATAACATGGCTTCAAGCCCTCTGGGACCTTTAAAAATAAGGTGATCCCTCCTAACCCATTTAAAGCTTATTGGGGGTTCTAAAATAGCCCAGATTACATGTTAAGGGAGTTGTCTGATTCATAGAGGATTGTGTCAGACACCCAGGAGTCCTGGCTGCCGACTAGCAAATTCTTTTCTTGTTTCTGTTTTTTTTTCGGGGGGTGGGGGATAAGGTGCACAGTTATAGCCACTTACTTTCCTGTAAACTTCCTGAGGCTAGTCACCTTCGTCTGTACCCATGGCGTGTACCTGAAATGGTTGTGAAGTAGCCCAACAAGAGAGTCAGAGGTGCCTCCAGAAGAAGCAGCTTTCAGCTCCCTAATCTCATCTGTACACCACACATCTTTTTGGATGTCATTTCTGTAGGTTGTTGCATAGATCCCCATGACAGCCCTTTGAGTAGCAGGGCAGTTCTCACCAACCCAAATCACAGATGATGATACTGAGGCTTTATGGCACCATGGAATGGTCCAAGGTCTCATGAATTTAATTTGCAGTTGGGTCTTGAATCTGGGTCTCTTGGATCTTAGACCGAGATTTTTGTTTGCTTGGCTTACTGTTAATCTCAGGTCTGATGTTGGGATACCCTGTTCTAATCTAGTGGCATCCGGGGACGCTGCTCAGCTTCAATGTGAGAACAACTCTGCATGCTTCTGGGAGGCTTGGTGGTTTATAGTCCACTCCCTCATACATTATCTGATAAGCTTTCAGCAAATACATATGCTACAAAAAATATGCAGGGCACTTGCAAATTATTACTTATCTGCAGCAAAGTTCTGACTGCTTTCCTTGTCTCAGACTGTAGAAAATCATGTGAAAATGACAAGCATATTAAAATGCTCTCTGTTGAAAACTCCATCAGTAGTTCTCAGGGCATCAGGAGCAAAGTCTGGACTCTTCCTGAACGTGTGAGGAAGCTCCTGGCCTGGCTGCAGCCTCATTTACTCTTAGGCCCCCAGCACACTCCAACTGGAATGTGAGGAATAATTGGTGGCCCTGGACAGCCCTTTGGTGGCATGGTTTCTCACTGGCTGTTCCCTCCCCTTGGCCCAGTGTCTGCAGGAAGCTCTTCGTGAGAGCCCTTCTCGTTGAGAAACCCCTTCTCTGTCCCACGTGCTTGCCTCTGTTGAATCCTGTATCTGTCTGTCCTGCATGTAGGGCTTTACCCGCTACATGTGGGCTCTGAGCTCAGCGTAGAGGGCCTGGCATCTGCTCCGGTGTTGAGAGTGCTCAGAGGTCAGAAGGCACTTGGTAAATATTAGCTGAATGAAGGAACTGTATTTTAAAACAATTCCCTTTTGTGTTATATTTGTGCAAAAGTGTGTGCAAAGTGTGACTGGAAGAATGTGATTATGTGTGGGTAAGTGCTGGATGTTGTGCGTACTAAGAGGGAAACTGGTCTACCTGATGCCCACCTTGGCGTTGACCACATCAGGCTCAGAGAGCTCACTGCATAGAGGCTGCTGTGGGATTGGCAGGGAATGGGTACCCCGCATGGTTTATCTCTATTTCCTCCAAGCAACTCTGCACACTTTTGCATAGAGCTGACCCTCAACAAGTGCTTTTGGGATTGAATGACACTGTAATCTCTCTAAATACTTGGACTTTATGAGCCCTCTGGTTCTAGGCCTCTGCTGAGATCCTAGAGGACACTGAAAGGCATATTCTGAGAGCTACCTCTTTGCAAATGCTTTTATTTTAAGTAAAAGAAAATGTCCTTGTTTCCTCCTACCCCTTTTCCAATCTTAGCACTCTATATTGCCTTGCAGGGACTGTGGGCCATCACTAGCTCCCCGCCTCTCACCACTCAATCTCAACATGTCTGTTTTTTAGCAGCTTGGTGTGAGGCTCTTAGCTTTCCTTCTGGGGGCTGCAGCTGAGACTGCCTAATCTTGGATTTGCCCAGTTAGGCAACGACAGAATGGGGTGGGGGAGTCGGGATGGAGCTCCAGGGAAGCAGATGGATCGCCGGAGGGCTGCTGTCACATTGCATTGGAAGGTGACAGATGGAAGCACACAGTAGTCTGCAGCCAGGCTGTCATGCGCAGCCACCATGGGGCACCGGGCGTGCTGTCTCTTCCTGGAAGGTGGAACTTGATCACCACTCTGCCTGGCCTCAGCAGTCCCTTCTGCGGGGCTCTGCTCTGGGCTGGTGAAGGGACAGAAAGCAAAGTGGAGTGATTGAAGGACACAGTCCAGTAACTCAGCAGCCTGCCGTGCCAGAGACAGAACAGACACACGGACAAGGGCAAGCCTTCCTTGCTTTCCTCCCCGACACCCAGGTGACCACCCAGTTTGGGAGGAAAACAGAATATTGCATTTTAGGTAGAGCAGCTGATTAAAGTTCTCGGGCCAGATGTCTTAGTGATTCATGGTGCTCTCAGCATAGACCTTGAGCAATAACCCATGTGGCCCACTTTTTCGTTCTTGGTGGAGCGCTGGCTCCTTCTGGGAGTTACAAATGTTGGGCTGTGACTAGCACCTTGAGCTAACTCAGTAGCCTCTCTCCTATGTCACGGTGGGAGTGTGTGGGACGTTGAGGTACAAAGCTGAAGAAGGTTCAGTGTTCATGATTCTGGGGGACTGTCCACGTGACCGTAATCTATTTCCCAGAGGGTCCCAGGCTGGCTGCCTTCCCAATCAGACAGTTGCTTCTGTGCATCCCGCAGGAGGAGGCAGAGGAGGACATGGGCCTGGTGTCTCACCTGCAAGGTGGCAGTGGGGTAGGCTGTGCAGAGATCAAGGTTGGGAGTGGGCCCTGCTGAAAGGAGCTTGGACACTATTCCAAAGCTTCTCTTTTACCCAATGGCTCCCTAAAAGCTTCTCTTTTACCCAGTGACTCCCTAAATGGTGCATTAGATCATCTTGCAGGTGCAGCGTGGGCGTCCAGTTACTGCTCTCCGGGGCTTGCTCCCCTGATCACTCTCTTACTGCCCTCAGAGCACAGAACACGTGATGCTCCTGGCGAAGCACCTCATTGACTCATTCCAAATAAACTCCCTCAGTGAGAGGACAGGGCCTCTGCATCCCTGTGGCCAAGTCACAGCACTGGGGGTGAGGCTGGTGATCTGATACATCAGAAGCGCCCTGGCTTGTCTGCAACTCCAGGGAGTTCTGATCTCAGGGTCTCATGAAGCCTTGTAACTTTCACAACTTGTTCTCTCAGTGGGACATTGGGGTATGGCCAGGAGTCAGAGACTTTAAAAAGGAAGCAGAGGGATTGAAAGGCGGGATGGAAGTGAAAGTGGAGCATGGCTCATTGGTGTGATTATTTAATAGATTACTAGGAAAACAGGGATCATGATGTACAATTGCGTGTGCACATCCAGATAGGAGAGCTGCTGTTGGATGTCTTAGTTCATTTTCTGTCGCTGTAATAGAGTATCTGAGACTGGGTGATATAAAGAAAAGAAGTTTATTTCTCACAGTCCTGGAGGCTGGGAAGTCCGGGATCAGGTGACCTCATGGGGTGGGCTGTTGGTGAGGGGCCTCACGCGGCATCATAGCACAGCAGAAGGCATCACAGGATGAGGGGCACACGAAAGAAAACCAAAGTGGCTTCTATAACAGACTCACTCTCAGGGTAGCTGTTCTACTCCTATGATAACCCATTAATCTGTTCATCCATAACCGGTGAATGGATTAATCCGGTCATGAGGGCAGACGCCTTATGACCCAGTCATTTCTTAAAGATCACCACCCCCCCCATACTGTTTCATTGAGGATTAAGTTTCAGCATGAGTTCCAGAGGGAACCAACATTGAAACCATAGCACTGGAGCAGCAAGTGAAGTTCCCAATTCCCCTGGATTCCCCGGGACTTGTCTACTACCAAATAGGCACTTTGATCTCAGTCAAGGGGCTACCTGTCCCTGCCCTCATATGGAGATCATACAGTGCTGCTCCATGTTACTTCCTCTCTGTGGCCTGTATTCCGGAGACCCTCCAGCACTCACATTCTGTGATTCCAAGAGTTATAAATGAATGTCTTGCCCCTAGTATCCAGGAGGATATTTCATGGCAATGGAGACCACTGGAAAACTAAAGGGAAACATGGGTGGAGGAAAAGTAAACTGTGTTGTTCAGTGAAGCCCTAAAATCCTCTTCTTTTTCCTTATTTTCCCTCGGAGTAGACTAGGGACGATGTATATCATAGGCCCTTGTGCCTTTGGCATGGAATCTTCGCAACAGAGTGAAAACCTTTGAGGTTCCCAGATCAACTCTTAGAATCTGCCTTACTCACCTATTTTTTAAAAAATGAGCCCAGCTGAAGGTGGCTTCTGACATTTGAAAGGCATACCATGAAGGGACTTTGGCTTTTGTTAGAGAACTTGAGTCGGGGTGAGTCCACCTGGGCCCCTGGATGATACTCTTTTAAAAAGGCAATGAGAGTGGCCAAGGTTGTGTTCTGGAAAGTGATGGTCACAACACACAACCGGGGAAGTATAACACCATCTTGAATTGAAGGAGAAATTAATCACGACTCGGAAGTATTGGTGTGTAGAGAGAAGGATACTCAGGTGGAAGAGCACTGACCTGCTCTCTGCGTAGATCAGGCATGTATTTCATCTCACCGTGAGGGGAGGAAGTCATGCCAGGTAAATCTCAAGGCGCTTCCACACCTGAAATGTTCCTGGCAAATACATGGGTTCCCCGGTGTGGAGGTATGAGAGTTCTTTTCTCCTTCACCGCAGACAGGCAGGTCTGTGGCAGTTTCAGGCTCTCTGCTGGATTCACACTCATAAGTGGTTTGTTTACTTCCTTCAGCATGAAGGAAGAGCTGAAGAAAGTGCTGGCATGCGCTTACTTTTGAAATTGGCAGTGAAGTGATTGTATGAAGTCATTGGTCAGCATAATGCCAATTTCAATTGTGTGTGCGTGTGTGTGTACGTGTGTGTGTTTGGTAGTGAAGAAAGCTTTCAGAAAAATCTGCTTTGCTATTTGAAATGCAACGTGGTCCTCTGGATGTCTTTCTTGTACTTACATGGTTTTTTTTTTCTGTATGGCTTTTAGTGTAATTTCTCTTTAAAACATAATAATTTAGCAATTAGAAAAGGAATAATGCATGCTTTTCTTTTTTTAAGTCTGATGTTAAATCAGTCCATGGGTTTCTGGTTACTTCTTACTGCATCACAGAAAGGTCTATTGCTTCATAGGCATTTAACATGTTGCGATTATCTTTATGATAATAAATCTTTATGATGATAATGATTATGTGCTACGACAATATGACCAGGAAAAAAAATTATTTTCTGAGGGGTGGAGGCGTTTTATTTTCCAGATTGAATTCCTATAAAGGTACATTTTTTTTTTCCCTCTTAGAATGTGAACTACTCTTTTACAGACCTGCACTGAGTGCCTTCTGTGTCCAGGGCACTGTGAGTGGAGTCCCTGCGATCCAGAGTATTTGATACAGATCCAGCCTTAGGAGATAGTAATGTATTTGGAGAGATGAGACATGCATGCATCCTAAGGACATAATTTATATTTTATTTCAAGAGCAAGAGAACACTAAGAGAGGAAAGCTCCGATGCAAGGATCTTGCTGTGGATGACATCCTTGAGGCCATGCCTTCATGTCTGGCACATGACTTTGAATACCCATCCCTCTTTTGTCCTTCTGCCTAGAATTTCTTTCACTCATAACAACATCACTCCAACCTTAAAGCCCAGCATGAATACCCCTTCTTCCATGAAGTATTCCTGACTTGGCCACCTGGAAATGCTGTGTTTTCTTGGAATTCCTAGGCAGTGTGTGGTATTGTGGAAGTAGTATTAGCTACAGTGTTTGATTGGCATTTGAAAATCTCTCTCTCATTTACTAAATACATGTGAAATTGAAACAGCCTCGTTGTCTGGGGTAATATCTGAGGTTTGTTGTTTCATGGCCAGGGAGAACAAGGACACGGACATACGAAGAGTGAGGTTGACAGTGGAAGTTTAATAGGTGAAAGAAAGAGAATAGCTCTCCGCTACAGAGAGCGGTCCTGGAAAAATGCGTTGTGGGATCCACGGTGAAATGCAGGGGGTTTTATAGATAAGCTGGTGGGGAATGATACCTGGTCTACATAGGGAGCTAAAGACTGGTTATGCCAGGTGTGCCATTTGCATAGGGCACAAATCTCTGGTAGCCCCCACCCTAATGATTTATTATGCAGGCGGGTTCTCTGCCTGAGCTCCACCATGTTGCCCTTTTATTTATTACTGTACACGTGGTAACAGAAAAGGGAAGATGGAGCCTCCATGTTGGACATGCCCGGCCCCCAGGTCACCCTTTTCTATGGTGCAGCTGCTGGCATCCCCCATAGAAGTTTCTGGCTTCCTTATTTATGTTTGCAGCTCCATTTCTCAGGCTGTTCTTTGTTACAAGAGAAATGATTTTGGGAGGTTGCTTTTTGTTAGAAGGGAAGCTCTGCCGAGGACTCTTTTTGATCTCATAATTTCTTTCTACCTCCCATATCAAAACTTTGTGCTATTTAGCCTTCTGACTGAACACTGGTTTCCTCATCTGTGAAGCCAATATCTCATCAGATTATGGATAAATTCACCGAAATAAGGAAAACTTCTAACACTTAGACAAGAAAATTAATAAAACATTAGTTCTTCCCCATTCTATTTTGCTTGGATATTTATGCACTTGTCTTATTTTATTCATCACAGCATAAACTTCCAGAGGCAGGGCAATACCTTTTCCATTACTGAGCACAGGCATTCATGCACAGAAGGTCCTCAGTTAATGACTGGCCCAGCCTTGCTGGTCTCCATGGTTTATGCCATCATGATGCCAGTGTTGAATTTGTGGTGGTCTTTGAACTGTGATTGATCGTTGAAGGGAGATGACAAGATCATTTTGATAATTTTAAAAGATGGATGAATAAGGGGACTGTCCTCAGCACTGAGAAGCAGAGGTCAAGGATGAAGTCGTACTTGGACTAGAATTAGGCTAAGTTATAAGTGGTGATTTGATGCATGAGATCCACCTTTCTATGTTTGAGATATTGGAGGACATCTTTTCTGAATCGTGCCTTGTTCCACAGAGAGAGACTGAGACCTGAACAGACAGGAACATAGGTAACATCAGGAGTCCTCAGGTAACATGAACACTAAATACCTGAAAATGTATGTTTGATTTTTACCCTTACGGGCCAAGCAAGGAGTCTCTGGGTTGAAATGTTTGTGTCCGTTTGGAGGTAGGTGAATCTCCAATGATTTGGGGGGCATGAAAGTTAATATGCAACACATTCTGATCCGATTTACCTTCTGTGTTGGCTCCATCCTGTTCCTTAATGGACTGATGAACCTCTCTCAGTATCATGTCACTTTCTGAGCTCGTAGACATTCCTTGTCACACAATTAAATTCCTCGTGACTTGGTTTTCTAAGTTAAACCACCTTTTCTTGCCTCCTTCTTCTTCTCAGAATGAATCTGTGTAATTGGATGTGTGAGGTATGCTTAGTTGCCATTTACCTAAGTCTGTTTCCAAAAATGACCGAACAAAAGACTATTACAAGAGAAGAGGCCCAAACAAACCCTGTAGTTTTAACAAATTTCCTTTTCTCCTCCCTTCTTATCTCTCTCACTCTCTTTTCCACTTTCTTCTCTCCTCTGTCTTTAGCTAGTTAATTACATATCTAGAGTTAAAACTCAGGGTTTCCGAGTCATGTGTCCTTGGTGTGCAGTCATTGGGTGAGGAGCTGGGGACGTCAAAAATGAATTTAACGTAGTCCCTCCTCTCAGGCAGCTGCAAACTAGAAGCAGGCGTGGGACACACTGTATGCCCAGGAGTGGCTTTGCATTTGAGAGCCATCCTTCTGGCAGCTGTGCAGGGAATGGGTCGACCTGGCCTTGCATTTTCCTCACTCCCCTCCTGGCCCACTCCAGCAGCTGGTAGGCAAAGCTGTAAAGGAAGTAATGATGTGGCTCAGGAAAGAGGCATGAGGTTAAAGAAAAACTGTGGCAAGGGTAGCAGAGATGGAAAAAAAAACAAAAAACAGAAAACAAAAAAACACAACACAGCAAGAGAACACGTTGGCTTCCAATGTGAATTTTCATTCTTTGAAAGAGGGAGCATGTTCATGTCCTTTGCCCACTTTTTGAAGACATTTATGCAGCCAAAAAACACATGAAAAAATACTCATCATCACTGGCCATCAGAGAAATGCAAATCAAAACCACAATGAGATACCATCTCACACCAGTTAGAATGGCAATCATTAAAAAGTCAGGAAACAACAGGTGCTGGAGAGGATGTGGAGAAATAGGAACACTTTTACATTGTTGGTGGGACTGTAAATTAGTTCAACCCTTGTGGAAGTCAGTGTGGCAATTCCTCAGGGATCTAGAACTAGAAATACCATTTGACCCAGCCATCCCATTACTGGGTATATACCCAAAGGGCTATAAATCATGCTGCTATAAAGACACATGCACACGTATGTTTATTGTGGCACTATTCACAATAGCAAAGACTTGGAACCAACCCAAATGTCCAACTATGATAGACTGAATTAAGAAAACGTGGCACATATACACCATGGAATACTACGCAGCCATAAAAAATGATGAGTTCATGTCCTTTGTAGGGACATGGATGAAATTGGAAATCATCATTCTCAGTAAACTATCGCAAGAACAAAAAACCAAACACCACATATTCTCACTCATAGGTGGGAATTGAAAAATGAGAACACATGGACACAGGAAGGGGAACATCACACTCTGGGGACTGTTGTGGGGTCGGGGAGGGGGAGGGATAGCTTTAGGAGATATACCTAATGCTAAATGACGAGTTAATGGGTGCAGCACACCAGCATGGAACATGTATACATATGTAACTAACCTGCGCATTGTGCACATGTACCCTAAAACTTAAAGTATAATAATAATAAAAATAAAAAAAAGAGGGAGCATGGGTTTGCACTCAACACAGTAGCAAGGAGTTTAGGTATACAAGTAGGATTTCTGCACACAGAGGAGTTCTGCCTGCGTGTGTGTGCGGGGTGCCCTGTTTGGAATTGTCCACAAACAGGTGTACTCAACAAATTTCAAATGTTTGCTCCACCATAGCTGGCAGGCCTGTTGTGAGGATATTTACAAGAAATGTGAAACAACCTTGCAGACACATGCACTGGGACGAGGCAAGGCTTTTCTGGGCCTGGAGGGAAAATAGGGAAATAGGACACGATCTCAGCTCATGAGGAGGGTGTGTCGGAGGCTGTCATAGGAGGCAGTGGTGCCCTGCAAGGTGGGGAGCGGCCCCCACCACACATGTGAAGGCAGGTGGAAGCTCTTAGGTGAGTGGGCCTACAGCACCAGACCCCTCCCGTGTACGGAGAGCAACTTTGTGTCAATTACTCAATTACAGAAACGTCTATATATTCAGGGCCTTTATGGAGTTTAAGGGACCAGTGCCTTCTAGAGGGAGAAGCTTTTCTAAGCCTGAGGCATAATGCAAAACCTAAGCGCAAACAGCGGGAAGATGGGGCGGTGACTCTGTCTCAGTGGCAAGGGTGGAGCTGCAGGCCCGTGTGGTGGCGCAGAGCTTCGGGAAACGGGACAGGATTGCATCTTCAGGATGGCATCCGTGACGCTGTTTCCCCATCCTTTCCAGGTGAATAAGGAAAAAGGCACGAGATTTATAAAAATTGCTTTTGGTAATTAAGTGTAATTATATAATCTTAAAAGGAAATCTCTCTTTTACCTACTAGATTGCTATGCTGTTTGTATTTGGTGAAGAGACAGAAAATTTGCCTATCAGGGTTTTCACTTATTAAGCTTTCAGTTTTTAAACAGGATGTGCATTTTAGGTTTGAAGAAGTTAAATGTTTAGTATCATTAAAAAAGAAAGAAAAGGAAAAAAGACCGCTCCTCACCCCCACAACACACACACAAATACCAGAATTGCACATTCAGCATTGGGGAAGTTGTTTACTCAGCCACAATTGTTAGCCCCGACCTTTGCAGGTACTTCAAAGTCTTAGCCCATATATTTCACAGTAAGAAGAAATGGTGGTTTAAATAGACTGTGTGAGTATGATTATGACAATATTGGCCAGAGAAACACCGGAATATTTTAAAATTTGAGTTATTCTCCAAATGTTGGATGTTTTCACCTTCTAGCTAGGACGCAGAAACAGCAGGAACATGAAGACTAAAGAAACACTGGAATATTTTAAAGTTTGAGTTATTCTCCAAATATTGGATGTTTTCTTCACCTTCTAGCTAGGATGCAGAAACAGTAGCAACACGAAGACTAAAGAAACACTGGAATATTTTAAAGTTTGAGTTATTCTCCAAATGTTGGATGTTTTCTTCACCTTCTAGCTAGGATGCAGAAACAGCAGCAACACGAAGACTAAACAGCCGTGGTCAGCGTCACCCACTTTGGTCTTCCCAGAACCTGAAAAGTCTGTGCTCTGAGGTTGGTTTGGGGAGAAGGATAAATTGCCCCTGGAGAAATCACCAGTCACCAAAATGTCTAAAGCAGCCCACTATAAAAAGAATATTTTAAGAGGTTAATAGTAGCCAAGTTCCTTTTCCATGACAACCTCCTGTCGTGCGTTTTGAAATACAGTAAATATTGGCATGAGAAGGGGAGTGACTTAGGGGCTATTTTCAGGAGTCCTGAAGCGACTTCAACTTTAATAGGATAATAACTGAGCAGAGTGTTCTGTGAACAGGATAATTAGGAAGTCCATAGTCAGGGCAGCAGCACAAGCTTGTGCACTGAAGGCGATTCTTGAGCTGCTGTTACTCCTGGTGGGGATTTTCTGTGGCCAGGTCTCTGGTTATATATATATCCTGGCCACTTCCACCCGGAAGCCCTCCTGATCCTTGAAGATCCATGCTTCTCCCCTGTACAGACTTCTTTTCCCGACTGACCTTCCTCTCTTGGCTTTAGCTTTAGTGCATTGGTTCATGGTGTCAGTTTTTACAGCCATCGACGCAAACCATTTTGGAGACAACTTTGTCTCCTCCCCACATACCATCCCCCATATGCCTGTATGATGTTCTCCCTTTCCGTGACTCTCCCAGCAAGCCTTTGCTTCTCCAGTTTCCCATGGTCACCCGCCGAGTCAAGGTTCTTATCAGTTCGTACATGTGTGATAATGAACTTTACCCATCACTATGCATGTAGGTCATTCTTCCTCCAATGAGAGTTTATTCTGACAAATTACTATAAATCAAGCTTTGAAAATGTTATGTGAAACATGTAATTCTTCATCTACAGAAGACGTAGTTCGTTTGTCGTCTGCTACAGAAAACTTCCCTTGGGGCGTGTGAGCACCAGTGTTATGGGGGAAGAGGATGAGGGTGAAGGGAACCGGCCCAGGGTCTTGTTAGTATCCCATTGTGCCCCACCCTTGCCCCTTTCTGCATGGGGACTTTGAGGAGCCCCTCAGCCTCGCCCTGTGGCACCCTGCCCTGGAGCAGCCCCCAGTCTTGGGAGACAGAGTTGGTAGATCTCAGCTGCTGCTCCCTACTTCTGGGTAACTGAGGCAGGGGTGTGACAGTGACTGTCTGAGTCCTCCATGGGATTAAGCATCCATTAACAGTAGTGACTGCGGTGGTGAATCCTTCACTTGTACTTCATTCACTTCTTCACATCTACAACTGTTTCCTTGGCTCAAGAAACTCACCTACTAAATAAATCACTTGCATAGGAATCATTGTCTCAGGCTCTGCTCTTGGGGAAGCCAAATTAAGATACTTCCATAGACTCCTTTTTTTTTAATGTGTAAAATGAGGGAAAACTCAAAAGCTCGCTGGAAATATCAAATGAATTAAAAGTTCATGAACATCCTTGCAAACCCAAAGCACTAAGCTACTTGACTTTGGAACTCCTGTTTCAGTGGACCTTCTGTTAGCATTTTAAGGAACAGTGTTTTTTTTCAGAAACGGGTCACTGCGTGTAATGAGTTGTTGATATCTATGGAGTAGGGGAAGTGGTGTCCTCTTCAAAGGATTCTTAATTCTATGGGATTTGGCGTCAATTGCTTTTGAATGGTATGTCTCTTCTGCTCATTAGTCCCAGAATGGTATCACGTAAAACAGCCCAGTGTGGGCAGCCACCCTGTCCTTGCTGATCCTTCCTCAAGGACCTTCTCTTCTCTGGGCCACCCTTGAGAAGGCTAGGGGAGGTATGTTCTAAACTCTTCTGGTGTTCCGTATTTGCATTTGAAGGTACAGAAACAGAATATCCTGCAGGATGAGTTGCAAGTTAAAATACGTGGGCACAGTACTTTCTTCTATTATTTTGGTTGAAGGAGGGGAACAGTGAACACTTCGGGCCCAGAGCAGGCAAGGTTAGAACAGACTCCTAGTGGGTGCAGCTGGCTTTGCCAGTGGCTCTTCACCTCCTCAGCTGGGACAAACCACTGATTTATTCTGGGAACATGAACACGGCTCCAGTAATTGAAATGTGTTCTTGTGGCTGCAGCAGTCCTGGGGGCCTATGCCTGCTGGCCCATCGCCTGGTCTTGAAAAGAGCTTTGCTCCCCCTACTGGGATCAGTCTATTCTCATCACAAGAAACAAACACATTTGAGAAAACAAATCCTTTTCTCCTACCATATAAAATAACACCCAGAATTACCTGTCAATGTGTTTTTTTTTTTACAAATTTAGCCACAGTGTCTTGAAAAACGCATCAACTCTTCTTCAGGGCAAAGCAGGCACTGTGAACTTGGCGAGGGCATTGCCAGTGTCTCTTGGCATCATCCTCCTCAAGCATGACTGGTGGTCAGAGCCCACGGTGTTCTCAGGTGTTGTGTGTTCAGGCTGTCCCATGGAGTCCCTGCAGTGGCAGTGAGAGGCTGGTGAAATATGGGGGTTCCTGCTGGTCAGATGAGGTCTCGGGCTCAGAGCCGCACCTCAAGAGCGCAGCATGTGGTCTCAGGGTGCACCCTGGTATACCGCCTCTTGGTCCAGGGCTATAGCCAATAGGTTAGGTAATACCCCATCCTTGGGGCTAAATATCAGTAGTGATGACAATAATGATGGCCATTCCTGTAGTGCATCAATGCCATTACAGGCCTTGTTAGTAGGGTGCCACATCTGTTAACTTATTTAATCCTCATTATTCTAAATGGTGTTATAGGCTTAACTGTATCCCCTTAAAATTTGTATGTTGGAATCCTAACTCCCAGTACATCAGAGTGTGACCTTATTTGGAGGGAGGGCCTTTACAGTGGTAATCAAGTTTAAATTAGGTCATTGAGGTAGGCCCTAACCCAGGATGACTGGTGTCCGTATAAGAAGGGGAAACTGGGAGACAGAGATACACATAGAAGGAAGATGATATAAAGAGAAGACGGCCACCGACAAGCCAGGGAGAGGGGCCTGGAGCAGATCCTTCCTCCCAGCCTCAGAAGGAACTGACCCTGCCCACACCCTGCTCATGCTCCTGCATCTTCCAGAAGTGTGAGAAAATACATTTCTGTTATTGGAGCCACTCAGTCTGTGGTGTTTGTCACTGCAGCCCCAGGAAACTTTAATAAAAGTACAGGCTGAGCATTCTTAAACCAAAAATTCCAAAATCTGAAATACTGCAGAGTATGAAACGTTGAGTGCTGACAATGCCACAGGTGAAAACATTCATATTTGACCTCAAGTGACGGATTGCAGGCAAAATACAGTCAGTCTTCCTTTCATGCACAAAATTGTTACAAATCTTTTTGTTTGTTTGTTTGTTTCAGACAGTCTCGCTGTGTCGCCTAGGCTGGAGTGCAGTGGCATGATCTCGGCTCACTGCAAACTCTGCTTCCCGGGTTCACATCATTCTCCTGCCTCAGCCTCCCCAGCAGCTGGGACTACAGGCGCACACTGCCACGCCCGGCTAATTTTTGTATTTTTAGTAGAGACGGGGTTTCACCATGTTAGCCAGGATGGTCTCGATCTCCTGACCTTGTGATCCACCTGCCTCAGCCTCCCAAAGTGCTGGGATTACAGGCGTAAGCCACCGCGCCTGGCCAAATCTTTTATAAAATTATACCTTCAGGCTATGTGGGTATAAGGTGTATATGGAGCAAAAGTGAATTTCATGTTTAAACTTGGGTCCTGATATGGTTTGGCTTTGTGTCCTCACCCAAATCTCATCTTGTAGCTCCCATAATTCCCATGTGTTGTAGGAAGGACCCAGTGGAAGATGATTGAATCATGGGGGCGGGTCTTTCCCATGCTGTTATCGTGAAAGTCAGTGGGTCTCATGAGATCTGATGGTTTTAAAAACAGGAGTTTCCCTGCACAAGCCCTCTCTCTCTTTGCCTGCTGCCATCCACGTACAATGTGAGTTGGTCCTCCTTGCCTTTCACCATGATTGCGAAGCCTCCCCAGCCATGTGGAACTGTAAGTCCAATAAACCTCTTTCTTTTGTAAATTGCCCAGTCTCTGGTATGTCTTTATGAGCAGCATGAAAACAGACGAATACACGTCCCATCCCCAAGATATCTCATCAGGTATATGCAACTACTTCAAAATCCAAAACACTTCTGTCCCAAGCATTTTGGATGAGGGCTATTCAACTGGTACCATTTTCCTCATTTTATACAGGAGAAAACTGAGGCCTGGAGAGGGAGGAACTTGCCCAGGTCCCTTCAGAGAGCAGAGGCTGTGGTGGACAATGAGCCCAGGGTCTGTCCCAGTGTCCACACCCTCGGCCACCAGCTTCACCAGGCAGTGACTTGCACCTGCTTTCTGCACAAGGCACAGGACTGCATTATTCTCACCATCTGATGGCTTCTCCAGTGGCCTAGTCCTTCCTCCTGCAGCCCTCATTCCTGTTTGAAGTTTTGAATCAAATTTGTTGCCTCCAAGGCATGGCCTGCATAAAATTTAGTGCACAAAGTCATGTGCAAAACTAAACTTTGAGAATATGAATTTTGTGCACTAAAATCACTCGTCTTTACCTTGCTTTCCTTATTTGACACATTTTTCTTACTTGTTTTTCTTTTTGCAAAGTGTAACATACACTTTGTAAAATAACTGGCAAGTATAGAAAAACAGAAATACTCAGTGACTGTGTCATTTTACTTTGTGGTGTGTGGTTACTGGGTTTCCTATTGTTCTTTGGCCTTGTCCTTGTTGCAGGAGCTCCAGCTGGTTGGACAGTAACCTCTGGCTGGGGAGTCTTGCCCAGGCCTCTTGGGACGGGTGTGCTGCCTGCTTTAATATTCCTTCAGTTGTCTGGTTCCTTGAGTGGGCCTACCTTCTTTTGACTGGGAGCCCCGGTAGGGATGGTAAGGATGGCCAGGGTGTGGGGTCCCAGTGATCAGGCTGTCTAGTATACGTGGTGATTCCAGTCTTCTTCAGCATATCTGCCAGAAGGATATTAAATGTTGCAAAACTAAAATATGGAGCAAACCAGGTCATGGGTGAGTTAAGACTGAATAACAAATTGCATTTTGAGGTGGGGTCTGGTAGAGAGCATGCTGCAGTTTCAGGATCAATGAGAGATTTTTCCTTAACCTTTCACTTTTGCAGTCTTCAGCTGTGTGGAACTGGCTAACATGGGGCAATCAGTTATTCTAGACACAGACAGCTCTGGCACGTGTATGGGGAGCGGCAGCACTGCTTACCTGGGCCTTGGAATCCTGTCCTCTGATGTGCCATGTATCTGAGTGACATCAGATGAAGTCTTGGACAAAGGGACTCCCTGGGCTCTCACTAGTTCTGACCATTTTGTTTTTGGCATGGATTCAACTCCCAGTTTCCAGTGACCTAAGCCTGCTTCTCTGCTTTTCAGTGGGACCTGGGATATTTCTCTACTGTGGGATAAGATAGTATACAATGTTTATTTCTAGATTCCTGATTTTGTTCTTTTGAACCTAATGCAGTTTCCTTTCTAGTCTTTTCTTAATAGTTTGCAAAAAGGGGGAATTGCAGATTGGTTCATGAATGGAGATCCTTGGAAGGGGAGTCCCATTTCTTCTCACATAGGCCCCTGGGGAGGAATTACTGTCTCCCCCCAGGGTTCCGATCCAGCCCACAAACTTATACAAGTAACTTCAAATCAAGCTGAAGCCACCTAAACCCACCCATTTCCCTTGAAGCCAGAGCAACAGCAAACAGCAGAGTGGATTCTAGGCTTAACTGGTCTGCCTCCTCTTCTTTCCCTCCTCCTCATTCCAGGTTTGAATTGTGGGCACACACTCAGTCATTTGCCAGGCAGGTCTGCAGCAAGATTGAGTGACAGTCTGAGATGCTGCTGTACTTCTTTGTTCAACTGTCAAACTTTGGGAGATAACTTTCCTCCTAGCTACAAAAGGGAGATTATATAACTTCTTATGCTAACCCCCACTTACCCTCTTTAACTGCACATGGCTTCGTGTGTTTATCACTTATTTTTTCCTTTTTAGAATAATTTTTCAGGTGGATTGGGTGGAACGGAAATAGCCCCGGGGGGTTTGTTCCTTGAGCTAATTGCTGTTTCTTGGAGTGGGGCTGTGGGATTGGAAGATTCCCCTTGACAATCCTTTTCCTTTTTTGGTTCCCTCTCTTCCAGGCCTCTCTGGCACATAAACCATCTTACCTTAGAGATTTACTGTTTCGTACACATGTTTCGCAGGACCATAGCTAACAAGGCTGCCAGCTGTGTCTCAGGGTTGTGTTCCACCCTGGGGGTGCAGTGCATCCCAAGGAGTCCAAGGACTGCGGTTCTGTTCCTGAGCCACGTCCAGGCCCAAACTCCCAGAGAAAAGGACCTACAGAGGCTTGCATCTGGCAAAGCAGAAGATCCGCAGGGAAGAGTTTAATTCTTTGCTAGAAAGGTGCATGCCCTCTAACAGTGGGGGTAATAGTTATAATAATGGTAGACACCAGCACCAGTGAAGCCCAAGAGATGGTCACGTTTATGGTTTGAAGAGTAGGATTCTGGAGCCAGGTTGACTCTGTTTGAAGCTAGGCTCTTGACATTTACTAACTTTGTGACGTTGGACAAGTTGGGGAACTTTAAAGCCTCTATTTTCTTATCTATGAAATGGGGATGAATATGCCTGCTTCACAGTTTACTGAAGGGATTAAATGAGGCAATATACAACTAATGCAGGTTCAGATGGTGCCTTAGTAACTGGAGCTAGTGTTAAGTGTTGGCGATTTGCCTACGTGGTTGAGTGTCCGAGCTGGGGTTCAAACTCAGTGGCTTCTGATCCCAGAAGATGCACACTTTTCAGTATAGGATGTTGTGTCTAATATTAGACTCACGTGGTGTCTTAGGATCTTTGGATAAAGAGACTTAGGTGCTTATCCTAAAATTGTCATTAACTGTTTAACCACAGATAGTTGGGTTAATTTTATTGTACTGCCTCCATTTCTCCTGTGTATATCGGCATGTAAGGCCCTCGTATTGCCATCAAACACGCAGATTAAATGCTGATGGAAGGTGGCCCGGGTAGCAGGTCCTCCTGGTCACTTCACAGTACAGGGCGGGCATCTCTGCAGAAGGCCAGCCTGGCAGCACGGTGCACACTGGCTGCAGGAAGATAGGCCAGTGAGGATGAGGTTGGGAAAGGGCTTCACATCAGGCCTAAGTCTTTTGAGTGGAAATGGAATTTTAGGAAAATTAACTTTGTTCCAATATTTACTAGAGAAAGGAGAAGATTGGAATGGTGATACGGATTTTCACCACCCCTAGAAAATCATCAGTACCCACCATAGGGGTCAGCATATGGTCCATGGGCCAAATCCAGCCTGCTGCCTGTTTTCATAAATAAGGCTTCACGGGCACACGGCCATGCCCGTTGGCTTACGTGCCGTCTCTGGCTGCTTCGTGCTCCAGCATCAGAGAGGTCTTTTCTACAGAGACCCCATGATCCACAAAGCCTGAAATATTTTCCATCTTGCTCTTAGCAGGAAGACTTTGCCAGTCTCTGGTCCACACTGTTACTGGACTTCAGGATAGCACATTGTTCACCACAGAAGGAAAGATGTGGAAATTAAGAGTAAGTGAGACTTCTGGAGGATCTAGATTTTTAGGCTATGGCTCATGCTCATTAATTCATCTTAGATTCGTCATTTACCAGCCCCACCTAGTTCGCAGCCTGTAAAGTGGGAGGGTGGAAGTTACAGACTTACCTGCTCTCCAGGAGTGCTGAATAGTATTGATTTCTCAAGAAAGGAGAATGGCAGTTGTAGCATGATTCTGCACATTGTCAAGATTATGGCTGCCTTATGACCATCGTGCCACATGCATTCTAGTTTTCAGAAAATAATTAAATACAGCATTGTGGTTCAGAGCATGGGGCTGGTTGCAGACTGCCGAGATCCATCTGCCGTTGCCGTGTCCGTGGTGGTGTGATATTCAACAAGCTTCTTAACCTTGGTGTGCCCCAGTCTCCTTGTACCAAATGGGAGATAATAATACTACCTCACTAAGCTATTGTAAGATTAAGTGGCTTATAAGTTGGTGCACCTAGTAAGATCTTAAAACATGTTAGCTATTATTAGTGCATAATTCTTGTTTGAATTAACACTGCTTTTTTTTTTTCTTATGGGAAAAAGACAAGCCTCCCTGAAAGGCTGGCACTGTGAAAGTAAGTCAGACTTTACTTAATTATTGTGAAAGTAAGTCTTACATTCACATTGCCGTGAGCTGACCAACCTTGTTTAACTCTTAGCTCTTGACAGGCAGGTGCATCAAGGGTGTTGCATTTTTTGACAATAAAATACATTTCAGGTTTTAAATTAAGAAGAGACATGTAGGGGAGCTGACATATGCTGACATTTTTGGAACTCCGAGTTAGCTCAGAGACAAAAAATTAATTAAAATATTATTTGGAATTTTTTTGGTAATTTATACAATACTAAAATACATTTCCTAACCTTCTTTGAGTAGCCAAATAGATGTATAGAATGAGTAGGCATGATTGCTTGGTTATAACCGGAAAAGAAGTTAAGAGACCATCTTTTTATTCTGAATAATTATAATGGCTTTTATTTTTATTAAAATCTTTGTGATTTTTAAATATTCATGTGTATTAGTCCATTTTCATGCTGCTAATAAAGACATACCCAAGACTGAGAAACTTACAAAAGATAGGTTTAATTGGACTGACATTTCCATGTGCCTGGGGAGGCCTCACAATCATGACAGAGGACTACGAAAGGCACATCTCACATGGTGGCAGACAACAGAAGAGAACTTGTGCAGGGAAATTCCCGTTTGTAAAACCATCAGATGTCGTGAGACCCATTCACTATCACAAGAACAGCACGGGAAAGACCTACCCCCATGCTTCCCACCGGGTCCTTCCCACAACATGTGAGAATTATGGGAGCTACAAGATGAGATTTGGGTGGGGGACACAGAACCAAACCCTTTCAGCCTGTGATTCACACTCAAACTTCTTTAAAGGTATATATTGAGAATCCAACTGCCACCTGTGCCTGCTCATTCTCTCCACTGCCCAGCCCTCCTCGCCATGTTAAGTAACTCCTTCAATGAAAATCTTGGATATTCGGCCAGATGCAGTGGCTGATGTCTGTAATCCCAGGACTTTGGGAGGCTGAGGCAGGCACATTGCTTGAGATCAGGAGTTTAAGACCAGCCTGGGCAACAAGTTGAAAGCCCATCTCTGCAAAAAATGCAAAAATTAGTCAGGTGTGGTTGTGGCACAGGCCTGTGGTCCCAGCTACTTGGGAGGCTGAGGTGGGAGGATCACCTGAGCCCAGGAGGACAGTGCTGCAGTGAGCCAAGATTGCACCACAGCACTCTAGCCTGGGTGACAGAGCGAGACCCTGTCTCAAAAAATGAAAGAATCTTGGATATCCATGCAGTGTTTATGTGAATACAAATAAGTACACAAAGTTTATCGTAGGATATATGCTGTTCTATGCTTTGCTGTTTTCACTTAACACATTTTGCAGATCTTTCCATTTGAATGGATAGAAGGCTTTTTCATCCTTTCTTCAGCGGCACAGTATTCCATTGTGCAGACCTTCCATGGTTTAGTCCACAGCCTGCTACTTGAGTTATTCCCAGTCTTCTGGTATTACAAACAAGACCCCAGTGACTAACTTCCTCCACTGGGCACATGACTGGAAGTGGGATTACTAGGTCAGTGGGTACATGTAGTAAATCTTTGGTAGATATATTGACATTTTCCCCATTTCATGTGTTATATCATTTTGAACTCCAGCCAGTAAGGTGTGTGAGTAATGGTTGACCTACAGCCTCCCCCACAGGGTTTGCGAAATATTTGAATTTTTGCCAACTTGATAGTTGGGGAATGGCATCTTGATATAGTAAGAGTGAATTTCTCTTCTTATAATTGTGTTTGTTTGAGGGCCGTTTTTCTTTTCCTGTGAATTTTATCTCGTTCCTTGATCGTTTTTTATTCAATTGTTGCTCTTTTACTTCTCAATTTATAAAGTTATGTATGTATTAAGGAGAATAACTCTTTGGGATACATTTTGCAATGTTTTTCGTTTTGTTATTTATTGTAACTTTCTTTGGTTTGCAGAAGGTTTTGAAATTTATATATATATGAATTTCATATATATAAAACTATATAAATTTCATATATAATGATATATGTCATATATACATTTCATATATATAAATTTATTATATATACATTTCATATATAAACTTTATATATAATATGAATATTGCACAAAGAAAAACAGTTACTCCTCACTCTCATAAGAAATGATTTTGTGTGAGTATGTACTACCCTTTCCTTTGTCTGTTGTACCATCATAATGAACAGATGGGGTTTATGCTTACTTTTCACCTACCAAAATTATACCAAAAGGCTATTGGTTAATCCTGCAAAATGTCATTCTATAATACATATTCTTCTTTTTTTAAAAAAACTGGTCTGATACGCCTTTGAAAATATTATATTCATGCACTTGCAGCTTTTTAATATTACAGACAATGCTGTAATCCACATTTTCATGCCTGCAATTATTTGTTCAATGGATGAAATTCCCAGAAATTGGGCTTCTTGATCAAAGGATTAAAAAAATTTAAGTTCCTTGATAAATATTACGCATTGCCTCTCAAAAGTGTTAGTTCATTGTATGTTACCATTAGCCATGTTTATTGCTTTCTCTAAGACTATAACCAAGTTATTACAATTTTTTAAATGTTCAGTTGATTTTATAGGTGGAAAATAAGCCCTGTCGTTCTCCACATGAGTAAAGCAGGATGCAGAGAGCTTAGGAGATGTGCCAAGATCCCAGGGCTGGCAGGAGGCAGGCCCAGGGCTGGAAGCCAGGCCTCCTTGTTCCCAGGAAGGGAAAGTTGCGTATGCCTTTTGAGTTAATGACACGAAAGCACAGACAACTGGACATGGTTCTTTTGAACATCGTAACATCAATTCATTGGGATCAAATCAACACTGAGCATCAGTATTCAGTGTTTAATGCACATTTTAATTTCACTGCAGAGAGGATCGCACCTCATTACTAGCGGTTATTGAGTCACTACTCAGTAAATATTTACTTTCTACGTGTAGTACATTATACCAAATAGTTGATATTATATGGGCATAAAATGATCTCTGTTACTGGGAAACTTCTGGTGCAGGAGAAGCGGTAAACCTTTTATTGCTGTTACAGGAGCTTTCTCCCAGGCAGCGAGCTTTAGAGTGTCCATTAAACTTTACTGACCAATTTTTTATGGAGCACTTCCTCTATGCTTGCACTGTTATAAATTCTTGGGATAGAATAGTGAACCCAGCAAATAAAAACTACTGCCCTCATTGGGGTGTCTATTCTGGAGAGACAAAAAGAACATAAAGGAGAGAAATAAGTTACACAGTAGACAGTATTAAGCCTATTGTTTTAAGGAGAAAATGAAAGCATAGATGGTAGTGAGTGTCGGGGGGAGCTGTTGGGGAGTTTGCCTTTAAGATACATCACCCTGGAGTCACTGGAAGTTTCCATCTGGGAGACGTCTTGTGAAATAGTGTCCTTGGTGGGTATGTGGTCAGCTTGGGGAACCCATAGAACTGCATCACAGCCTCACTCCTCATCCTCAACAGGGGCTAGTAGACCAGGAGAGGAGAGGAGGTGTGGGCACCCTCGTGAGGTAAAGGTGTCTGTGGTCCTGCATAGCTCTGGAGGACGTGGACTTCTTTCTGGAATGACAGGAAGCTCCTAACAGGACTTTATGTGTCAGAGGCCTATGATGGCCTGTGAATGTGGAAAACATGGTTGGATATGGTGGGTTCTATTGTTTTTGGTGCTGTAATTCTATATTAATGATGCTCAAGTGACCAAGGACTTGTACTCTCTTAACAGCACATAGTCCCATTAGGCCCATTATCATTTCAACAAGATCCTTCCTGGGAACAGACTTCTAGACAGCCCATGTCTTTTCTTTGTGACTGGTGCCTCCAAGCTCAGGGACACCTTATAAAGGTTCCAGGGGTAAAAACCCAAGTTCGAACGTGGGGCTGGGAATAATTACTCCACACAGACTTGTGTTATTGTGGGTATTCCCAGCAGGAACGTTCCCCGCCTTGAAGACTCTTCCCAGGTTGCCGGGGTTTTCTTGGGAATAATTTGAAGTTGACATCTCTGTTTCCTTCCAGGAAAGGTTGCATCAGTTTATGTGATCATGTTCAAGTCCCTCGAGGTTGGACTCAGAACCAAGCTGAATGCTCAGGAAACAAGTAGGCTGGTTCTGCAGTCTGAGCCTGGACCCTGTCTGTTTGGAGGCTTTCCTTCTCTCTTTGTGAATATTCTCTTTAGAAGAGAGCTCTCTTTCTGCACCTGTGGGGATCATCACCACCATGTCAGAACTGAGTAAGTTCTGTGGTTTGTTTTTATAGCTAACAGAGTTTCCCATTGTTGTCCAGCAAAGGGATGGAGCACTGGATGGGTGAGGATTGGCATCCAGAAGAAAGGGTGGCATGAAGGGTCCACGTATCTCTGCCCAACTTCTGGGCTGCCTCTCTGTCTCATGAGCTCATCTGCACTTGGTGGTCTCTGCAGCCAGGGTCAGAAAGTAGAGAGACAGGAGCAGCCTTGTGTGTTTCCTGAGTGCCTATTGGAGTCTAAGTTCTAGAATAGTGGGCGAGGGGCTGGGATAGGGGCTCAGCCTTGTGGATCTGAGGGATGTTGGACAGAGATGTCTCTTCTGAATGAGTGGGAGGCGCTGCTGTGGGTTGACCCTGAGCCTGTGGTCTTCAGTCTTGGCCAAGGCTGTAGGGATCACGTGGACTTCCTCACAGGGAGGGTGGGAGATGCAGATGAGATGAGATATTTTTTTTCCTGGTTATTAGGACAGGCAGTCTCCAGCACTGGCTGTGAGGGAGGCAGAGGTGCCTTCTGTGTGATTATGATTGGGGAAGTTGAGCACTGGATTTATCTCTGCATCCTAGCCAACTAAATGGTCTGTCATTGCCATTGTTAAACCAAAGACCTGTTTAATACCTAGAAGACTCTGTGATGAAACAGACATTCTTCTCAGGTGTGAAAAGTTAAAAGAAATCATTAGCTTTTTTTTTTTTCCTGAGGGTGGCCTCTTTAGTATTTCGAAAGGTGAAACAATCAGATTAGCAATTACATCTTTGGTGGGGGACCAGAAGTTATTGTTTATGAATGAGCCTTCCAGGCTCCACAGAAGCCTCCAGGGTGATGTGTACATGAAAAGAATGTGG